>NC_000018.10:29036206-29661206 GCF_000001405.40 Homo sapiens
TTTAAAAGAAAATATTAAGAATACCTTATTCTTCATAATTTTGAATTACTTTACATGGGGAAAGTATTACTTTACATGGGGAATCAATATTGACATTATAGCACCATTTTAGTTTATTTTAATCACTATGGAAACCCCTTCTTTTTTTAAAAAAATAGATGTTTTCTTTTTTGGAAGTTTTAAGTTCATAACAAAGTTAAGCAGAAGATAGACAGATTTCCCATATACTTCCTGTCCCACCATGTATGGCCTCTCCCATTTTCAACATTCTCAACCAGAGTCATACAACATTTGTTACAACTGATGAACCTCCATTTACATGTAATTATCACCCAGAGTCCATCATTTACATTAGGGTTCATTCTTGGTTTTGTACATTCTATGGGTTTTTATAAATATATGCTAACATATATTCACCATTATACTATCATCCAAAGTATTTTCACTGCCCTAAAAATCCCCTGTGCTCTACCAAGTCATTCTTTCCTCCCCCTAACTCTTGACAACCACTGATCTTTCTACTGTTTCCTTAGTTTTGCCTTTTCCGCAATGTTTTATTATAGTCAGAATCATACATTATGTAGTGATATGCATTTAAGGTCCCTCCATATATTTTCATGGCTTAATAGCTCATTTGTTTTAAGCACTGAATAATATTCCACTATCCAGATGTACCACAGCTTATTTATTCATTCACTTACTCAGGGTCATCTTGGTTGCTTCCAAGTTTTGGCAATTATGAATAAAACTGCTATACATATCTATGTGCAGGTTTTTGGATGGACTTATGTTTTCAACTTAAAATGTATGTTTTCAACTCCTTTGGGTAAATACCAACAAGTGTAATTGCTGTATAGTATAATAAGAGTATGTTTTGTTTTGTGAAATATTGCAAAGTAACAATACCATTTTGCATTTCCATTAACAATGAATGAGAGCTCCTTTCACTCAACATCCTCACCAGCATTGGGTGTTGTCTGTGTTCTGAACTTCGGCCATTCTGATAAGTATATAATGATATCTCAGTCTCGTTTTAATTTGCTTTCCCTAATGACATATGATGAGGGTTGCGTCTTTGTTTATTTGAAAGTGTTAATGTAATGCACTATCTGTTTAGGGTTATCATTTATATGCAGCTTACTCCTGAATTTTAGTTATAACTTAAATTTATATTATTTTATATTTAAATTTGAATTGTAACCATTTACATTAATTTTCAGTTAGAAATAGTCATGGCTGGCAGCAGTGCATTTTGATTAAATTAGACATACATGCACACATATTCAAATTCTGGATTTGCCATTTACCATGGACTTTTTTTAGATTAACTTCACTGATGTTTTATGTTCATCTTCTGTAAAATGAAGAAAATACTGCTGGTCATATTCTTTTCTGGAGTAAATAAATAAATTATAGAATATAAATTGAGTGTTATTACCTTATTTCTGTCTTTTGTTTAGTTGTTGTGTTTAGTTCTTTTGTTTAGTTCTGTCTAGTTGTATACTGATTTTTAAAGTTTTATTTTTATTTACTTTGGTTTTGCTTGTTTTTATGTAAGATATTCTGTTCATTTATAGCTTCTACATGTATTGTAAATTTGGTTTAAATACTTAAAATTCTTTAAATAAAGTAATTTAAAATCATTCTTTAATCCGCATCTAAGTAATTATACAAATTAAGGAGAAAATTATTAATTCTTGCTAAGTAGGACAATTGAGTTTGCAGTCCTTTACTCTTTTATAACTATTGATATAATTTAAAATTTTATACACTATTAATTTTTCACAATATTGAAAATATTGTTTTCCATAATTTGTGACAAATTTGTAAATAAGACTACTATTATACCTATAAAAATTATTCATATTAAACTGATTCAAAACTGCTTTTGATGTCTACTTCATTATTTGTCTATTTTGTTCTCTTAAAAACTGAAATTATACTTTTGTGCATAATAACATTATTTTTTCTTTCTCAGAAAGATATATTCGTAAACATATTTATTTACTTTACATGTAGACTACTTGAGTGATTACTGAATTCTGGGGTTTCAAAATATTTGGTATTTTAAAAAAGAAGCCTGTTTTACATTTCTATTTCTCTTTAATTTAATTGTATATTTTTCAAAGTCTATTTTATGCTTGGATTTTTATAGAGTTTTAACTTCTTCATTATGTAATCCAAGATCTTTGTTTGATATTTCTAGCTGTTGACCTTTGTATGTGTAACTGGCACACAATAAAGATATCTGATAAGTACTTTCAAGATCAATTTATAAGTCAGAAAATACTTTGCTCATGCAATTTTATCATTTGTTAAGGTATACTTCCTTTGCATGCTTCATTAGGATTCTCAATTATCCACACACTTAATTTTTTTTCTTTGTGCTTTATATAAAACATTTTCATCTTTCTTATTTTGAGATTTTGTGCTTTTACATATACTCTGCATTCTAGAAACATTCCTCCTCCTCCTCCAGGAGTTTAAAAGGGAAACACTGTATTTTTCTGTTTTCTATTCACTCTTTCTTTTAGGACTTCTTATGAAATATAGTAATTAAAGGAACCATATGGTAGTTGTTGATTAATTTTGTTTGATAAAATTTATTTCCTTTACAATGGTTTTATGTTTACAGGAAAAGTGTGAAGATAGGACAGAAGGTTCTCATATAGCCCATCACCGATACCTTCTATTATTAAGAGCTGACATTAGTATCATACATTTGTCATAATTAATGAAACAATATTGATACATTGTTATTAATAAATGCCCATACTTTATGTAGATCACAGTTTTTACCTAATAACTTTTTGCTGTTTAAGTTATTATTTGAAATAAACAATGTATAACATGGTATACATTTTAGCCCACAGATTTCTTATGAGGGTGACATGAAATAATTAATGTAACAGCACAACCCCAATGAGGCACATTGAACAAGTGCTGGCTCCTTCATTCCTAAGCAGTGGTCGACCAAATGAGAAACTTGTACTCTACGGATTATGCAGGAAAATCTACTTTGGAGGAAAGATGCTATATAAGAAATTTAAAAATTTTTATTTTTGTCACATTTGTTTTAATTTTATTTTGTATATCTTATAATAACATAATACATGAATATATTGGTATATATACTTATAATGGAATGCATAAAATAGGTTTCTTGCAATACTTTTATATTGATAAAGATGCATAATTTTTTTGAAAATGGGGAACTCAATCAATGCCTTAGAAGAAACATACCTGGCATCTTGGACAAAAGAACTAGGTTTATATAGCTGTCTTAGTCTATTCTCATGCTGCTAATAAAGACATACATTAGACTGGGTAATTTATAAAGGAAAGAGAGGTTTAATCGACTCACAGTTCCACATGACTGGGGAGGCCTCACAATCATGGAGGAAGGCAAAGGAGGAGCAAAGGCATGTCTTACATGGCAGCAGGCAAGAGAGTGTGTGCAGGGGAACTGCACTTTATAAAACCATCAGATCTTGTGAGACTTATTTTTTATCACAAGAACAGCACAGGAAAACCCACGTCCATAATTCTATTACCTCCCACTGGGTCCCTCCCATGACATGTGGGGATTATGGGAGCTACTATTTAAGATGAGATTTGGGTGGGGACACAGAGAAACCATATTAATAACTGTTCAAATAATTAATAGGTGTATGACCTGGAACACAATTTTTAAATTGTCTAAATTTTAGTTTTCAGTTATGTAAGTGGAATGCTACCAACTAAAAGGGGTAATTAAAAGAGAAAACATTAACTAAAAAAGATAATTAAAAGAGATTATAACTGACAATTTTGTAATTTCTGTAATTGTGGTTGATTTTATAAGTTGTTAGAAAATAATGAAGTCAAGTATAAAGGTATGATCTTCCTGAGCTGCATTTGCCATAGTAATTTATAGTGAGATGAAATCTAGTAATGTAGATCAATGAAGATATCCAAGATCGTAAAAATACTCTAACTGTATAACTCATATTTGTTGTTAATAGAAGCTAAACCAAAGATAATTATCTGATTTAATTACTGAAGATTCAGCAATATATTGCAAATATTATTTTTTAATTATTTATTTTTAATGTCTACAGGGACTTCTAGAGTTACAAAGAATAGACATTAGAGTTCTTTTTTGTATTGCATGTTTAAAATCAAAATTTGTAAATCAAATTCTTAAAATTATGTTTCTTTTTTATATTTTATACATTACTATAAGTTCCTAAAATATTTTACTTTTTAAGATTTTCAGTTTTTTGATACTTGTAAGAAATCTATGTGTGCCTATTATCTTTCTAAACATTCTCTTGATCTTAGCAAAATTTAGATCATCTAAAATTTCAGCTCACATTACAAAAAAATCATTAAGCTAAATTTAAATTTATTATTCATGTTGGTATAAATTTTATTCTATATATTTTCATTATAAACACATGTAGGAGTGTCTTTCTATAGTATCAATACTGAAAAATAAGATTTATTCATTAAAATGTGATGTAACTTATGTTACTCATGGGTATTTATTAAGTTAATACATTTATGTAAGAAGAGCTTCATAAACACCCATGATGTTTAAAGGCCTTATCAATACTGTTTTGCTCTCAGCTCCTATGCATTCTATGATAATGGACATTAAAGGAGCATTTTTTTAGGAGCCAATGTTTTATCCAATGGAATGTTTAGTTTGGTCTGTTACATGGAATATTAAGATTTTTAGGTAAGAAGACTTCCACTTCTGACCTAGGTGGAATACCAGGGACTAAATTTACCCTCCTGCCTGAAGCAACTTTTAAACTAGAAAAACAGACAAAATATAAGAAATGATAATTCTCAAGATATTGGCAATCAGGTCACAAAATCTCCAAGAGACAGGAAACAAAAGAGGTTAGCCACACAACTACTCCAGAGTATTGGCTAAGGTAACTTTCTTTCTTTTTTTTAAATTTTTATTATTATACTTTAAGTTCTGGGGTACATGTGCAGAACTTGCAGGTTTGTTACATAGGTATACAGGTGCTGTGGTGGTTTGCTGCACCCATCAACTCGTCAACTACATTAGGTATTTCTCCTAATGCTATCCCTCCCCCAGCCCCCGCCCCCCACCCCCCAACAGGCCCCAGTGTGTGATGTTCCCCTCCCTGTGTCCATTTGTTTTCATTGTTCAACTCCACTTATGAGTGAGAACATGCAGTGTTTGGTTTTCTGTTCTTGTGTTTGTTAGTTTGCTGAGAATGATGGTTTCCAGCTTCATCCATGTCCCTGCAAAGGATATGAACTCATCCTTTTTTATGGCTGCATAGTATTCCATGGTGTATATGTGCCACATTTTCTTTATCCAATCTATCATTGATGGGCATTTGGGTTGGTTCCAAGTATTTGCTATTGTGAACAGTGCCACAATAAACTTATGTGTGCATGTGTCTTTCC
The DNA here is from genome assembly GCF_000001405.40 of Homo sapiens. NCBI lineage: Eukaryota > Metazoa > Chordata > Mammalia > Primates > Hominidae > Homo > Homo sapiens. The sequence goes on from NC_000018.10 coordinate 29,041,640, forward strand.
AGTAGAATGATTTATAATCCTTTGGGTATATACCCAGTAATGGGATTGCTAGGTCAAATGGTATTTCTAGTTCTAGATCCTTGAGGAATCGTCACACTGTCTTCCACAATGGTTGAACTAATTTACACTCCCACCATCAGTGTAAAAGCGTTCCTATTTCTCCACATCCTCTCCAATATCTGTTGTTTCCTGACTTTTTAATGATCACCATTCTAACTGGTGTGAGATGGATCTCATTTTGGTTTGGATTTGCATTTCTCTAATGACCAGTGGTGATGAGCTTCTTTAAATATGTTTGTCAGCTGCATAAATGTCTTCTTTTGAGACGTGTCTGTTTATATCAGCTAAGGAAACTTTCAATGCTGCAGCACATGATGGGAAACTCAGGCTGAGCTAGGAGGTCACTTTTAGCTGAAAAGATATAGCTGAGAGTCTGGCAAGGACAAGGCAGCTTGAGTCTACAGGTGAGAGTACCAGAGTGGACAGTGTTTTCTAAACCTCATGACTCATATTGCATTGGATAGAGTCATCTCAGAGGTTTTGCTTCAGTAGTGGGAATAATTAACCTTAGACTAAATGCTGCACTGATTCTTCATGACACGGCATAGCAGAAAAGCCAGAGAAGATCACACTTTTGCTAAGTAGCTTAACTGCCTCCCAAACAAAGCTGTAATATATACACAGATTTTTTTAATCCCACACACAATATCTTTTATCCAACTAAAAGCTTTTAGACATAGAAAGATACAATAAAGCATTGTCCATGATGAGGAGGAAAATTAAACAATCATATCTAAACCAGAATTGATATGGATGAGAGAATTAATAGATAAGAATATTAAAATAATTATTACTGTTTCATGTATTTAAGAAGCTAGACAAATTTTGAATATGTTAATCAGAGCTATGAAAGATATCAAAATACCCTGCAGCCAATTGTTAGAGTTAACTACAGTATCTGACATGAAAAATACTTTGAATAGGATTAATGACACATTAGATGTAGCAACACAAATATTAGCAAACTTGAAAATATAGTAATAGAATGTACTCAAAAGGGAAAGAACAAAAAAAGGAACAAAAACTTTAAATAGAACTTCATTGCATTGTGGGACAGCTTTATCAGCCTAATAGATATGAATATGGAGTCCCTGAAGAAGCATGAGGGAGTTCAGAGTAATATTTGAATAAACAATGGCTAAGTTTTAAAATGTGATTAAAACTACATACCTGCAGACCCCAAAATACAGTAAACCCTATCGCAATAAAACAAGAATAAAACCACACCAAACTTGTCATCATCATATTAGTTAAAACCAGTGATAAGGAGGAAAATCTTAAAAGTAGCCAGAGGAAGGATACATTATGTTCAGAAGAATACAAAAGAGGATAAAAACAGATTTCTCATTGAAAAAATGCAAACAAAAAGGCAACGGAGCAACATATTTAGGATACTGAATATAAAAACTGTTAACATAGAATCCATTTTGGAGCAAAAATACTTTACAAACATGACAATAAAATAATCTTTCAGAAATACAGAGGCAGAACATATTCATTACCAGTTGACTATCTCTAAAGAAATGTGGAGGGAAGTCCTTCAAACAGGAGAAATATGATACCAGGTGGAAAACTGAAGGTACACAAACAAATGAAGAGCACTGGAAAACAGTAATGTCATGATTAAATAGAAAAAAATCCTTTCTTTAATTTAACATATTTTAATACTTGTATAACAAAAAATAATAGCAATATAATGTGAAGTTTATAAAATGTATAGAATTAAAATATATGACAATGGTAGCATAAAGTCCCAACAAGGAGTAAAGGAAGTATACTGTTGTAATGTTATTAAATTATATATGAACTGGTATATGATTTGATATATATCAAAGTATGAAGCAACCACTAACATAACACAACAAAAGGTTACAATAATTGAAAAGTCAGCTTAGATAATTAAATATTATCATTAAATAAAAAGCTCAAGTCATCTAAGGAATGAAGAAAAGAGGGAAAAAGAAAAAAAACAGCAATGAAATAGCAAGATGGATGGCTTTAAATCCAACCATATAAGTAATCACATTACACTTAAATGGTCTGTATACCCCAATTAAAAACAGATTGTCAGATTGGGTTAAAAAGAAAGACTGAGCCATGTGCTGTCTACAAGAAATCCACTTTAAATATAAAGACATAAATGAGTTAAAATAAAATTATTTAAAATATATGCTACATAAATATTTATTAAGAGAAATCTGCATTAGCTACATTTGTTTAAAACAAAACAGATTATTAAAACAGAACCTATCATCTGGGATAAATAAGGTCAATTCATAATGCTACAGAAATCAATTTACCAAGAGGAAATAACAACCCTAAATGTTAACAGAGTTTTAAACATATTTTAAAAAGCCTGTTGGAATTGCAAAGAGAAATAGTAAAATCCAAAAATACAGTCAAAGATTTAACTTCTCTGGATCAATAATTAGTAAAATAATAGGAATTTTATTCTTTTTGTGGCAATTGTGAACGGGACTGCCTTCCTGATTTGGCTCTTGGCTTGTCTATTGTTGATGTACAGGAATGCTAGTAATCTTTATATATTGATTTTGTATCTTGAAACTTTGCTGAAGTTGTTTATCAACTGAAGGATCTTTTGGGCCGAGTTGGTAGGGTTTTCTGGATATAGAATCATGTCATTTGCAAACAGGTGTAGTTTGACTTCCTCTCTTCCTACCTGGTTGCACTTTATTTCTCTTGACTGATTGCTCTAGCTGGGCTTCCAATACTATGTTGAATAAGAGTGGTGAGATAGGGCATCTTTGTCTCCTGCCCGTTTTCAAGGGGAATATGTCCAACTTTTGCCTATTCAGTATGATGTTGGCTGTGGTTTTGTCATAGATGGCTCTTATTATTTTGAGGTGTGTTCCTTCAATACCTGCTTTACTGAGAGTTTTTAAGATGAAGTGTTGTTTAATTTTATCAAAAGGCTTTTCTGCATCTGTTGAGATAACCATGTGGTTTTTGTCTTTAATTTTGTTTATGTGATGAATTGCATTGTTTGATTTGCATATGTTGAACCAACCTTTCATTCTAGGGATGAAGCCTACTTGATCATGGTGGATTAGCTTTTTGATGCTGCTGGGTTTGGTTTACAGGTATTTTGTTGAGAATTTTTGCATCAATGTTCATCAAGAATATTGGCCTGAAGTTTTCTTTCTTGTTGTGTATTTGCCAGGTTTTGGTATCAGGATGATGCTAGCCACACAGAATGAGTTGGGAGGAGCCCCTCCTCCACAATTCTTTGGAATAGTTTCAGTAAGAATGGTACCAGCTCGTCTTTGTATGTCTGGTAGAATTCAGCTATGAATCCATCTGGTCCTGATCTTTATTTTGTTGGCAGGCTATTTCTTCCTGATTCAATTTCAAAGCTCTTTATTGGTCTGTTCAGGAAATCAATTTCTTCCTGGCTCAGTTTGGGAGGGTGTACGTGTTCAGGAATTTATCCATCTCTTCTAGGTTTTCTAGTTTGTGTGTATAGAAGTGTACATAGTAGTTTCTGATGGTTATTCTTATTTCTCTGGGGTCAGTGCTAATATCTTCTTTGTCATTTCTAGTTGTGGTTTTTTTTAGGATCTTCTTCCTTTTCTTTATTATTAGTCTAGCTAGCAGACTGTCTATCTTATTAAATTTTTCAAAACAACTCCTGGATTTGTTGATCTTTAGAACGGTTTCTCATGTCTCAATTTCCTTCAGTTCAGCTCTCATTTTGGTCATTTCTTGTCTTCTGCTAGCTATGGTGTTGGTTTCCTCTTGCTTCTCTAGTTCTTTCAGTAGTGATGTTAGGTTGTTAATTTGACATCTTTCTAACTTTTTGATATGGGCATTTAGTGCTATAAATTTCCCTCTTAACACTGCCTTAGCTGTATCCCAGAGATTCTGGTATGTTGGATCTTGGTTTTTATTAGTTTCAAAGAACTTCCTGATCTCTGCCTTAATTTCATTATTTACCAAAAAGTCATTCAGGGGCAGGGTGTTTAATTTCCATGTAATTGCATAGTTTTGAGCTATTTTTAAAGTCTTGACTTTTTAATTTCTAATTATTTTTTCTTCAACTTTTATTTTAAGTTCAAGGATACATGTGCAGGATGTGCAGGTTTGTTACATAGGTAAACATGTTCCATGGTGGTTTGCTGCACAGATCATCCCATCCCTAGGTATAAGCCCAGCATCCATTAGCTATTCTTCCTGATGCTCTGCCTCCCCAATCTCCCCCTTCGACAGGATCCAGTGTGTGTTGTTCCCTTCAGTGTGTCCATGTGTTCTCATCATTCAGCTCACACTTATAAGTGAGAACATCCAGTATTTGGTTTTCTGTTTCTGTGTTAGTTTGCTGAGGACAATGGCTTCTAACTTCATCCAAGTCCCTGCAAAGGGCATGATCTTATATCCTTCTATAACTGCATAGTATTCCATGATGTATATGTACCACATTTTCTTTATTCAGTCTACCATTGATGGGCATTTAAGTTGATTCTATTTCTTTGCTACTGCAATGAATACACACATGCATGTATCTTTGTAATAGAATGATTTATATTCATTTGACTATATACTTACTAATAGGATTTCTGGGTCAAATGGTATTTCTGCCTTTAGGTATTTGGGGAATTGCACACTGTCTTTCACAATGGTTGAACTAATTTACACTATCACCAAGAGTGTAAAAGCATTCTCTTTTTGTGACATCACCAGCACCTGTTGTTTAAGGACTTTTTAATAATTACCATTCTGACTGGTATTAGATGGTATCTCATTGTGGTTTTGATTTGCATTTCTCTAATGATCAGTGATGATGAGCTTTTTTTTATATGTATGTTGGCTGCATGTATGTCTTCTTTTGAGATGTGTCTGTTCATGTTCTTTTCCCACTTTTTAATGGGGTTGTTTCTTTCTTATAAATTTGTTTAAGTTCCTTGTAGACTCTGGATATTAGACCTTTGTCAGATGGATAGATTGCAAAAATTTTCTCTTTTTCTGTAGGTTGTCCAATCACTCTGATGATAGTTTGTGTTTTGCAGAAGCCCTTTAGTTTATTAGATCCCATTTGTCAATTTTTGCTTTTCTTTCTATTGCTTTTGGTGTTTTCATCATGAAATCTTTCCTGTGCATATGTCCTGAATGGTATTGCCTAGATTTTCTTCTAGGGTTTTTATAGTTTTGGATTTTACATTTAAGTCTTTAATCCATCCAGAGTTAATTTTTGTATTTGATATAAAAAAGGAGTCCAGTTTTGATTTTCTGAATATGGGTAAGCCAGTTTTCCCTGCACACTTTATTAAATAGGGAATCTTTTCTCTATTGCTTGTTTTTGTCAGGTTTGTGAAGGTCAAATGGATGTAGGTGTGCAATCTTATTTCTGAATTCTCTATTGTGTTCCAATAATCTATACATCTGTTCTTGCACCATGCTGTTTTGGTTACTGTAGCCTTGTAATACAGTTTGAAGTTGGGGATCATGATGCCTCCAGATTTGTTCTTTTTGCTTGGGATCATCTTGGCTATTCACGCTGTTTTTTGTTCCATATGAATTTTAAAATAGTTTTTTCTAACTTTGAGGAATGTCAATAATAGTTTAATCTTGAGTTCTAATTTGATTGTGCTGTGGTCTGAGAGAGTGTTATGATTTCAGTTCTTTTGCATTTGCTGATGTGTGTTTTACATGTGATTATGTGATCAATTTTAGAGTAAGTGACATGTGGCAATGAGAAGAATAAATGTATATTCTGTTGGTTTGGGGTGGACAGTTCTGTAAATATCTATCAGGACCACTTGATCCAGAGCTGAGTTCAGGTCCTGAATATCTTTGTTAATTTTCTGTCTTGATGATCTGTATAATATTGTCAGTGGGGTGTTAAAGTCTCCCACTTGTGTGGGAGTCTAAGTTTCTTTGAAGATCTCTAAGCACTTGCTTTATGGATCTGAGTGCTTCTGTATTGGGTCCGTATATATTTAGTATAGTTAGCGCTTCTTGAATTGAGCCTTTTACCATTGTGTAATGCCCTTTTATGTCTTTTTTTTATCTTTTTTGCTTTAAAGTCTCTTTTGTCTGAAATTAGGGTTGCACATGTGTGTTTATTGCAGCACTGTTCACAATAGCAAAGACATGAAATCAATCTAAATGCCCATCAATGACAGATTGGATAAAGAAAATGTGATACATTTACACTATGGAATACCATGCAACACTAAAAAACAATGAGATAATGTTTTTCTGTGAAAACATAGATGGAGCTAGAGGCCATTATCCTTAGCAATCAAACACAGGAACAGAAAACCAAATACCATATGTTCTCACTTATAAGTGAGAGCTAAATAATGAGAACTCATGAACATAAAGAAGAGAACAATAGACACTGGGGCCTACTTGAGGATGAAGGGTGGAATGAGGGAGAGGATCTGAAAACAATAACTGTTGGGTACTAGGCTTAGTTATGTGGGTGACAAAATAATCTGTACAACAAACTCCATGGCATAAGTTTACCTATATAACAAACCTGCACTTATAGCCCTGAACCTGTATTCAACATTGTAAGGGAGTTCTAGCCAATGCAATTAGACAAGAAAAGCAAATGAAAGACATTCCTTTTGGAAAGCATGAAGTATAATATTTTTCTCATGATTTAATCATATATGTAGAGAATTTGATGGACTCTACAAAAACAGCCTATAAGAATGAATAGTGAATTGATTTTCAACAAAGATGTGTAAGTAATTCAATGGAGAAATATGGTCATTTTATTAAGTGTTAAGAAAACAGTGAATGATACAGGACACAAGATATGCGTCCTGTAATTCACTATGTACAATAATAGCAAATACTGAATTATACAGGATACACGGTGGATAGACAAAGATCAATTATGTTTCTATAGACTAGCAATGACTGATAAGAAATTTTCTAAAAAAATAAAAACACTGCTCACTTTGACAGTACACCTACTAATATTGGAATAATACAGAGTAGACTAGAATGCACCAGAATGACATGCAAATTTGAGAAGCATTACATATGTGTGAGATAAATATTATATGAGGTACCTGACATAGATAAATTCATAGAGATACAGTGTAGAAAGGTAGTTATTAGGGGCTGGGTCAGGGAGGGAATGGGGAGTTATTGCTTTATGGATACAGATATTCATTTTGGGAAGATGAAAAATGTTCTGGAGATGAGTGGTGGTAACGGTTGCCCAACAATGTGAATGTACTTAATGTCACTGTACTGTACACTTAAAATGGTGAAAACAGTAAACTTTAAGTTATGTATCTTTTTTTTTACATACTTTAAGTTCTGGGATACATGTGCAGAACATACAGGTTTGTTGCATAGCTATACATATGCCATGGTGGTTTGCTGCACCCATCAACCTGTCACCTACATTAGGTATTCCACCTAATGCTATTCCTCCCCCAACCCCCAACCCCTTGACTGGCCTCTGTATGTGATGTTCCCCTCTCTGTGTCCATGTGTTCTCATTGTTCAACTCCTACTTAGGAATAAGAACATACAGTGTTTGGTTTTCTGTTCCTCTGTTAGCTTGCTGAGAATGATGGTTTCCAGCTTCATCCATGTTGCAAAGGACGTGAACTCCCCCTTTTCTATGGCTGTGTAGCATTCCATGGTGTATATGTGCCATATTTTCTTTATCCAGTCTATCCTTGATGGGCATTTGGGTTGGTTCCAAGTCTTTGCTATTGTGAATAGTGCTGCAATAAACATACATGTGCACATGTCTTTATAGTAGAATGATTTCTAATCATTTGGGTATGTACCCAGCAATGGGATCACTGGGTCAAATGGTATTTCTAGTTCTAGATCCTTGAGGAATTGCCACACTGTCTTCCCCAATGGTTGAACTAATTTACACTCCCACCAACAGTGTAAAGCATTCTTTTTTCTCTACACCCTCTCCAGCATCTGTTGTTTCCTGACATTTTAATGATTGCCATTCTAAATGGCATGAGATGGTATCTCATTGTGGTTTTGATTTATATTTCTCTAATGATCAGCGATGATGAGCTTTTTTTCATGTCAGTTGGCCACATAAATGTCTTCTTTTGAGAAGTGTCTGTTCATATCCTTCGGACATTTTTGAAGGCGTTGTTTGTTTTTTTCTTGTAAATTTGTTTAAGTTCTTTGTAGATTCTGGATATTAGCCCTTTGTCAGATGGATAGATTGCAAAACTTTTCTCCCATTCTGTAGGTTGCCTGTTCACTCTGATGATAGCTTCTTTCGCTATGCAGAAGCTCTTTAGTTTAATGGGATCCCATTTGTCAATTTTGGCTTTTGTTGCCATTGATTTTGGTGTTTTAGTCATGAAGTCTTTCCCCACGCCTATGTCCTGAGTACTACTGCCTAGGTTTTTTTCTAGAGTTTTTATGGTTTTAGGTATTATGTTTAAGTCTTTATTCCATCTTGAGTTAATTTTTATATAAGGTATAAGGAAGGGGTCCAATTTCAGTTTTCTGCATATGGCTAGCCAGTTTTCCCACCACTATTAAATAGGGAATAATTTCCCCATTGCTTGTTTTTGTGAGATTTATCAAAGATCAGATGGCTCTAGATGTGTGGTGTTACCTCTGAGGCCTCTGTTCTGTTCCTTTGTTCTATATATCTGTTTTGGTACCAGTACCATGCTCTTTTGGTTATTGTAGCCTTGTAGTATAGTTAGAAGTCAGGTAGAATGATGACTCCTGCTTTGTTCTTTTTGCTTAGGATTGTCTTGGCTATACGGGCTCTTTTTTGGTTCCACATGAAATTTAAAGTAGTTTTTTCTAATTCTGTGAAGAAAGTCAATGGTAGCTTGATGGAGATAGCATTGAATCTATAAATTATTTTGGGCAGTACAGCCATTTTCACGATATTGGTTTTTCCAATCCATGAGCATGGAATGTTTTTTTCCATTTGTTTGGGTCCTCTCTTATTTCCTTGAGCAGTGGTTTGTAGTTCTCCTTGAAAAGGTCCTTCGTATCCCTTTTAAGTTGTATTCCTAGGTATTTTATTCAATTGTGAATGACAATTGTGAATGGCAATTCACTCATGATTTGGCTCTCTGTTTGTCTATTATTGGTGTATAGGAATGCCTGTGATTTTTGAACATTGATTTTGTATCCTGAGACTTTGCTGAAGTTATTTATCAGCTTAAGGAGATTTTGGGCTGAGATGGTGGAGTTTTCTAAATATACATTCATGTTATCTGCAAACAGAGAAAATTTGACTGTCTTTCTTCCTATTTGAGTACCATTTATTTCTTTCTCTTGCCTGAATTCACTGGCCAGAACTTCCAATATTATGTCGAATAGTAGTGGTGAGAGAGGGCATCCTTGTCTTGTGCTGGTGTTTAAAGGGAATGCTTCCAGCTTTTGCCCATTCAGCATGATATTGGCTGTGGGTTTGTCATAAATAGCTGTTATTACCAAGGCCTTTTCTGCATCTATTGAGATAATCATGTGGTTTTTGTCATTGGTTCTGTTTATGTGATGTATTACATTTATTGATTTGCATATGTTGAATCAACCTTGCATCCCAGGGATGAAGCTGACTTGATTGTTTTCGACTTGACTGATGTGCTGCTGGATTTGGTTTGCCAGTATTTTATTGAGGATTTTTGCATTGATGTTCATCAGGGATATTGGCCTGAAATTTTCTCTTTTTGCTGTGTCTCTGCCAGGTTTTGGTATCAGGATGATGCTGGTCTCATAAAATAAGTTAGGGCAAAGTCCCTCTTTTTCTATTGTTTGGAATAGTTTCAGAAGGAATGGTTCCAGCTCCTCTTTGTACCTCTGGTAGAATTTGGCTGTGAATCTGTCTGGTCCTGGGCTGTTTTTGGTTGGTAGGCTCTCAATTACTGCCTCAATTTCAGAACTTGTTATTGGTCTACTCAGGGATTCTACTTCTTCCTGGTTTAGTCTTGGGAGGGTGTATGTGTCCAGAAATGTATCCATTTCTTCTAGATTTTCTAGTTTATTTGCATAAAGGTGTTTATAGTATTCTCTCATGGTAGTTTGTATTTCTGTGGGATCAGTGGTGATCTCCCCTTTATCTTTTTTTTATTGTGTCTATTTGATTCTCCTCTCTTTTCTTATTTATTAGTCTGGCTAGAGGTCTATGTATTTCATTAATCTTTTCAAAAAACCAGCTCCTGGATTCACGGATGTTTTGAAGGTTTTTTCATGTCTCTATCTCCTTCAGTTCTGCTCTGACTTTAGTTATTTTTTGTCTTCTGCTAGCTTTTGAATTTGTTTGCTCTTGCTTCTCTAGTTCTTTTAATTGTGATGTTAGGGTATCGATTTTAGATCTTTCCCACTTTCTTCTGTGGGCATTTAGTGCTATAAATTTCCCTCTAAACACTGCTTTAGCTGTGTCCCTGTGATTCTGATATGTTGTGTCTTTGTTCTCACTGGTTTCAAAGAACTTCTTTATTTCTACCTTAATTTTGTTATTTACCCAGTAGTCATTCAGGAGCAAGTTGTTCAGTTTCCATGTAGTTGTGCAGTTTTGAGTGAGTTTCTTAATCCTGAGTTCTAATTTGATTGCACTGTGGTCTGAGAGACTGTTATGATTTCCATTGTTTTGCATTTGCTGAGGAGTGTACTTCTAATTATGTGGTCAATTTTAGAATAAGTGTGATGTGGTGCTGAGAAGAATGTATATTCTGTTGATATGGGGTGGAGAGTTCTGTAGATATCTATTAGGTCTGCTTGGTCCAGAGCTGAGTTCAAGTCCTGAATATCCTTGTTAACTTTCTGTCTTGTTGATCTATCTAATATTGACAGTGGAGTGTTAAACTCTCCCACTATTATTGTTTGGGAGTCTAAGTCTCTTTGTAGGTCTCTAAGAACTTGCTTTATGAATCTGGGTGCTCCTGTATTGGGTGTGTATATATTTAGGAGAGTTAGCTCTTCTTGTTGCATTGATCCGTTTACCATTACATAATGCCCTTCTTTGTCTTTTTTGATCTTTGTTCGTTTAAAATCTGTTTTATCAGAGACTAGGATTGCAACCTCTGCCTTTTTTTTCTTTCCATTTGCTTGGTACATATTCCTCCATCCCATTATTTTGAGCCTATTTATGTCTTTGCACATGAGATGGGTCTCCTGAATACAGCACACAGATGGGTCTTGACTCTATCAAATTTGCTAGTCTGTGTCTTTTAATTGGGGCATTTAGCCATTTACATTTAAGGTTAATATTGTTATGTGTGAATTTGATCCTGTCATTATGATGCTAGCTGGTTATTTGCCCATTAGTTGATCCAGTTTCTTCATAGTGTTGATGGTCTTTATAATTTGGTAACTTTTACCACAGTAAAAAAAAAAAAAAAAAAGAAATCAAAGAAATAACACAAACATACATTAGCATTGAGAAATATAAAATCCGTAGGGATAAATAGCCAAAGTGCTTTGAAAAGAATAACTTACATTATCAATTTCAAGACTTACTGTAATCTTCAGCAATCACAATTTTGTGTCAAGATAAACATGTAGATCAAAGGGACAGAATAGAGTCCAGATATAGACCAGTCCCCATATGGTCAACTGATTTTCAACAAAGATTCGTAGGTAATTCGGCAGAGACACTATAGTTCTTCTATTAATAGTGTTGAAAACATTGGATATCTATTTGCAAAAATATAAACTCCAATTCATATCTCTAAAAATAAACAAAATTTTACTCAAAATACATTACAGACATAAATATAAAACCTAAAAATATGAAACTTTTAAAAGAAAACATAAAATAAGATTTTTTATAACTTTGAGTTAGGTCAAAGTTTCTCAAATGCCTCACTATTGAATTGTGTAATTCTTTATTGCAGGAGGCCGCCCTGTGTGTCATAGCACATTTATTGGTATTAATGGCCTCCCCCCACAAGATGCCTATCGTGTCCCTCTTGTGACACCAAAAGTGTCTGCAGACGTTGCCAATGTTCTGTGGATGGAAACATTTCCCATGGTTGAGAACTATGTGTTTAGAGAAGGGGTGTTTTATCTATCATATCGAAAGCACAATCAATAAAAGAAAAAAATTGATGAATAGAACTTTATTATAATTAAAAATTTCTGTTCTTCAAAAGACACTATTAAGAGAATGAAAAGGCAAGACAAGCCACAGGCTTGGAGGAAATATTATCAAATCACATATCTGAAAGAAAAAGGACTTGAATGCAGAATATATAAATAACTCTTAAACCTCAATAAGTAAACACATATTACAATAAAAAACAGCAAAAAAGTTGAAGATACTTCATTAAAGAAGATAAATGGCTCAATTATACACTCCATAATGGATATATATTTCAAAATATCATATTGTATGTGATAAATATATACAATTTTATTTGTCAATTTTAAAATGTTTAAAATGTATGGGTAGTGTATCAGGCTGCTTTTTATTGCTATAAGGAAACATCTGAGGCTGAGTAATTTATAAAGAAAAGAGGTTTATTTGGCTCATGGTTCTTCAGGCTGTACAGAAAGCATAACATTAGCATCTGATCAGCTTCTGGTGAGGCTTCAGGGAGCTTTTACTCATAGCAGAAAGCAAAGTGGGACCCAGGTATTATACTGCAAGAGGGAGAGCAAGGGGGTATGGGCAGGTGTCACACTCTTCTAAACAACTGGATCTCATGTGAACTGCCATGGCTACCACTCACTCATCACCAAGGGGATGATGTAAGCCATTCATAAGGGATCTGCCTCATGATTCTAACACCTCCTACCAGGCCCCACCATTACATTTCAACATGGAATTTGGACGGAACAAATATCCAAACCTTATCAGATAGCAAATGAGCACATAAAAAGGTGCTTAACATAATTTGTCATTAGGTAAATGCAAGTTAAAACCAGAGTGAGATGCCCCTATATACCTATGATGGCATCTAAAATCATACAGACGAATGATGCCAAGTATTGGCAAGAACATGGAACAACTGGAACTCTCATGCTTTGCTGATGTAAACTGCTAAAATAACTTTGGAAAATAGTTTGGAAATTTCTTAAAATATTAAATTTATGCCTACCATATACTCATTCATTCCATTCCACTTATGAGAAATGAAAGTATACATCTATATAAAAATATTTTAAAAATTTGAAAATTTTTGCCTTTTAAAAATAATCTAAATCTGGAAAGTACCCAAATGTCCATCAACATGTGAATAAAGATTTGTGAACTACCCATACAATAAAATACTACACAGCACTAAATAGGAAAGAACTATTGATCCACATACAAACATAGATGAGTCTCCAAATAGTTATGCTGAGTGAAAGAAGCCAGATATGAATGAAAACATACCAAATAATTCCATCTATATAATATTCTAGAAAATACAAATTAAAATGTCAGAAAGGAGATCAATTATGGCCCAGGGATGTGAGGGCTAGAAGGGTGGGATGTAGGGATTCTAAGTGGGTAGAAGGAAACTTTGGGGGTGATGGATACATTTATTAAATTGACTGTGGCAAAGGTTTTGTAAGTGTATGCATATGTCACTTTATTACATGTCAATTATACCTCGATAAAACTGTAAAAAGATAAGGAAGGGGGTTTGATTACTTAATAGAATATATAAGTAAGTCTATCTCTCTACTGAAGATTTAACATTTGCATTATTGTGTTACATATTTGAAATGCCTTGTAGCATTTTACTTAGTTTAAACTAGCATTTTTTCAATGCATTATATATTAGGATCTTTCACTCAACATTTTTTCTTTTCATGTAATACCTATCATTATCCTTGAGTACCAGTTATGGCACAGATCTCACTTTAGAAAACACTGGTCTTGAGCTGTAAGCAATGGCACAGTGTCTGACTGGAAATTACAGTTATCAAGAGGGTAGCCATGATATTTGGGTAAAGGCCTACTGAGAATTAAGTAGATTCTATGCAAATTTTTACTTTGGTATATACATATATACATGTACCATGGTAGCAAGTAAGTCCAAGTAGGCATTAGAAAAAAAGTTAGTGTCAAGATGATAGATAAATTCCAGAAGGTCAGCATGCAAGAAAGGGACAGGAATTTAAAAGAAGTAGTAGATGGACAAAAAAAAGCATAAGTGAGCACTAAATGTCAGGATACTTAAAATACTTTGCATAAGGGGAAGGATCCACTCTAGGCTTAGCCAGAATAAGACGTGTGGGTAGAGTGAAAAAAAGTGATTTATTTGAGAGAAGACCTAAGTAAAAATTAAAGCATATGCTGAAAAATGAGTATTTTTTGAAAGATTTGCATTGATCATATATTGCATTGATCATATATACTCCTAAAATTTATGATTATTTCATCAGACAATTTTTCTGAGAAATGCATTTATTGCAATGACAGGGCTTGATATAAGTATACTCTGATCACTAAAATCAAATGGTACCTTGAGGAATTAGATCTAGTAGCCTGAAAGTTTCGATGTGATATCTCCAAAGTGTTCGCATTCACTGAATGTTGAATTAAAAAAGAAGTCTGCAGACAAAATTCTAAACATCACCTGACTCTCCTACTACTTCCCTTTCCAAATAGGTTCCTTTTCTTAATTATTACTCTTCCAGGATAAATAGACAATAAGACTGACAAATCAAACAATCAAACATATTAGGGTATTTGGGGGTTTAGTTGGCAGCATGTCGCAACTTCTTCCAAATCTGTTTTAGTATTAAACCATAGGAGTACACTGAATCTGGTAAACACAATAATAACATACCTTTTCCATTCAAACTTCACTAATAAATCCTTGTCCTTTCAATATAAGAACAGAGACTCTTTCTGACTAAGAATTCCATATTTACAGTAAAAGACCAAAATGTTGATGCACTTGTCTTTTTATTTATTTATGTTTTCTTCTAGATGAGATATTGGTAGAGAGTACAGTGAATATTGTACTTTGGCTGGGTTCCTTATACTCACACTCTAAGATAAGAAATCAGCTATATGTTATTTATTAAGAAAATGCTCCCAGGAGAAACCCATGTAGGAATGGAGAAAGCAGGGCTTGATATTGAAAGAAGCCAAGCAAAGGTAAAATTTCAGGCAAAGTCTCAGTCTCAACCTGATTGTACAGGGAAGCTGTGAAGTATAGATCAGGCCTCAGAATTTGTCCTCAGTTCAGTCAAGGGAGCTAGGCTTTTATAATTCTGCACCAGTCATTGGCTAAAAGCTACCCTGGAGGGACATAAATTGCCAGGCACTTGTGGCTCCCACCAGTGGTCGGCAAAGCAGCTCTAGTAGTTCAAGGACATTCCTCCAAAACAAGTTGAAAGTGTAAGTGGAAAGAAGTAAAGCCCTTAGAAGCTGAGGCATTTTGGTCTGAACACTGAGAGTGCCCACTACAAGTGAGTTGTGAGTGTTTGCGAATTAAATGGAGTGAGCTAAAATTCATTGGGGGTGGGGGTGGTGTTTCTTGTCAGTATTGTTTTAAAATCCAGCACAGAAAGCATTCAATGGTTTTGTTGCCAAGTGTACAGCATCCATTTCCAAGTCTTACTTCAAGAATTTACACTTTTCTGTGTTCCTAAGAAAAATGATGAAAGCAGAAAAAGAAAAATTTGTATTTCCACGAGACAAGCTAATTTTTTATTTTAGGACAGTAAGTAATATACAATGATAAGCTTTTGCAATTCATAAATATTTTCCTATTTATTATATGTGATGGCTGAGTTAATAATTTATTCATATTTTAATCAAATTCAATTTACTTTACCCTTAAATAGTGTAGGTCAGAAGTTCAATAACAAAGAACTTTTTTCAACTGGTTATTTTTGAAAGGCTTCCTATAATGAATATCTAGTTGAAAAAAACAACGCTTAAATTCTTTAAGGCAATGTATTTCAGGTTATGATTCCAGGGTCACTTACATCAAAAATGCTTGGGGAATTGTTAAAAAACCTCCATAAATCCTACCCTAGAACTCCTGATTCCTGATGGTGAGATCTTGAGTATGCCTTTTTACAAAAGATTCCTAGATGCCTACATACATACAAGAATGAGAACCTCTGTTGTAAATGGTAGAGATGTTATATACAGGTGTTACTTTTTTAAAAAATGGAAGCTACTAGAAGGATTTACTGAAGCAGATTAAGCAAGAGAAAGTTCAGAGAAAAGTTCAGAAGTAAAGCTCTGCCCTATTACTTTTCTTAAGTTTTGTAGTGGCTGCCAGGTATTTTCCCCACTTTCAGCACTGCTTCTCTTCCAATCCAGTTTCAATTTCTGCTGATAGGCCACTCTCCTTAAGGCATAACTCTAATCATGCTTTACTTGTTCCCCAAATAGCCATGCCTAATAAAGGAAACCCAAATGCTTGAACATGATCCTTAAGGACCTTCAAATATGGCTCCACTATATATTTTCAGTCTTATCTTTCATACATTCCTTAAAATCCTCTCAAATTCATCTACTCACATCCATTCATATAGATTTTGAATTTTTTAAATCCTATTTGCCTATTACCTTACTACATTGTCTTCCATATCTGCCTCAAAGGCCAAGAACCAATGTCATCTTTTGGTAGCTATAAGTGTCCACTCTAGCTTATGCTCTGTCTTTCCAATGAACTTCCAAGGGATTTTGGATTACATCAGTCACATGCACTTTTATGGTCTTATCTTATGGTTATTTTGTCTCACATTTATCCCCCTTTATTTAAGGTAGGGACATCCTCATTAAATTGTGAGCCTATTTATTATATAAATTTGTATTTCTCACAGCTTGAACTTGTCTTTTTTTTATGTTTAGCAAATAGTTTAATAATAATAATAAAATAATGGTTAGATTATAGAACCTACTAAGGACTTCCAATATTAGTTTTACTGGCTAACAATTCATTTCAGTCTTACAAATAACTAACTATCTCATCTACAGCTATACCCACTCCATACATAATCTCCATAAATCATCCCTGAAACCACTCCATATAAATATGTAATCTAAGTTACTGCTTCCTGGTTACCAAAAATAGATTCACTCCAAATAAAAATTCATTGGCCCAACTCCTATCTCTTTATTTCAAACTTATTTTCACCTTGAACACTACCTATATTAAAATTATGGTTTACTACAGCTCTGCCCTAAATGCTCTATTTTTACTCTATAAGAAAATTGAAGACTTCAACTGTTCAAGATAATAATCTCAGTTTCCTCATCCAGTGTTGTGGATAATGACACCTGGCCTTTGTCTTGTCAAGACTTGAGCAGTAAAAAAGACTCAGCATTTAATTTTATAGTAATTTGAGAATGTAAGAACATAATTGAAGTGTTGATTGGTTAACATTTTTCTCGTGAAGCATGCTATTAAATATTTTTATCATCACCATTTCTGGGACTCTGTTAAAACTCTTTTTGGTAGACTACAAATAGGGTGCAGTGTATACTGCTCGGATGTTGGGTGCACCAAAAATCTCACAAATCACCACTAAAGAACTTAATCATGTAACCAAACACCACCTGTACCCCAATAACCTATGGGGAAAAAAGAACTCTTTTTGGAATAAACTGTAAACTTTACATATCTTTGTCAAAAAATTGTAATTTACTGTAAAAATTATGTAATATCAATTTTAGAAATATGTATACATTTTGCTGCTCTGATTTTAAGATAAATAGGGAATTAAATTTGGTAGATAAATGTACATTAATCTTGTACTAGCTATTTCAATTTTTAGTTACCATACTGTGAATAGCTTTAATAGAATATATGATTCAAGTATTCTTAGCATTTTTTTTTTACTTTAGAAATAGCTACTGTGAAATGTAAAAATGTATTTTAAAAGGCTGCAAACATTAATCAAAGCTAGATCATAGCATGTATTTTTGTATGGGCAGGAATCTTTCTGTCAGTTTAAAGAGAAAAAAATTGTTTTAGGAAGTAGAAATGTAAAGTTAGGATTATTGTTTCAATCTAAATAAATCACATACTTATTAGAAATACAATAAAAGAATAAATAGCATACTTGCAACTGTGCAATAACATATATGATTATCTGCTACTAGTTCTGAGCATATGCTATGCTTTTGATCCAGCTTGGTTTAGAGAGTCACCTAAATTCCTAGTCTGATTTATATACCTCTCCTGTGACGGCCCTAGGAATCTGCAATACTTCTATCACAATAAACTTAACGTTACCTCTTTTAGTTTTATGTCCCCAATATGAGGCTGTACTGTCAAGGGGTAGATGCTTAATACATAATTAAAAGTAAATGAATTCATTTTATGATTTATAAATAAAATAAAATAAAAGTGTCATAAAGAAAAAGTGAAAGAAAGTTTTGCCTGTCAATTTCCCCATATTTACAAGTGTTATAAAAAGCTACTGAAAGCATCTACTAAGGCAAATCTCAGAGTACAGAGATGTATAGAAAGTGGCCTCTGCTCTCCAGTTTTTAATCCAGTAGGACAACTGAGACACAATCCACACACAGCAAAGGTGCAAGACATTACTCACAGTGTTGATGTGGGTGTTGGTCCTGCCTGCATCCCTCCCTCCCTGCCTTTCTATCTTTTTGTTTTAAGAGACATACAGTCAATGGAGAAGAAACTTGGAGAAGGAAAAAGTGACTACTCATTGAGGTAATCAGAGGATGCTGTTGAAGCATCGAGGTTGCTACCTAGAGGCAAGAGTGGGAAAGGAGTAAGGATTGGCATGAACAAAGCATTGCTGGCAGAATAGGGAACACACACTTCTGGTACAGGGGGCAGCACAGATGATGAAAGGCAGCAGAGATGATGAGAGGATTGTGGCCAGAAATCCAACCAGGTTATAGGGACATAAGGAGCAGGTACTTTAGTAGTGAAAGAAGGATAGCTGGGATGTCATGGAGCAGGGCTGTGTGGTGCCCATCAGAAGAGGAAGTGAGAGTATCACCCAGGGAATAGAATGTAAACAGCCAAGCCCTCTGCCGATTACAGTGAAGCACAACAGAATATATGACACATGTTATTTTGATTAGGGGGATATTTTAATGCTTTATTAATTAGTGATAAAAAGGAAAATATACAATTTTGATGCTTCATTGACTTCAAACTTTTATGTGGCACAGAAGTGACTTTTAACATGATAATTATGGAAAAACTTATGTTTAGGGAAATAATAAAAGAAACTTGGGTGAGGTAAACTAAAAATCAGCAAAGGCTGGTGTTATGAATAGTCTGAGTATTTGTGTCTCCTCAGAATTCATTCATTTATTGAAACCTGATGCCCAATGTGCCAGTATAGAAGGTAGGGCCTTCGGGAAGTGATTAGCCTATCGGGGCAGAGACTCCAGAGAGCTAGCTGCACCCTTCCACTATGTGAGGATGCCATGAGTAGGTGCCATCTATGAACCAGAAAGTGGGCCCTCACCAGACACTTGGCACATCCGTAAGTGCCTTGATCTTGGATCTCCCAGCCTCCAGATCTAGGAAAAACAAATTTCTATTGTAAGTTACCCAGTCAAAGGTTGTCACAGCCCAGAAACACTAAGATAGCTGTTTACTTCTTATTTGACCCAAGCGAAGCTTATAGTAGTTTTGAACTTATTTTCTTAAAAATAAGGACACCTATGGAAAATAACTATTCTCCTTCATATCACGTTTGTTATGTTAATTTTACATAAACACTTCACATACCAATAGTAAGAGGTAATTAATTATGTTCATATTTTACCAACACATCTATATATAAATAGTATATATTTAGTATATTGGCTATAAGTAATGTCTTAGACTTGTGAATAATTTGAAATAAACTCATTTGACATTGCCTGAACTGATTTTTGTTCATCAATCAGTTTTCTGTGAGACATCATTATTCTGTGAGATAAATTCATGTAACTCACAGAAACTAAATTTTTTTCTGTGAGTTACATGAATTTACAGAATTTACAGAATTACAGAATACAGAAAATTTAGTTTCTGTGAGTTACATGGATTCCCTATTCCTTTCAGAATAAAAAGATAGAAATGTTTCCATCATGCTAAGATGATGGAACCCCTAAAAAGTAGATAAAATCATTGCTGCAGAGTGAACTATATGATCTGCCCAGATTACTGTGGTTCTATTTTCACCTTTCCCTTACATTGCCTCGTGCCTTATAATACTTGTCATCCATTAATTCCCAGCTGCTCGTGTGCCCTTTGTTATGGCATCCTACTTCCACCTTTTTAGATTTATATTTCCAATTTATCTACTATTACCACTACCATCAATATTTTTCTGCTCTGTGACTTAAAGCTTAAAGCAGGCTTCTGCTTTTCAAGATGACAACTTGTATGGCATTCTTTCTCTTGTGCTCCATGAAACAATGACAAATTTCTTTAATCACCTTCTTCACTCTTCTCTTTCTGTAAATATCTACTAAATGAATGTTTGCTTGGCTTTCAATTCACAGGCCTCTTCTCATGCCATAGTTTTCCTGGATGACCATTTCATTCTTGTAATTTCCGTCCACCTCTGTTCTTACGGCCTTTGGTCTTATAGATGTAGTTCCCTCTTGTGCTCAAACACACATTGCCAGCTTCCTGCTAAGCACCTTTTTAGGTCTCCCTCAGATCCTTCTAATTCAACGTGTACAACATGGAATCAAGTGTCTTTATTTACAACTCCTTCCTTCCCTTTTCTTCTCTGTCATTATTCCTTCCTTTTTCCTCTTTCACTATTTACTATTCCTTCTCTTTCTTTTCCATTTAACCCCGCAAATGTTGAATGCCAGGAGATATAACAATAACCTAAACAAAATTTATGCCTCATGGGCATAACAGTCAGATAGAATGAAATAATTCTCAACAGACCAATATGTTAGTCTGATAAAGAATGAAATTGACATAATATAAATGTCAAAAGATAAGCTTCTATAATACCAACTTGATGATGCTCTCTATTCACTTGCAGCAGCTTGCAATTCTGACAACACTTTGTTTGGATGCCTTTCCAGAAGAACACTTGTGTGCCTCCCCCTCCCCTCTCCCCTACCTCCACACCTGTAGGTACTGGGCAAAGGTGTAAATGGAAAATTTGATTAGAGGCTCTCCTTCCATGGTCTGCCAAATTATGAAGGACTTCTAGTTGGTTCAAAAGCCTCCTAGATTAAAAAAAAATCAATCAAAACTACGAAGTTAGAGTCAGCAGAAAAATCCATCCATTGTGAACCTTTTCCCCTAAAGCTCCACATTAGTATTAATTAAATCAGCAAGCCTTGGTTGTTCATGTGCCGCTTTGCGACCCTTCCCAGGTGAGGCTTTTGCAGAGCAAAGCTAGAAAGAACTGTACTACCACATTTTTTAAAAAAAATCAGCAGTTGACACAAATTTTGCAATACTAAAACTTTGAAAGCATGCTATGAATTCTACCAAACCATTGGCCTGTAAACTTTGTTTGAAGATACAGTGCAAATAACTCTACACCTCTAAGCATAGAGCAGGCCAATTTTATCCCCATTTGTCAAGGGATTCTTGTTAATTAGAATCTGTGGGCTGTGTTGAGCTGAAAATGATTTAACAACAAAGACCTTTTGGAACAAGCTGGTTGCCTGAGAACTAGAGATCAAGGCTTTTTTCCTCTTTCTTTTCTCATCTTTTGCCAGGATGCTGAAACCAAACATTAAATGAAAACACATTCACTATTCTTTAAATGTGCTTTAAATGAACTACTTTAGATTAGATTTGCAATAAATGCACTTCTAAAGATTTCAATGTTTATGTCCCCTTAAAGCAAGTGGGATTGTCACTGATAGATAAAATTTGTTATCAGTTTGATACTGTGAGAAAGCTGATGTAATATTATAAGTCCTGAGGCATTTCATTGACTACTGCTAGAGTCTTACTCATTGGCTATTTTGGGATTAGTTTCAGGAAAGGCAAAGATTAAAGAAATTTAGTGTTTGTTTTAACTTTAGTTCTCTGATAAGGTAAGATTTTCTGAGCATGAAGGCTTATAAAACGTCTTAATGCTGTCTGTCCAAATGTGAGATGTAATGAAAATGCTCAGCTGAGAATTCTGTGGTTTGTCAGTCGTCTTCAATATAGTTTCCTCTCTTCAGGCATAATAGCCATTCTGAAGCTGTTGTATATTCTTCCCTTCCCTTCTCCATCTATGTCTGCATCCTTAAACAATTTACAGTGCTCTATGTGTTTTGAAGTCATAGAAATATCAAAATGAATATACTTTTCTTCAACATTGTTATTCAAATTTACTCATATTGACATTCAGATTTAGTGTGTTATTCATTCTCCCTCTCAAATTTGGTTTCCAATTTACAAATATTTATCACTTATTTATCCATTTTCACATTTGTGTGGAATTAGACTGTTTTCAATCCCATGTAAGCATTGTTATCATTAACAACTTTGTATGTGTCTTCTTGTATGCCTGAGTAGTGATTCCTGTATGGTATGTTCTCAGAAGTGGGACTGCCATGCACATTTCCGTGTTCACCTTTATTGCTATTTGGTGGCCTATGTTTTTCAGGCCTTGAGGTTCAGAAATATTATTTTCTTAGTTCTTGGTTTGTTTGGTTACACTAAATATGTTTTTTCTTTGCTCTTTTGTTTGCTTTTAATAAAGATCTGTTTTGTTTTCATTACTATTTCTGTCTAAATTTTTATTTTGTTTTGTATTGTTGGGGGGAGGCCAGTATATGTCTGATATACTTTTCCATCCCTTTGCTTTCAATTTTTGTGTCATTATGTTTAAATGTGACATTTATATATAACCTAGTGGATTTTTTAAAATCCAGTCTGGGAATTTATGCCTTTTTAGTGGCCAATTTAACTCACTTAACTTTGTCATGATTACTAACGTATTTGGAATTTGGAGTTCCAAATTTATTTGAAATTAATTCTTTCTTCTTATGCTCTATCTTCTGTATATGATGACCTTTCTTTGCTCGTCACATAAAAAATTGAATTTATCAATTTTTAAAATTTTTCCTTTTCTGCTAACTAGAAGGTTATACTGTCTATTTCTACCCCACAATTAGTATAATTCTTGAACCTACATAATTGAATTAAACCTAAAATATACCAAGCATTTCTCCCGCTGTTACAAAGAATACACAGACTTGAGAACATTTTAACTCTGATTATATTCCTCTGTGATATTTTTTTCAGAAACTTTAGATGCATGAATTTAATGTCCTCAGTTAGTTGCAAATTTTACTGATCCATGGTTTTCATAATTGCCTCACCTTTGCTTTTAGTGCAATACCTTGACATTCTGGGTTTAATTTCCTTTTTTTCAGAAATTTATGGTTAGTTGTTAAATAAGTTTATATGAGTAGTAAGTGCATAGGCTCTTTTCTTTGGTCTGAAAATATACTTTGCCTTCGGTTTTTATGGTAATTTATATGGTATTATATTCTACTTTTACAATTGAAGCACACTGAAGATAGCATTCCATTGACCTCACTTGTTGCTTTAGGGGAAATTCCTCTCAATTCAGGCATTCTTCTTTTGAGGTAATTTTTATTTTGTTGCTCTTCATATTTTCTTCTTTTCTAAACTATTTATAATTTCACTGCAATAGGTGTAGGTCTTACTTGATATTTATTGATTCTATTGGAACTCACGGTTTTTTAATATTTAGGACTTTCAACATTTCTGGGAGATTCTCAGCAATTTTCTCATTAAATAATAATTATTTCTATTTATTTCTTTTTATTCTTCCTGGGCCACATATTTAACCCATGTGTTAACTTCTCATTCCAATTTCTATGTCTTAACTGATCTTTCATATTTTTCATCATCCTTTCTTTGTGCTGCATTATGGGTACTTTTTTCAGCTCTAGCTTTCATCCATTGAATGTTTAACTGAAAAGGTATTTTTTTCACTTCTACAAGTTAATGTTTTATGATTCTTTTCTACGCTTGCTTTTTTTTTCTCCTTTTAACAAGATGTCTTTATGGTTTCTGATCTTTCGTCTCTTCAATAACTTTAAATATACGTATTTTATAGTCTTTTTCAAAACTGCTGTTATACCGTAGCCTACAGGTTATTATGCTTGTTGCTTCTCACTCATTTAGATACACTCATTGTGTGCTTTTAAGGTTTTTTTACATTTTGGCCTAATTTTTAGTTATTTTTTTTTAATTATAGAGTAAATTTGCTTTGAGTTTTTACTTTCCTGTAAATAATCCAGGGCTTTCACTGACTTGAGAGCTGTTTAAAAAATAATCATCATTTTAGAATTTTAGTTTCCATGCCCTTGTATAAATTTGAACCCTATTTCGGTGCTGGTGTACATTTAGTGTTTTTTGTTTGTGTGTTTCATGTCTGTGCTTAAACAGTTTAACAAGTTTCCTGGACTCCTCAGATAAAGTTAAAAATTTTCAGTTCTGCTTATGAGTTCTTTCCAGGTCTTACTCTACTTATCCCTTCTTCCCACTGATATCTTCCTATTTTCATCTCCACATTCTCTATTCCAGCCGTGTTTGACTTTTTTTAGTTTTTTGATTTGCCAAGCTCCCTCTTGCTTCTGGGTTTTTAAACGACTGTTTCTACTTCATATACCATTCTTTTCCCCTTCTTTCCTAAGGTAATTAGGAAATCTTAAGCATTATGTAATATTCTCTGGTATAGACATTCTAGAGTTTTCATGACCCATGTGCTTCCTAAAACTTACAACCTGCCATTGTAATAACCTATTTGTCTTCCTTGCTAAAAAGAATGTCTGTCATATTTACCACCTTGTACAAGGCAACATTTCTATATATAGTAAATATTCAACAATATTTGTTGTATGAAACAAATAATTGCACATATTGCATAAATGAATGAATAATGGCTTTAGTTTCCTTTTGATTTGGTTGGATACATCATACATACTCTTGAATCCAACTATGCTTGCAATTAACAAAAATCCCAATCTAATTTCATATATACAGTTGCTTACCTTATTCTGTATATAAAATATGTTGAAGAAATTTATATGAATTTTTATGTCTAGTTCCTATATATGAGGAAATATATTATCTACCGATTCCTGGACTTAATTTGTGTCTCAGCAATTTGACTAAAATGATTGGTTCTGATGGTCAGAATTTGATGCCATATGGATTCTCAATGATGCTCTAAACTTGTGCAAACCTTCCTTGTGCCTTGGCCCAACTTTGGACTGATCCTATGCCTAGATCCTGCCAATGAACTGAATTCTGAGCATAACAATGGAGAAGCTGGAACCATGTTAATATTTATTGTACCAAGTTTAATTTTTAATGATAATTTATGAATATGGGCAAGAGAAGTGGATTCTCTTACTGGGAAAAACTAAAATAAATTCTCCTCGAAGAGAATTAAAGCCATCCTAGGTAGAAGATGAAAGAAGGCAAATATTGCATACATGATCCTCAGCTGGTACTGGCATGCCACTGCAGGAAAAAATTCTGAAATAAAATAACAGAAGCCATCCTCATGCTGCTTTACCAGTGGGAGTCTGTGGATGAGCTGTCAAGAACACTTGGCCTGAGGTTCTAGGAGAAAAGAAAGCAAATGAAAATCAGTGTTTATCAGCTTACATTTTTTAAGGATAGGTAATGAAACCCTTTATTTTTCACAATTACTCAACAATAGATAAAGATATAAAATGTGTGCTATAAATAGAAATATCTGTATAAGTATCTGTGTACACACATACACACACACACACACACACACACACATTTGATCCAGGCTTCCAATAAAAATTTGGGAATTTTTCATAAGAGAGATAATGTTATATTTTTCAGAACACTGTCGTTTATGAAAGAAGCCATACCCCAGTGAATGTATTCCATATATGTACTTCGCCCAGTTACCTAAAAAAGAAGGAAAAGAAATAAAGCAAAACAAACCTGTGGCTGAATTTTGCTTTTAAAGAAAATTGAGAATACCAACAGAAGCAAGTTTATAAATTTTCTATTCCGTTACCTTGTTCAGAGTAAATATGTTCTTGATTTTAGGATTTTAAATTCCACTCAGCTATAACCTTATGTTAATAAACAGGAGATATAAATTTGATTATAGCTTAGTGTTCTTTCATCTCCATATGTTACTAGCCAGCTGTGTTTAAAGCATCACATTTTTGTAGTAGAAAAATATCCAATGTCTGAATTTCTTATAAAATTGGGAGCAGTAGTATTAAGCAGAAAGCCAGACATTTGGATAAAGAAATATGCATAGTAAGAAAACTGATATACTTCTCTTCAAATGCCCCTAATACTCATGTCAAGATGGCAGGGATGATTTGCTCTGTGGAAATCCTCTGATCACAAATCCAGGCTGATGCCTCATGGGAGGTGTGTTGATTTGTTTTTACATAGAATAATATGCATTTTATGGTCAGTTCTTCATTCATTCTGTAGGGAATGCCAGAATACATGGAAGTGCTTTTTGTATGGTATGAATCCATCTGTTTTCTAAACATCACCTCTGTGAAAACTGCTTTTAATTTAGTAAATAAGTGCAATTACATCATAAGCTTCAAAGTGAAAGGGGCAGTAATGTAATAGTAAATCAATATAGATTAATTTGAGCAATGAAACTTGAGTAGCATTGCCAAATCAACCCTGAATTTAGATTCACTTTGTGTGTGTGTTTGTGTGTGTGTGTGTGTGAGAGAGAGAGAGAGATTACAAAGGCTGTTAAAGCAAATTGATGTTTTTATTTCTTTTCCTTCCCTTTTTTGCTAATTTCCACTGGAATTAACTTGGAGAAATACAAAATACCAAGGTTTGGCTGAGAATTGTTTGGAATATTTCTGGAATTAGCTAAGTTGATAATAGTGTTTGTCCTAGATACAAACGTTTTGCCTTAGAGAACACTCTCAATTTTATTACCAGTTCAGCAATTTCAAGGCCCTTATAAAGCTAACGCATAGTATGATTTTGGCTACAGTAGCATTTTTGAAAGTGATATCAGATGCCATTAGAAGAAGAACTGACTATTTTTACAGGTAATGCCCCCCCAAAATATTTAAGCTCTGATACAAAATTCTTATAGTTGCCTGAGGAAGAAAAATGGTCTTTCTGAATGTCTTGAGTATTCCATAATGCCTATGAGCACCTGCTCTGGAGTTAGGTTGCCTGAGTTCCTCTTTTGGCTCAATACTTACTAGCTTTGCATCCTTGTGCCATTAGTCTGTTGTACTTCAATTACTTCCTTTGTGAAATGATGATATTAAAAGTGTCTATCTAAATGGTTATTGTAAAGATTTATACACACATGGACACACACTCACACACAGAAGAATCCCTAAGCATAGTGCTTGGCAAAACAAACATTGACTTTTAAATAGTTATTGTTACTTTTTGCTATTGTTTAATCAAGCTATTATGATGACAGGCTACTCTCAGAAATGAGCACTTCCTGCAATGTGCTTTTCTTAAACTTTATAATTATTTTGCAGTGATTAAAATACTTGAATATCATGAGTGTAAAATAACAGCATAATATCTTTATTTTTACATGAATGCTACTTTTCAGATCTCTTCCATTTTTGAGCTACATGACATTTAATCTATCAGGATTATTTTGTTCATCATTAAAACCTACCTTTATTTCTCTATCAAAGCATCAGGTTAAAATGTTGAGCTCGTTAGCACTGAAAATAGATTACTTCTTAACTATGACTTGGACACTATTTTTGTTGTATAACTTCATAGAAAAGTCTGACATATGCTTTTCCTCATTGGACTTAAAGGTAACATTTGCAAAGTTAAAGGGTAAATAAAATTATCTCTGATTCTTTATCAGGGAGCCTGAAGTTTCATATTGATTTCGCCACAAGTGAGTTTCACGGCCTGTGATAATAAATTGATCTGTGGGCTGTCCATGTGGCAACATCTTTGCACATACCCAGTTTAACTGACAATGATGCTGCTCTGGAGACCCCAAGAACTACAGTCTCTGACTTGGGGATTTTCACCCCCTGTCATCTCAAATGTCATTTCAGAAACATTCATCATGAGTCTCTGTCACTGGACAAATAATGGTTCTCTGTGATAGTCACTAAAATACTCATAGTTTCGCTGCCTGGGTGACAGGTCCTGCTATTGGCTCTTTGAGATTATGGAGAAGTTCAGACCCGTCAGATATCAAATGGGAAAGACATGAGCTGAAATGGCACCATGTATGTCCACTGAGGCTGCTGATTAAATGAAGGAATGATATCAGGACAAGAGAGCTCTCAGAGCTGTGAGACATTTTTAGAAATAGCAAACAAAACTTGGTCCCGTTTCTCCTCGCAGTTTGCAGCAGTTGGAAAAAGGCTTTCATGGGGCAGTTACTACAGGTTAGGCTCTTTAGAATCACCTGTGCATTGAGACAATCGTTCCCTGAAACAATGGGCTTTTCTTCTTTGTTATACCTCTGGTCTTGAATGGAAGCAAAAGATTCAGGATTTCACATCATTGCAAATAATTGCCCTCTATTGAGCAACATGACAATGCTTTCTCATTGCTTAAAATGTGGTGTTGCAAATGTTAAGTGGCTTATATTGTTTGAGCTGTGTAGCTTGAGCTGTTAGTATTAGGACCCTCTTGACTCGGAGTTATAACCACGCTGGCTATTCAGGGATATATTTTAAGGCTTATCAAGCAAGCAATATTTGCCACATCTTCTGGCAATTGTTGAAGTAGGTGGGTTGCAGTAGAGGCTCCTGAAAATCAGGATATCTTTTAGGGCCCCATATGCCTATTTTCTCCCTCTTCCTTTGATGTAACAGAGCCATTTCCACTCCATTTCTGTCACAGAGCCCCCAGTCTACCTCATTACATTTATATTCACATGCTGTGAATCTCCTAATTAATATTTGGGATAAATGTATTGCATAGGGGAATAAGGTTATGAGATGAGAAATCAATGTGGTTTTTGTTAATGTCATACAATATTTTGTGTCATTCTTTCCTACCTTGTTCTTACAAAGTTAATGTAAGAACAATTTTCAGCTGTTGCTATCGGGCCCCTGCCTTGCCCACCTTCTCTTTAGTTAGGATGACTTTTACTTTGGAACTAGAATCTGTTCCATCAATATTAACTACCTTCCAATCTTTTTTGTACTTAACAAAATATCATGTCAGGTAATCTCAACATATGACCAGAGACCTATCCAAGAATTGGCTGGTAGAGGCAGAACTCTTCCTACAATCTACGCTTTTTTTTAAAATTTGTTTTTAATTAACATACTTTCCTTCCTTCCTTCTTTCCTTTATACCAAAATTAAAGCACATTTTTGTAGGTCATAAGTTAATTCAAAATTCTAATCCTTAAAAATAATTCTTAACTCCACCTCCAAAATGGAATCAAATTTCAAGTGCTGCTACTGAGTGGTTGACAAGAAAACATTACTGGAAAGATAGGCTCTTCTCTTCAATTAAATTGTCTAGAAACTAAAGTAACTTCCACATTCAGTGACCCTATTCCAGACTAAATACCTAGTGATTTGTCAATAAGGAAGGTAGTATTTGGCCTTGAGTCATCCTTCAATAAGTAAGAAAAGACAAACTTTTCTTACTTTGGTAGAAAATGATTTGATTACAGAAAGAACTCAGGCTTTCTCACTGCAATCTTGTAGATTGTCTGCCACTTAATTTATAAAGCACATTCAACTTTTATGAAGAAAGCTTTCTCTATGCACGTTAAATGAGTTTGGTATTTGTGAAAACAAGTCTACCTGGATTCTACATCTTCAGCATTCCTTTGAGAATTTAAGAGGTTAGCCACGGCAGGATGTTTCAATCTACTGATGCTTACAGTTGGTTCACTTAATAGTCCCTTTTCTTAAATTGTGTTCCCTTTAAAATGTCTTCAATATCCCACTTCACCAAGAGATACAATTATTCGTGCATCACAATACTGAAAGCTCCTCAAGGGCAGGCTTATTTTTTTAATTAGTATCATGTTCATATTAATAATATGCATATTAATACCTATTACTATTCATATCAATATTATTCAAGTTAATATCGAACACACTGTATTTTTCAACTTATATTTGTTGGGTTGAAATAGATTGAAACTGTCATCTATGTTACAAGAACAACCTTTCATAATTAATTGCTCAAGTGGGAAAGAGATAATTTACCTTTCTCGAATGTTTTCTGTTTTTGTTGTTTGCATCAAATGAAGGCATATCTTACTAATTTGGGTTATTTTCCTTTCTTTCTTCCCTCACTGCCCACATGTGTTATTAAAGTAAATCAACTTACAGCTAAAGTAGATACTATTAGTAGCACATTCAAAACTCTGGGCAAGTTCAAGCTCATTCTATCCCCAAGGTAAAGGGAATCTGATTATATTCAAGTGTATGATTTCTATTCTAGGCATGAGCATTTATGCTACTGTACTAGGGGAAGCTGTTAGAGAGATAGGAGCATAAGTAAATGTCTTTTTAATCACTTCCACATGACCTCTGATCAAACTGTCTCTTTGTAGCTTGTGTTACAGCCAGCGGGGGGAAATGATGTGTTGGAGAGTGATGGCCACTGCCCATGGAAGGCCAGAAATGAACAATGGCACAACTCAAGGAGAAAAGTACTGGGGAAAGCCCCTTAAGCTAGAATCCAAATGAGACAGGAGGAACTTTAAGGTCTCACGTGAGATCCAGCCCTTACATAATGACAAAAAAGCACTACCCCACAAAACCACGTTTTCTTATGCTCTAGTCCTAGCAGCGGCCCATGAAGCTAAAAACTGAGGAATTTCTGGCCTTAGCCTTTTTACTGTGTCCAAGTTCTGACAGATGTTTACTACTAGCTAATACTTACCTTACTACTTGCTTACTTTTTCTGGAAGTGAGTAGCAGCTCTCCTGAAATGGTGATCTCAGGACAGAGGTAAAATGATAAAATACACAAGGAAGTATATCTAGTGTTATATCTGTGTTTTCCTTACATATTTCAAATTTATCTTTTGCTGTACTCCGTCTTTGTTAAGGTTCTCCTCTCAAACTTTGGTCCTTTTCTTTAAAAATTCTACTATACTGGCCGGGCGCAGTGGCTCATCTCTGTATTCCCAGCATTTTGGGAGGCCGAGGTGGGCAGATCACGAGGTCAGGAGATCAAGGCCATCCTGACCAACATGGTGAAACCCCATCTCTACTAAAAATACAAAAATTAGCTGGGCACGGTGGCACATGCCTGTAATCCCAGCTACTCGGGAGGCTGAGGCAGGAGAATCGCTTGAACCCGGGAGTCGTAGGTTGCAGTGGAGCCGAGATTGTGCCACTGCACTCCAGCCTAGTGACAGAGAGATACTCCGTCTCAAAAAAAAAAGAAAAATTGTACTATACTGAGTTAACCTGAGGTGAGGAGATTATATTTCAAAGTTATTGCCACAAGGTATTCAGCACTTAGAGGCTGTTTTCAAATATTCTGGTGTCTTAAAATCAAGCACATAAAAATATACTTACTGATTTATTATGTAAACTCCATGTTAGAAATATATACTTATGGCCAGGTGTGGTGGCTCACACCTGTAATTCCAGCACTTTGGGAGGCCAAGTTGGGAGGATTGCTTGAGCTCAGGAGTTAGAGACCAGCCTGGACAACATAGGGAGACCCCCATCTCTATCAAAAAACCAAAAAAATTATCTAAACATGGAGGCACACACCTGTGGTCCCATCTACTTGGTGGATGGGTCCCAGTTACCCCAGCCTCGGTGACAGAGCAAAACTTTTCTAGGAAAAAAAAGAGATCCTATATATATGTGTGTGTGTGTGTGTGTGTGTGTGTGTGTGTGTGTATGTGTGTGTGTGTGTATATATATGGATATATGTGTGTATATATATGTAAATATATGGATATATATGTGTATATATATGGATATATATACACACAATATATATCCATATATTCACACATGTATACATTATATATCAATAAATATATAACATCAGTTGTGAAAATTTTCATTAATAGTTACTTTTAGTGCGTTACAAAATGTTTTTAAAAATCCAATATATCCATAATCCTATATATTTAAGCAGCTTATTCAGTCACTATAAATCTACAGCTGATTTTGGCAAAGATCTAACCTTTCCAAGGACTGGATCTTACTTTTCTAAGCACTAGGGCCTCTACTATCTGTTGAGTGGCTCATTGCATCTTTGCTTCTTTCTTTTTGATTAAGGCAGGGAGTAATTGCCTAATTAAAGTAGTGTTGGGAAGATGAAGTAAGCAGAGTGGAGTCAAATTAGCTAATGGTTCTCAATCTTGGCTATATAATGGGAATTATTATAGGAGATTTAAAAATAGATCCTACCTCCAGAGATTCTGATGTAGTTGATATGAGGTGTGGCCTGAGCCTTTGTATTTTAAAAGTTTCCTAGGTGACTTTCACATGCCGTTAAGGCTACCGACCACCAAATTAAAGGTGAAGAGGTATTACACTTTATCAATTAAGTTTTTCATAGCAGTAATAGTTCCACTAGATTGTATGGATGTAGAACATCAAAATAATACAAATTACATATGGAAATAATTTATAAAATATTACATATAACTCTTACAGAGCTTGAAGAATGGAGCAAATCTCCAGCCAGGAAAAGTCACTAAAATTCCTTGTGTTTCTAAATGACCTATTATTTATGTCATTATTTAATATAAAGTGTGTAATGTTATTTGGAACAATAAGTGCTCTCATTTTTCGGTATGAAGTTACCATTATAAATGATTTTAAAGATGAAACTGAAAGAATAACATAAGTAAAAGTGAATTCCAAAGTAAACTTAAACGAATTAGACATTCTTCTGCTAGAAATCATCCTCAAAGCTTTACCTAACAACATTATTAAAGTGCATACTAGATTGGAAACTTATGATTAGATTTGGAGTGAAAAACATCATCTTGTGGCATGTACTTCTTGAAGATTTGGATATTTTAGATTAGCATTTGTGGCTCTTAAATTGATTTTTTTTCTTCTTCACTTATAAAAATAATAACCAGGAAGTACAAGGTAAGATACGCAGCAGGCATTCACTTCATTTTATACATACTCACATATATATATGTGAACCCCAAGAAATCAATAGTTGTTAAAAATGTGGGAGATAAGTAGGGCTTCTTTGGAAATATTTTTTTCAGAGAAACGAGAGGATTATTTGATTTTTATTTTTTATGCTAATTGGGGAAAAAAGGTAAAGGATGTGTAAATAGGATTCATATTTCTCATAGATTTGTTGTAAAATTTAATAGCATTAGTAAAAACTTGGATGGAGAAGACATTGCTTGAATGATTTTATGTTTCTCAGATTATTCTTCACCAGGACTCTATGTAAATGACCACTAGACAAGAGAACTAGGTCTTAGACAGCTTAGTATAGTTTCCAGCATTGCACAGTTACTAATTGATGAAGTCAGGAATGAAATCCAAGTCTGTGTAAATCCAAAACCTCTTCTATCTCTGTTGTAACACCTTACTGTGAGAGATTATCAAGAGGGCTGTGGAATTATCTCTAAACCTCTTAAAATACATGGTGATTTTCAATCTTGCTTCAGAGTTGCAGAAAGTAGGGAATGTATTAAACATGTGATCTAAATATTAAGTATTGAAATAGAGTAAAAATGAATTCCTCATCTAACTTAGTCATTTCTGGCTGCTGTCACAGAATACTATGGGTTGAGTGGCTTAAACAATAGCTGTATTTCTCAAAGTTCTCAAGTCTGGAAGTCCAAGATTAGGTGCCAGTATGGCTGGGTTCTTGGTGGGGGCCCTCCTCCTAGTTCACAGTGGGCCATCTTCTCACTTATCTTCACATGGAGGAGAAGAGAGATCCGTTCCCTTCATCTCCTTATTAGTACACTATTCCCATCACAGGGGGTTCACTCTCATGACCTCATCTAAACCTGATTACCTCCCAAACAGGCCACCTCCAAAAAGCACCCAATTTGGGATTAGGGCTTTAATACATGAATTTTGAGGGTACAGAGAGATTGTCCATAGCGTGATTAAACATTTTTTCTTCAAATATTATTACTCTTAACCTAAAGAGACGTTAAGTGCTGTGAAGACAGAAAAGGAGTTGATGACTGTACAGGCAACAAATAGAGCAAGGCTATGGCCACAGTGGATGCTGCCCTTGTCCATAGTGAACTCCATTCTTGCTGGATTTAAATACATTCAGGGCCATCTCCGGGAAGATTTTGTGTAGCACCTGCATTTGTGTTTTTATTGTGCTATTTCGATTTTTACGCATTTCTTCTGTAATACCCATCTTCTTATGCCTTAGGCTATTGCCACTCACTTTAGTGTCCTATTTTTAACTTGCAACTCTATTTATTTGGAGCTTACTTTCCTCTTTCCTAACCTGAGAATTTCTTTGTTAACACAATCTCTACTAAAATGAATGACTCAAATATGGGCATTTTGTCCAGTGACCAAGACTTTGAGGTTATATTTGGAAGCATAGAAATTTTTTGCACGCTTACAATTATACTTTGAGAATGACTACTTATTTTGTTACATCTAAGGGTCCTGGTAGCTTTACAGAAACACAGATTCTATGAGTCTTTAAAAAAACATAAGACCACTTATATTTATATTTTAATTTTAAATATTACAAAACAGAACAAAACAAAATTCAAAACAATTTCCAGTGCTTTCATTGTAAAAATGCCAACAAATTTAATGTCTAACATGTCACCTGCTGTACTTTCCTCGTTACATAGATAGATAAGAAAATGAGGACCCAAATGGGCCAAAGGAATTTGACAAAGATCACAAAACTAATTAGCAGTGGAACTAAAATGCAAATCCAAGGCTGTCATTTCCTTATCAATGTTCATTTCAATAAGTAATATTGACTTTTTAGAAAGTCAAGTTATGAAGCTCTAGAAGAGACACGTAACAACACCTCAAGTAAGTCAACAAAGTAGTTGCCTTTGCCAGGAATGTCATCAACATTTATTTTATAGTAATTATATAATGTCTTCCCATCTCACCAATGATGGGCTTCCATTAGGTTCTACCAAAAAATTGTTCTTTTGATTGTTTAAAAATTTCTTTTATACTCATGTCTCAGTTTAACAGTTGTGGCAAATAATCTTTAAATTTTTTTGCTCATGAAACACATTCAATCCATTGACAAATACAGCTGATTCTACATTCTCAGTGAATTTGTGTCTCTATTTCCTTCTCACTGTCAATGCCAAAGTGGCTTTTCTAAAGCACAATACAACTATTTCCTGTCCTTGTCCCTCCCAGGAAAACGGAAAGCTGGGGAACACATAGTGCCAAGCTTGGATTTGAGCCTCTCAACTTATTCCCACTTACTAGTGATTACAGAGTAATTGGGAAAAAAATTCATCATGTCTGTTCCTGCGTCCTCAGCTAGAAAATGTGAATGATAACAACAATAATGTTGTGAGCCTCAAGTGAAAAAATTATATGCAAAAAGAGAAGAGCGCAGCAGGAAGATAGAGCTAATAGAAAGAATTAAGACTTGGAGTCAAAGTACCTGGCTTGGACTTCTGTTTCTGCCTATACTTGAAGTAATTTAGGAGCATTACTTTAACCTTTTATTTTATTTTTTCTATAAGTTAATTATAATACTATTGATACTTTCATAAGATCATGGGGAAAATTAACTTAATGAATTACAAGCATTTAGAAAACCACATATAGTCAGTAAACACCTGATATTATTAAATGACTTGTAAACTTTGAAGCATTATAAAACAACAAATGTACCTAATATCGGGGCCCGGAAGTAAACTCCGGACTCTACATTTTTATATTATATCGTATTTCATATACTATTTTTGTCTACTTGAAGTGAGCATTTAATTTAATCAAAAGATTTGCTGGTTTGATTAAATTTAATAATATAAACAACAGTTACTCATGAGAATGTTTTATAAAATCCAGGAAATAAGCTAATTTTGAATGACACTAATTAGGCAAAAAGCTTTGCAATGTTTACTTTGTGGTATTTGATAGAACTTTTAATTTGATTATCAAATAATTTTTTTGGTTTAAGAAAATAGTGGATTCATTACATTTTCTAAATACAGGCAAATTATTATTTTGAAAATATTTTAAAAGAAATATTTTCATGTTGTATCTTTGGCGAAAAGCAAATCATTAAAAATTACACTTGCTTAGAAGTACAAAAGATAAAAAAAGTGTGTAAAGAAAATCAATCAATTAATCAAAGTTTAAGTGCTTATTATGTTTCAGGGTAGACATGAAAAAATGAATTACCCACAGTTCTTGATGTGATATCGAGCTACAATGTACTGTACCTACACTGATACACCGATCAGTTTAGATTACTCATTAGTAAACTCAGTTTGTTCCTTAAAGCAAGTCAAAACTTAAAAAGTTTCACTCGCTTGAATTTCTCAAAGTGTCTCTTTGAGGAAAGATGTTGAATAAAACTCTTTTTTTTTTAAGACAAGAGTCTTGCTCTGTCACCTAGGCTGGCGTGATCTCAGCTCACTGCAACCATCGCCGCCCGGGGTCAAGTGATTCTCCTGCCTCAGCCTCCGAGTAGCTGGGATTACAGCCACATGCCACCATGCCCGGTTAATTTTTTGTATTTTTAGTAGAGGTGGGGTTTCACCATGTTGCCCAGGCTGGTCTCGAACTCCTGAGCTCAGGCAATCTGCCCCCCCTCGGCCTCCCAAAGTGCTAGGATTACAGGCGTGAGACACTGCGCCCAGCCTTGTAAAACTTCTTTGAAATGCCATTAGTTCCTGTTATTTTTCCCCTGTACTTTACAAGTAAACTGACTGTGCCATTTTATTTGTGTCAAGTAGCTTGTGCCTCCCATTTCCATTTTTGTCAGCTACTAATGCTATCTTGCAGCAGTGCTGTTCAGTGGGCCCAGGGGAGCCAAGTGTCAGTTTTTCCAGATGACAAGCTGCCAGTCTATAGCACACTGCTCAAAGTCACAGACAGACTGCATTTCTTTGCAGAACCAAAGAACATCATTTACTTTATGCACACCTTTGTACATGATCAGCTCACAGTAGTTGATGAAATAGCCCTGAAAAAGACACAGATTGAGAGCGAGACACAATGACCGAGACAGGAAAGGAAGAGAGAGATAAGGAGATGCAAAGAGACACAGGAGGATGCTATTTTAGTGAATTCAGCCCATTTTCTGGGCTATTATTGAACGACATACTTATTTTGTAAAAGGAAAGTTTTTAAACATTATTGCCAATTTACAGGAACTTCTCTCCTAATAGCTGGAACAAAATTCTCAATTTGCTCTAATTAAAATACTAGTTTTGGGGAATGAATTTTTCCCCTTTGATATTTAAACTGAACATTAAAAAAAGCTAAATCACTTTAAATGGTCTTTAAATTGCATTCTCTCTATCAGAATTGTTAACTCTTTTTGCCTAAGGAGAAAACCCACCATGTATGAATATAATATCTGAGTGGAATAGAAAGTGGCTTTTCTGTAATAAATATTTTGGCTATTACAGAGTTTGTATTTAAATGGGAAGTATTATGAGTTCTACCAATGGGGAATGCTAAATGAGAAATATGTTATTTCTTAATAGCCATGTAAATGAAAACCTGAAGCATGGGAAACTGTATGATCTGAAATAATATATCTACAGGTAGAAAGTTTAAATGCAAAGGGCTATAAATCACAAGATGCAGCAGAACATAGCATATAGGCAGTGAAGGCTGCAACCAAGACAGGGATTTCAGTGTCAAGCCTACTAGGTATCAGAAGATGGGCAATCCCTTTGGGCCTAATCTGTAAATAAGAAGTTTGGTTTGGTTCTTTAAATTGCTCCCTTCTTTCAGGTGATATTGATTATAACTAAAAGTCAAATACCTACTGAGCAAGTATAAAGCATTACTTTGAGATAGTTTTGTTATTATAACACATCTTCATTTTATGATATAGAAAAATGACGTTATTTTGGAAGAGGAATTCAGAAATGCAATGTTTTCTGATGGCTCTTTCTTAATACAAACATTGATAATTCCCAGGGCTCATGTATATTGAATAACCACAGTGCGATGCCAGCATCTGAGAGCTATGATTATTGTTGTTCTTAATTTTTTCATCACCTTCAAATGTCTTTAATCAAATAATTAATGAATTTTATTCATGTAAGAATTAAAGGAATAAATTATTTTTCTACTGGAAAGAAGTTATTTTAATTCACAACTAAAAGTAAAATTGTAAGTGTTACAATGGGCAATGACAGAAACATGATTATTTTTTAAATAAGATAGCATAAAGCTAGACTTTAAAAAATGTATTCTAAAAATAATAACATTTCTATTTTTTGTATACTACCTTGTTCCAAGATAAAATTTGAATTATAACTTTGAATATTCTTTAAGTTATTACAGCATTTCGACTTTTATTACAAGATAGAAAGTTTATGGCAGGATAAACAGATAAAAAGAACTGCAAAAAATCTTTTCAATTTGAAAAACCCTTCTTGATCAACTCTATTTTACTAAATCTTCTCATTTATTTATCAAAGATTTCCAAAAGTGTACGGTGTTAGTTCAGATGCTATGAAATTCAAAGAAAAATGAATCATTTACACTGCATTTCAGAAGCTTAATAAAGGCTGCAAAATACAATGCAACCCTTGGAGTCCACAAATAGTACCATCACCATACAGAACCAAATATACGCTTTTTAAAAATTTTGACTTAAAGAATTAATTTTATATTCTAAGTATAGAGTTTTTAGATGTAGTATTGCTGGTCAGTAATCAGAGCACTAGTTTTTAAGAAAAAATCAACTTTGGTATTTTCATAGTAAGAGAAGCAGAGGGAAATTTTCATGTGTTATGAATTTGAAACATATATGTAGATAGCTTTATATTCTCTATGAGGAATCTATGGCTCACATTGACTAAATAGCTTTCCCAAGATTCAAGTCTGATGATAGCAAGAGCTGTCTCAATTCAGAGAATCCTGGATGTAGCACGAGGGCTCACTCCATTATTTCCTGGTATGGTAAGACTTTATGGGGTTGGGAGGATTTAAAATGTTTTAATTCCTTGTTGCTTTTGTCCTCAGTATTGTGAATGCAATGGCTGGCACATGGTAGGAATTTGTTTAAAATTTGAGTTGTTGAGGAAAGGAATCAATAAAGAAGCTCTAAGGGCATAATTTATATTAGTGTATGATAAAATATAGGAGGCAATGTGTACATGAGAGGATGGGAGTGGCAAAGAGTTCTAGGAGATTGAAGAAAAGAGACTAAAGCCCAGACCTTTCTTTCTCATTGTTTTCTAGCCCATTGTTCAGGCTTCCTCACTATCGTTCCATACAAATATAAAAGACTGAGTAATTTCTAGAGTGCCAGTCTTCTACAAAACTTTCACATGCTTTTTCATTAACATAACAGTTAGTGCTTCATGTGTTATTAATATAATGACCAGTGTTCACTTTAATAGGAACTGAGCTCGGCACCCTTTCTCTTGATCTCGTTTCATTCTCATAAGCCCTCTGAGGTAGATGCTACTATTACCCTTGGAAGGCAATGGAACAAAAGCTGAAGCCTTTGAAACTTTCCCCATTCAAACTGTTAATCAGCAGTGAGCCTGGGATGTGGATGCTGTGCTGACTGAAGGAGAGTTTCTGCTTGTAACAGCTACAGGAGTATTCTGCATCAAATACGTATTCTGCATAAATTAGTTTCATAGGTTATAAATAGAAAAAGAAAAAAATAGCAGCTCTGTTTTATGTTCAAATAATACATTGGAACCAAGACACCTATTTGGTTTATTCAAGATTTCTCTAGAATTTTAAATGGTTATATGCATTACATTTTCAACAGAATACAGGAATAATGTATGTTGCATTTCTTAAAAGTATTTGACCATGTAACACCTGTTTAAAAATTATTTTTTCCTAATTTGTTAAATTCCTTTTCTGGGTTACTGTCTATTAACCCTCTCATCTTCTCCAAATATCTCAGCCCTATCTCATAGCTAGCCCCAGACCATTACTTGCCATGGTAAAACATATACAAGGTAATTAAGAAATATTTCTTCAAAAATAAGTGCATATAGTAATCTGATATTTTGCTGCTATTTCCTTATTTTGAAACTGCTTTTTTTCTGAAAACTGTGCAAGTCTAAGTCCACTGTTTTTTTTTTTTTCATATACTTGCTAATAAAACTTTCATTATCCGTTAGCTGAAGCCATTTGTCACTTTGGACTTAAATTTTTTTTTTCAATTACAGTGAATTTTTTTGATGGCAGGAATGATATATCATTCATCTTGATGTTTTTCAATGCAAATAGTAGAATCTTAATAAATGTCGAATGTGACTACTTTTCATTTCCTCTCGGATCCAGCATTCCTGTGAACACTTATGCATAGGCTATGTTTACTTCTATCCTGTCCATAATTAAGGTTATTTCAGATCTTGAGAGATGAGGTTTTAGATAGCAGAGATCTTCTCAAGTTAGACTAATTAATGGTCCTAGCTTTCATATAACATTTCACTGGTAAAGAAAAAGGCATGGAATTTATTTCTTCTTACCAAAGAATATTTCATAAACTATATATTTTTTTCTGATTGTAACAAATAACAATTTGAGATATCACAGCATCTGCTCACACTAGGAAGCCTAAGGGAGAGGAGATTACAGTTATCCAGTTTGGATATGACAGGTCTTGAGGCTGGGAATGGAAAGGGAATATCAGCTTCAAGCAGTGGTGTAAATAGGGTGGTGTGGTCACACTGCTTACAAACACAGAAGGAGAGAATAGGGCCAAAAGTTTTGATCTGGGTGCCTTCAGATAATTCCTCCCATGCGTCTGGGATGACTCTTGTTAGTCTGCATTGTATAGTGGCCCGGCTTCATCTTAACCTTTTTGTTCATCTGTAGCCTTGTAACCACTTTTACATGTTTGTACTGACCAGCCTTGTATCAAAACATGTCTAACCTGTTGCCTACACAAGGGTATCTTTCACTGAGTCCCTGAGAAATTATTCCTATGCCCTGCTTCTAATCCCAGTCAGTTGTAGTATTTTTCCTGAGATACCTCCCCACTCGTGGACTTAACAGATGTTATCATGATCATAAGAATCATTAACATGGCTTTCTGTATTTATGGGCTTGCGCTAAACTGACTCAATTTTCCTTTTCTCCTAATTTTTTCTCTTAATTCTGTTCTTGGTTTTCTTGTTTGTATATTGTCTGAATAAATTCTAATCATTCCTGTCTCTACGGGCGGCACTACCTACCTTTATGAATGTTAAGTGATAAATAGATGTCTGTGCACTAAAAACCCATACAATTATACATTCCAAATCTACGGATTTTGAGAATATTTTTGCTCTTGTTATTGCTTTTTAACAGTCAGATATTCTTTCTCAGCCAGGGTTGTCAAGTCAGATTCAAATCAAACATGGCGATGTTCATTAAACTATGAGGATGCAAAGGCATAAGAATGATACAATGAACTTTGGGGACTTGAGGAGAAGAGTGGGAGGGGGGAAAGGGATAAAAGACTACAATATGGTGCAGTGCATACTGCTCAGGTGATGGGTGCACCAAAATCTCACAAATCACCACTAAAGAACTGACTCTTGTAACCAAATACCACCTTTACCCGAATAACTTATGGAACAATAAAATAAAATAATAAAATTAAAACAAAACAAAAACAAACAAAAAAAATAATTAACTGTTATAGCAGAGCAAGAAAACTGATATTCTTGCATGGTTGATAACAAAAGATGTGTCTGTTTTACCTATTTTATGTGGCTTATAAACTGGTTTTGAAAGTAATTTCAGATTTTTCAAAAGATAACATCACAATAATCAGTCACTGGATTTCAGTCATCGTTTAAGAATATTTATTTTCATAGACAAAATCCTGCCCAAGAATATACAAATTAGTAATAGATAAGCCTAGTTTTAAAAAAAATAGTAAATAATCAGAGATCTCACCATATAAGCGCCATTCACTTACTCATGTGCAATGGGGACTTTTTACTAGACTCGGTCCAGAAGCTGCAGTTCTAGCCAATCTAATGCCTTGGCTTAATTTTGTTTGCCTGGACGAGTGGTGAGCTGAAGTAACGCCAGAGTGAAAATCTCAATTCAGAGACAGCAATGTTTTCTTGACTCTCAGGGCTGATCTCATTGTTGCTGCTAATTCCAACTTGGCTCCTGCTGATCACTGGCAAAGGGATCTGATACTGTTTTACTTTCAATTTGGGGAAATATTTTAGAATTTGCCTTGGGGCAGAAAGCTCAAGTTAAAACTGGTCTCATGCCAGCAAAATGAGAAGTTGTCAATACATGTTTGTTGAATTGAATTGAACAGTCCTGGATGCAATTAGTATTATGACAGGAAAGAGGAGGCTGGTGGCAATTACTCAATATTTGTGCATCACCTACTATATAATAGTATGTATGAAAGAGAGAGCACAGTTTACATCTCTGACCTTCAATAGCTTCCAATCTTGTAATGGCTGACAGTGAGACATACTGCACTTCCTTACAAAACATAGAAATAATGAGGGAGAGAAGAACAAACCTATCACCATGCCCCAGGCAACATTATAGAGAAGTTTCAAACCATGTTTCAAGACAAGGCTGTAAATACACATCCTTGGCAAATTATACCAATTATGCCTCCCTGGTAAGGTTGTCATGCATATAAATATTTACCTATCACTTAACATAATGCTTGCCATCTAGTCAAAGCTCAATCAGCAAGGGACAATCCTACAGAATCAGGGTTGGGGCCTCTTGGCCATTTGCAAATTGCAATGCTTCCTTCTGAACATGAATTTGGAAAGCAACCTGGGTAGGAAACCACAGCAGAGCAAGGCAATTGCCCTAGGAAATGTATGTAAGTTATAACTTACAAGGCAGTG
The DNA here is from genome assembly GCF_000001405.40 of Homo sapiens. NCBI lineage: Eukaryota > Metazoa > Chordata > Mammalia > Primates > Hominidae > Homo > Homo sapiens. Next base: position 29,084,485 of record NC_000018.10, read on the forward strand.
GAACTAAGCATTAGGTATTTTCTAGTTCTTTATAGCTTACGTTTTCTCTTGCAGTCTGTCATGCTGGTTACTTTGTAATAGCTCTGGTAAGGAAATTTGAGAATGTCCCTCTAAAGTCTTAATGAGATAGAAAATATAATTGGATAGCATCTTTAATACAAAAGAGAGAGACATGGAATTACAGGGAAGAAAGTAAGACCAAAATAATGTTCAACTTAATCTTTAAAAGTATTTTTTTTTGTCTGAGCACAAGGAGCAGTATCAAATGTCTGTTCAGATAGTTGGTGTGGTCCAGAAATTAAATGAGAGACCTCTTATTCTATGTGCTGGGTAACAAGTTTGGGTATGACAATTGTGTTTTCCTGAATAAAAATAGAAGCAATTAACTAAGAACACTTCCCACTGATTTCCATCTCTTAGAATTTTATACCATTTACTGTCTAAATTTAAATTTGTGCTTGGTTAAAAAAAAATAGTTCTCCACTGATCTAATTTTCCCTAATTTATATATGACACACACACCCACAGACACACATATGTAAAACACCTCTAACTAGACTCTCTTTTTATTTTTACTAACTCATATTTACTTCTTGACAATATCTATTTCTCTTCGTATCCATGACCTGCTTGATATGGTTTGTATGTGTCCTCTTCTAAATTCAGATGATAAAACTTAATTAGCAATGTGATGGTATTAAGAGGTGGGACCTTTAAGAGATGACAAGGCCAAAATTGCTCCTTCCTTTTCAATGGGATTAAGTCCCTTATAAAAGAGACTTCACAGGGTGTTCTGCTTACTTACCCTTCTGCTTTCAGCCATCTGAGAACACAGTGTTCCTTTTTTCCAGAAAATGCAACAACAAGGGTCCATCTTGGAAGCAGAGGGCAGCCTTCACCAGACAATCAAACCTGCCACCTGCCTGTGCCTTGATGTTGGACTTCTCAGCTTCTAGAACTGTGAGAAAATAAATTTCTATTTATAAATTATCTGCTTTCAGGTATTTTTGTTGGAGCAGTACAAAACAGACTAAGACAATAATTCTGGCTGCACTTTGATATTCATTTAAGTTTCTATTTAACATCTTGTTGCTGTGCTAAGAGTGTTCATGTGACTTCAGTTGCTTCTGCAAAGATCACACGAAGATACTAGTTAATAAGGAGCTTAATTTTTGCTTAGTCTCAGAGTCTTATTTGTCTTGGATCACTTTCCTCTCCTTTGTCGTAATTTGTCCGTATTAGTGGCTCTCAAGCTAGGGTGAATCTCTGAATCTTCTGTGGAGCTTCTCAAAGACACAGATGCTACCACTGTAGCCTAGGGTTTCTGAGTCAGATCCTGGATGGGATTGAGCATTGGAATAACAGATGCATAATTAGAAGATCCCAGGGTGAGCTTTGCCACCCCTTAGATTTACTTACATTCCATAAGAAAGGTCTGTTTATACACATTTTGCTGCCCCCAGCTGCACAGATTTTCACTTTGCTTAGTAGGCCTAACCTGCCAGTCCAAATTTCTACTCCTAATGTATAAACTTGTGCATTGACGTTAATTCGTCAAGTTTATTTCTTCCATTTTGATAACTATTAAATCATACTGAATGTCCAGCAAGTAAATTTTATTTGAAAATGCTATTAAAAACTAGGTTTAAATTAATTAATATGGTACATTAGTTAACGGTATAGGTTAGATAAATGCATTTTAATTTTGTTTTCTGAGAAAATGCTTTAAACAATATATTACATTAGTAAAGAAAATTCCACATTGTAAACTGAGCTGTTGATGTAATTATTTTATCTTGATTAGTGTTTTTGAACCCTTTCAAATCAGGCCTAACAACAGGTCTCCTATTCTATCTCTGTGCTTGCTAATCTATTATCACTTTTAGGGACAACATTAGTTAAGAAGCCCACAACAATTATTTGGTATTATATCATAATTACTCTTCTCTCTGGACAATTTAACTTTTTCAAGAACACAAAGTAATACAAGAATCAAACTATTATATCACAAAAAATGGTTTTATAGTTTTTTGTTCCGTTATAAAAATAGTTTAAAGAATGGAATGCAAGAAACTTATTCACGTGTTCCAAAAAATTGCTTAAAATAGATGGGATGCTTAATGTGATTGCCATTAAAAGAAATCAGTAAGGAAACTCTTCAGCCATTGAAGCAATCAAACACAGCTGAATAACATTTATTGGAAACCATGATATATTTTATAAATCAAGATGGTAAATCAATATCAAGGTTGAAGGTGCACCTGTGGTGATCAGTCTTGGTTGCATTTTCCGGACAGGTGACCACATAATATGGATTGGGAAGAGGCTTATATTGAACAGAGGAGATAAACTGATATCTGGGTCATTCACTGCATACAGCCACAAAGAAGATGGGAACTTAATGAATGAGTCTTCTTATGTGCATATAATTACATAAACAAACAAGAAACACTCATGTGAGAGTAGTGGCATTGTCAAATTAAATGGTTAGTATATGTTAGAGGTTACAAAATTAAAAATAAGAAGCTGCATCATAAATCATAGAATCTGTGAAGCAAAAAGTACCTTAGAGAATGTAACTCAACACTCTCATTTTACAGATGTGAAATAAAGAAGCGGAGCAGATAAATGATTTGCTCAAGCCAAAATAATAGGTAATGTCTAGATCGAGAAACCCAGATGCTATTCTTTCTGTTTCTGATGTATATTTGTAATATCCAGGAATTACACAAAAGCATACATAGACATGTAGAATTAATATAATGTTTCTATGGTGAAAGATATTTAGCTAGTTGGTTTTCTGGAGTTTCATTTCTATTTTCCCAGAAGTAGAATTTTATTTATAAAAGGTAGACCTCCAGAGAAATCCACAAAAGTTTTCATGTCAAAAAATATATTTTCCATTGCAGTTGAAAAAAGGAGTGGTGGAAAATTTTGGTTCGTGTAACTTTGAGAAGAAAAAATGGAAATCTAAAATGTTTTATTATAAATTTAAATAGTCACAGTAAAAAACATTTCTTATATGGTTTCTAGGTTGACATTCTATAGTATGTGTCTACTCTTCTCAGTACCCTCAAACTTCAAATTCAGTAAGTGAGAATTTGTGAGTGGGAATGTTCGAAACAGAACATGTTTAAAAAGGAATGTTATTTGTCTCTGTTAGCATCGAGATGAGCTATTTCCCTTCACTGTCAATCAATGTAATGATTTATTGTTGTCTTCTGACAAATATTGTAAATCACCATGGAAAATTTTACACCTTCAGTGTTTCTATTCACAAACTCTAATTAGTGTTGAATCATCTCCTACCCTAACTCTCAGTGACTCTGTGTGTCAGTTACCAATTGCTTTTAACAAGCCACCCCAAAGCTTAATGGCTTGAAGTAACTATTTAGTTCATGAATTCCATGGGTTATCAATTTGTTATCAACTGTGTGGTTCTTCTGTTGGTCTTGACCAACCTCACTCATTCAATAGAGTTACGTGTTAGTCATTTGGAAGACTGCTGCTGGGAACTGAATGGCTGTGTGCTGTGACGACAGAAGTGGCTAGGCCACATGTCACCCTCAAACAGCAGGCTAGCTGTGGGTTTGTCAAATGTGGTGGTGGCAGGGATCCAAACAGCATAAATAGCAAGAAAACATCATTGTGCAAAAGGTTTTAAGTCTCTGCTCACATCATAATGCTAATATTCTCTGGGCCAATAAATATGACATGGCCAACCCAGAGTCAGGAGGTGAAGAAACAGTTCCCACCTCTTGATAAAAATACCTGCAAAATCACACCACAAGCCATAAATTCAGGGACGAAAAGAATTTTTCATCAGTTTTACAATTTACCACATGTTGGTGCTGCTCATAACTGAGGAGCTGCCTGCATAGACTGTCATAAAATTAAATAACTTGTTCAATGTCCCATACATAGTCAGTTTTAGAGAAAGCTTCAAGCCAAGGTATGTTTGATTCTAAAGCTATCGAACCATCTTTTGGCAGATCTTAAATGTATTTCACTCATATTCTACTTTCATCTCCACTGTATTATCCTAGTTTAAGCCATCATCTCTCACCTGGTTATAGTCTTCTAATTGATCTTCCTGTTTCCAACTCCCCTACCTGCAATACATTTTCCATACATAATCTGAGCAATATTTTTAAATGTAAATCAGATTATGCTATTTCACTAATTTAAACCTTTCCATGGCTTGTCATTCTAGTTAGATAATAAAAATCCAAATTTCTTATCTCGACTCACAAGATACTACAAGATATCTCCCTTCCTTTGCTCCACAACATCTATCATTCTATCTTTCCCAGGATTCACTATGCTTGAGCTACATTGACCTGTTCGCTATTTCTCCAATATATTGAGCTTATTTCCCTTTAAAGCTTTTGCAATTGCTGTTCCTCAAGATAGAACTTCTGAAAGGAAGCCTCTTTATTCTCTTGAACTACTTATCTTTCTCTGTCATTACACAGGGCTCACTGCCAATGTCACCACCTATAGAAAGAACTTTCTTGACTACTCTGTGTAAAATGCTCACGCTTCTTCTCTGGGTTCTTCTCAAAGGCAATTTATTACATTAATTTAGGGGTGGGGGCCACGGAGGGGTATCAATATAGCACTCATTCATATTTGAAATTATCTTGCATATTCATTTACTTTCATAAGATATATTTCCTTTCTAATCTTATAAACCAAATAACAGTAGAGACCTTGTGTATCATAATCACTGCTACATTCTTAATGAAGGAACATTGTTTGACACAATATTTATTGAATTAAGAAATGACATGCTTCAGAACTTGAAAAAGCCCTGAAAGAAATGATACAGGGATCTTTCCATACTCCTTGAACTTTCAGTAATAACCCAAAGCCCAACAATTTCAAAACTCAGTCTCTTGAGTTTTGTTGTTTTTTAATATGAAAATCTACATTGTTGTGCATGGCTCTAAAAGGATTAAAGCATTCATCTTCAGGGTGTGTAGGTCAGATATTCATTCAGGGAATCTACATAACCAAAGATAAAACAATGGTCTTTGTTTGAAATTCTTTTTCTCTACCACCTAAATGACAACTATATCCCTACCAGATATGACAAAGGGGTAGTGATAAAGGGTGAAGAAAATTGAAGACCTGAATGATGGAGAGAAGTAAATATTGATAGGAAAAAACATAAATAAGTATTGATAAGAAAAACATTGTGGAGCTAGTGACACAGAAGACAAACTTTATTGACTTGCTCTGATTAGCCCTGTTTTCTTTTAACTTGGTAGAGACAAAAATATAAGCTATGCCTGGAGTATTTTTGTTATGCCTGACTGAAATATAGGCAGCTGTGTTTTAGATGATTTATGAATATTTTTTAACACAGATTGTGTAGAGGATTTCAGTCCCAGTGGAATAAAGTATACTTGACAGCAGAGTTATAACTAGAAAAACTGGTAAGAACAGACTTATGGAGATTAAGAAATGTGTCCTAGATTTAAAAGTGTGTACACCAAATAGTTCAGTCTTAAAATTACCTTAAAATATTGGTAAAGAAAGAAAAATAACTGTTAAACTGCAAAATATATTATCTTTTCTCTCAGTGCTGCTCACTGAGGTATATTTTTTAATGCTGTGTGGGCATCGTAACAAAATCGGCTTCTTGAGAATGCTTATGTTGGAATATTGATATTTCCAGAAGATTTGTGATATAGCAACATGTCTAAAGAGTCTGCTTTAGACACTGACTAGAAGGAGCATATATCTTACTCAGTTTGATTCTCAGTTGAGAAATGCAAAATACTCTATATCCTTATTATATATTATGTGTACATGTATGTATCGAGTGTTCTTATTTTTGAATTTTTTGTTTGCTTTGTATTAAAATAGTAAAATTTCTGCTCCCACATTTATTTAAATCTTTATAAGCCTGCATCCATAAGGTTAGTCAACAATGTGCTTTTTTAAAAAAATTGCTGTGATTGTTGCTCTATTTTAATGTATTTACACCCCTGAATATAGCAACTATTGAAACATAGCTATACACTCAAATAACTTGAGTATTTAAGAATCAACATTGTCTACTCAATCATTCAATAAAATATGTTCACTGAACAACTACTAGGTGGAGGGAACTAGCTAAGTAACAATTGAAAATTCTAGATAAGAAGACATACCTCTTCTTAAAAAATAATTAAAATTATATTTTAGTGAAGACAATACACATTCACAAATCAGTAAAACATCAGATGGCAAACACTGTGTGCAATTATATGTAATACTTTAAATGGGTGAATTTATAGTAAGTGAATTTTATCTCAATAAATTACTAAAAAAATAATGCATACAAACTGATATTTACAGAAATGCAAATTAATGTTTACAGAAACATTAAAGCTCCAGGTAGATTCCTTGAAGCCTGATATTAGCTGGTAGGCACAGCACAGCAGTTCTGTTCTTTACTGCTGACATCTATTCTGACTGGGGTAGCCTGTGTTCTGATTGGTCAGAGCAGAGAATTTGCCAGTTATTATTTGATTATCACCTCTGCTCTCAGGGAGAGGATTTGGAGTAGAAAAACACTGAAAGATAGGCAAAAGTTGGAGACAGAGATGTGAGACCAAGAAAAATGCAAATGGTAGAAATTAAAAAGCAGTAGTCTACTGGGATAGAGGCTTAGGAGAGTTTCTTAGGGAATGAGATCATGGAACCACAGGCATCAGAATACCAGAGCGGCTTATCAGAAATCCAGAGTTTCTAGCTCGCTCACAAATGTATGGAATCAGATTTCCCTTGGGTAAGACTAAGCAAATTGCATTGTAATACCACTAGATAATAAATTATTAATAAAAGTATTCTCATCAGATAATTTTTAATGTTTTAAACTAAAAGTGGTAGAGCCATTAGGTTAGAGCACATCTTTAGTACTTGCCGAGTTTGATTGGCATTACTGAAACAGAAGAATGACTGTGAAAACTAGACAGAGTGGTTTGTTTCAGATTTGAGGATAGGAATAAAATGGCTTACAGAGAAAGCTGGAGAAGATGAAATTACTGGAGTTTTGCTTTATTTAGTTAAATCAATGTTATAGTCTAATCCTAAAAATTTTTTTTAGCAATTAAAAAACAAAATATAATGGTAGAGATACACTTCTAGACTCTCCTGGGGAATATATAGAGCTGGAAATAGCATCACTTCTACACTTAGATGAAAAATAGTTGGACACACTGTAAGTTCATGAGTTTTTTGAGCCAAACAGAAACTTGTGGTCACAGTGCAAGAAACTGGCCTAAGATCTAAGGAAATACAGACACCTACAGAAAAAGATGAAATGCCAGAACTTGGAACAGATGTAGCTTGACACAAGTAAAAAGAAGTAAGTTGGAATATTTCATAAATTGGTGGAGGTCAAGTGTAGGTTGGTGAAAGAGTGTGAACCCTTGGGTCTGGGCACATAAGGAGAGTTCATATCCTTTGCAGGTTTTCTCCTCTAGTAACCCCAATTGCCTAGAATGGTGGTAAAGTGTCCTGTCTTGAGCAGACCTGAGGGAGGAAAAGTAACTGCCTGGGAAGGACACAAAACTCTACCCAAATGCTTCTTCCCATTCTCTTTTCAGAACAGAAGTCTTAATCTGTATTAAGGGGAGGGTATCAAACACGATCATATTTAGTGTATTTGCAGTAAGCCTTGATAGCTGGATGTAGGTAATGGGAAAAAAAACCTACCTGAGGGGAGGGGGCCAGAATACTTGCTGGGAATAGAACTACAGTTTGGGGATGGGAGGTAGAAAAACTAAAAAGATTTTGGGTCTGACAATCACGTACGCATTGCCTCCTTAATACTGAGACTAAATCAACACAATAGAAATGACCCCTACCCCTTCACTCCTGCTCCCAACCACCATCATGAGCCTAACAAGTATCAAGTAACAAATAGCAATGAATACTGCAAGAAGAGTTTCAAGAGCATGAAGACAGACCAATCCCAAAGCACAGTGCAAAGGGGATACCCAAAGCTAAAAGTGAAATCAACATTTAAAAGCTATCTTGCAAATCTTCCCCCACCTTAAACCTAAGGGAATGCTAGGGTATCTGAAGAGAGTGGTACTCTGAGGTTAATTAAGGAAGAAAATCCTCAAAGCCAGGTCATCTCTATCTTAACTCAAATGCTAAAGGCCTAGCAGAGCTAAGAGTATGCACATTTCCAGTCACCAAAGCAAAACAAAACAAAACAAAAACAACAACAACAAGATCGATTTACCTCTGTTCTGTATTATTATACATGTGATGACCATCTTTCAACCAAAGATTAAAAGACAAGAAAAAAAAGACACAATGTTAAGAGATAAATTAATCAGTAGAATTAGATCTCAGGGCACAGATGTTGAAACTATTTTACAGGAAGTATAAAATAACATTTTAATATGTTAAGTTTTGTAATAAAGAAGGAGGACAACATAGTAAATGGATAAATTCAGCAGAGAGAAAGAAACTATAAGAAATAATCAAATAGGAATAGATTTTTTTTTTAAATGCAATAACATATAAAGACTGTGTTCTATAGGATCATAAGTAGACTCAACAGCTCAATTAAAAGTCAGTGAATTTGAAGATACAAATTTGAAACTGAAATTAGCTAAACAAAACCACAGTAAAGTGAAAATAAATAAATAAATAAAAAGAACAGAGAATACAAATCTGTAGGTAAATAGTAAAGTTCTAATACACACAATTGACATCCTAGTAAGAAGACAATGAGAGAGAGAAAACAAGGCAGAAGTAATATTTGAATAAATAATGGCCCAAATTTTCTATAATAATGATAAATATCAAACCACAGATATAAAAATTAAAGAAATATAAAATCAGATAAATATCAAACAAAGCACGCTTAAATATATCACACTCAAATGGCTAAATACAAAAGACTAAAAGAAAATCTTGAAGGTGGTTGGTGAAAAAACAGGCAAATAAAGCAAAACTCCAGTCAGAGGAATAAACGCAAAAATTACAACAGACTTTGAATTTGGAGTGATATATTTAAAGAGCTGAAAAAGAACAACAACAAAAGTCAATCCAGAGTTTTATACCCAGTGATATATGTTTTAAAAGTAAAGTAGAAATGAAAACAGTCTCAGCAGAGAAAAACTTGGGGAACTCATTGCCAGCAGGTCTATTCAACAAAGCTATTAAAGTTCACACACGAAAGAAATATAAGACCATACAGAAAATTTAAGTTCACAAGGAAAGGAAGTACATTTGAAAATACAACAAATAATGGTAAGATGAATTTCATTTTGTCTTCATTCTTTTAATTGCTCTTAAAGGTAACTGCCTGATTGAAGTAAAAGCAAATAGCAAAGTATCATGTTTCTTACATATTACAAGAACATTTTATGACATTAGCACAAAAGATAAAAGAAACAATTAGTTATATATTTTTCAAGGTTCTTACACAGCAGGTAAAGTGGTATAGTGTTATTTGAAGGTGCAGATAAAATGCATTTACTAAAGATGTATATTATAAACATAGAACAACCAATAATATTTTTTAAAAAGAGGTATAAAAATAAGACACTAGGGGAGATAAAACAATGAAAAATGCTCAATTAATCCAAGGAAAGGAAGATAAAGGAGTGAGGTGTAACAAAGGACAAAAGGGATAAATTGAGAATAGCTACCAAAATGTTAGATTTTAATCCAGCAATATTAAAAATGTCACATTAAATATGAACCAAGTAAACCCACCAAATAAAAGGCAGAAATTGTCAGATTGAATACAAAAACATAACACAAATCTATTATTCAACAAGAAACTCACTTTAATACAAAGAATAGCTTATTAATATAAAGGTTATTTTCAACAAAGTTGCCCAGACAATTCAATACACACAAATAAAACAGTGTTTTAAATAAATCATGCCAGGACAACTGTATATCTACATGTTTAAGAATAAAGTTGAATCCCTACCTCACACTATGCACAAAAATTGAGTCAACATGGATCATAGACTTAAGTGTCAGAGTTAAAACCAGCAAAGAAACCATAGTGGATGTTTGTGATATTGGGTTAGGCAGTAGTTTTTCAAGTATGACATCATGAACACAAGTAACAAAAGAAAAAGAAAAGATGAATTGGCTTTATAAAAATGAAAACTTCTGTGACTTCAAAAGATGCCATCACAAAAGTGAAAAGAATGGGAGAAAGTATTTGCAAAAAAAAATACATATACATATATAAATATATAGATATATATTTATGTATCTGATTTGACAAGAAACTTACCCAGAATATATAAAGAACATTTAAAATTCAAATATCAAAAGACAACTCAATTTAAAATGTGCAAATAATTTGAATAGACATTTATTTAAAGAAGATGTAAAAGTGGCCAATAAGCGCATAAAAAGATGCTCAACATTATTTATCATTAGGAAAATGCAATTTAACACCACAAAGAAATCCCACCACTCACCCATGAGAACAGGTAAGACAGGATAAAAAAGACACATAATAACAAGTAGCCTTGCAGTATAGTTCGAAGTCAGGTAGTGTGATGCCTCCAGCTTTGTTCTTTTTGCTATTCATGGAATAAGTTTAAGTTGTAATATTGATGTAAGTAACGATTTCAATATGAAAACAATTTCTTTTCTCTATTGCAAAAATAAAAAATAACAAGATCATGTTATTTGCAGGGACATGGATAGAGCTGGAGGCTATCATCCTTAGCAAACTAACACAGGAACAGAAAACCAAATAACGCATGTTCTCACTTGTAAGTGGGAGTTAAATTATGAGAATACATGGACACATAGAGGGTAACAACACATACTGGGGCCTTTTGGAGGGTGTAGGGTGGAAGGAAGGACAGGATCAGGAAAAATAAATACTGTATACTAAGGCTTAATACCTGGGTGATGAAATAATCTGTACAACAAACCCCATGACACAAGTTTCTCTATGTAACAAACCTATGTACCCCTGAACTTAAAATAAAAGTTAAAAAAATTTAAAGCAACAGCAAACACATCTATATTCTAAAGTAAAATGCAAGCATAATATTTTCTTTAAGTAATAATTTGTCCATGTGATTATTTATTCTTAGCCCAAGAATGCAATACTATTAGGGTGGTGCAAATGTAATTGCAGTTTTTGCCACTAAAGGGATGGCAAAAAAAGTAATTACTTTTCTATCAACCTAAATATATAGCTATGCTATTGTTTATCTCCTAGATGTATTTGAATAAGTATATGCTACTAATCTTGTAAAAAATTATTGTTAATGCCTCTGCCTATCTTTTCCACTTTCGAAAATGTTGGATTTCTCTTTTGAGCATGTTTTCTAAATTTTTTGAGTTTGTTCATAGGTGAATGTTACCCTGATGTGAATAAAACAAAACAACTACAACAAAGGAGAAAAAAAAGGAAATGGAAAAGAAAAAAAATACTGATTTTAATTTGTGCCTCTACTAATTACAAGCTATGTGATCCTGAACATATTGATACTTGACCCTCAATTTTCTCATATTTTAATTGGTAATATGAAGGCCTTCTCTACTAATTTATTTTTATTCTTGTTAGTATCAAATGGGAGCACTCTAATATGAAAAGGGCAAACAGAATATAGAGATATAACACAGATTAATACCCTAGGCAAGGCAGCAAGCAAACTCCTTTTAACCTTCCAAGCTGCAAATTGGAGGCATCTGGGGCGAAAAGAAAAGGATTTCTGAATAGGACAATAGAACCTTCCATGTGAAATTTATCCCGGAAAAGCGCCTCCACCCCCACCTCCCATCTAAAGACAGAGGTTATATGTTTCACCTGGTGCAATCCATCAGGACAGCTGCAGAAAGTAATTTATAGAAATGCTGTAGCAGTCATTTATTTATTGATTTTTTCTGGAAGTGTTAGCACAGACCATTCAAATATTTAGGTAACTCAAATATCAGCTGCACCCCAGCCTTCGCGGACCGCACTGTTTTAACCTTGTGCTAACTTGTGTAGAGATCAGACCTTTTCTGCTTTTCAGTAAGTAATAAATTTTACATTTTGTGGCTATTTTGTAGGGGAAACTCTGTTGTGGTGAGGAGGAAGTTGTGGATGGAGATAGTGTTGGTGGTAATATTACATCACCTCACAAATAATACTTCCTTTTACACCACACATACACGCTTATTTTTCTTTTTAAGATCCTTCTTGAATCATATAGAAAAGTAGTGATGCTTTCTTCCCTAAGCCTTCTCTCCATTAAATTTTTAACCGTGTTCCAGTCTTCTACTTTCATCTCATGTTTTCTTTTTTGAAATATCAAATTAGTCTCCTACAGTTCATGAAGAGTAACTTCTTTTTTCCTTAGGGAAATGGGATACCCACTTCAAACCCAGGCACTTGGCTCTTGCATTTACCTTGCAGAGGCATTGTTCTCAAAAAAATGTCTCTTCTGTTGATAGAATTATTTTACCAGGGGCTAAGAATGTAAATATTTCTCTAAATTATCAGATTACTGGATATATTGCTGTTCAACTTTCCCCATGCCCTACTAGCCTTCTCTTGAATGTGTGTACAGGGCAGCCAGTTATTTGCACCCTGTCTTCACTTCCGAATAGCTGACGAAGTCTATTAGCACATGGTATCTCTGGCTCTCTTTCTAGCTAAAATAGGGTAATGCTTTCATTGTATATGAGTAATTGTCTGCTTTTAGAATTTAGCAACATTTTAGAACACAACTAACTGAACTCCTCCCAAGAACAGGCAATGGTGGGCCCTGCTTACTTCTGATTCTGTCTGTTGGTTTTCTGAGATTTCTGTTTTAGTGTAATTGCTGACCAGTAGAATATTTTACATGTTTCACTCCTGGTGTAGGCCCATATTTATTTCTAGTAAGAATCAACTGTGTTTTCTTTGGTTCAGATTCATTTTGGTGAGATATCCCCAAATATGACTTTGCTTGATATTTGACACTTCTATTTCCTTTTTAAATCTCTTTTGAAAGCTGTGTCCAATCTCCTTTTCATTGCACCTTGATAAACTATGTTACTGTATGTTATTTAAAAAATTTTACATGTAGTAAATTTCACTTTTTTGGTGTATAGTCATATGAGTTCTTATACATAGATTATCAGAACCACTAACAGAGACAGAATACAGAATAATTCTATTATCTCGAAGAATTCCCTCATGTTGCCCCTTCATATTCAGACCCTGCAAAAAAATAATATAGAAGAGAACCTGGCATCCACTGATATTTTCTCTTCTCTTGTATTTTTGCCTTTGCTAGAATAAATGGAGTCATGCAATTGGCAACCTTTTGAAACTATATTCTTTCACTTGGGAGAATGTATTGGGATTCATTCATGTGTGAATTGGGTGAATCAATAGTGCTTTCTCTTTTTATTGCTGAATAATATTCCATTTTGTGGATATACCACAGATTATGCATTACCCATGGAAAAACATTTGAATTGTTCCAGTTTTAGGTCTATTATGAGTAAAGCTGCCAAAACTTTTGCATACAAGTTTCTTTATTTCTTTGTGTGAAATATATTTTCATTTCTTGTGGGTGAATACCTTGGAGTAGGATTCCTGTGTCATATAATTTTATATTAAAAACTGCCAAACTGTTTTCCAAAGTAGTTGTGTAGCTGCACTTTCTTTTAAATGTCTTGGTCTTACTTAATATTTACATGATTTTTTTTACTTAGTAAAAAAAAGAAAATTGCAGCTGTTTTCTAAGTATGTCTTTAGGCAATTAATATAATCTAAAAGAATAATTCTGAGTTTTAGTAGGGTTGAACTTATTTTATGCTGCAGAATTTAAAAAATGCATCTGATATGATTTTTTTTTCTGTTAATCCTCTTTAAAATTTCTTATTTGTTTGTCACTAATAGTGTGCAGAAATAATAAAAACATGCCTCTGATATCCTATCATCCACCTTTCAGTTAAGGCAGTTAGACTGATTTGGCTCTTGTGCTGTAGAGAAAGATCTTGAAGTAGTATCACTTCTGTAATTTGCATTTCTTAGCATGCAGCATGTATTATGAATTTGAAGTCTATTTGTAGCAAGTCTATGAATTAAAAGGAAACATAAACTGATAGTATAGGTATTATTTATTTTCCTTTAAAACTTTTCTTAGTTTCAGTGTGATTACACTTGATGTCTCTCTCTGGTGATTTCTAATCTATGCAGGTCCTGGAAGAAGAAAGGGTATGCATGAATCTGCAGTCCTTATCTTTCAGACAGTGGCCTTTTATACACTCCATATCAAGGATCTAGTATATGAATGAAGGACATGCTAAAGCCAGAGTTGGAAAATATTTAAAACCTATGTAGTTTTGAATACAGTTATGCTTGTATTTGACAACTTAATTCAATTATTTCTAAATTTCAGGTAGGTTCTAAAATACTTTTTTTAGACTTTTTCTCTCAGATTCCAGTATGTTGGATTGCACATAGCTGTGACAGACTCTTTATTTCTTAGAATGTTCTTTTTATCAGGATGTTAATGAAACCAGTGGGAGAAGTTTCTAACATCTTACTCCCACAAATAACTCAAACATAATACTGGAAAAGACAGTCTCCTAATAGGCACCTGGTTTATCTATCCTCCTGATATGGTTTGGACCTGTGTTCCCACCAGATCTCATGTTGAATTGTAGTCCCCAATATTAGAAGTAGAGCCTGGTGGGAGGTAATTGGATCATGGGGTGGATTTCTCATGAATCATTTAGTAATATCTGCCTTGATATGTCCTCATCATAGTGAGTGAGTTCCTGTGAGATCTGGTTGTTTAAAATTATGTAGTACCTCCATCCTTTCTCTCTTCCTCCTGCTCCAGCCATCTGAAGTGCTTGTTCCCCCTTTGCCTTCCACCACGTTTGTAACTTTCCTGAGGCATCCCTAGAAGCCGAGAAGATGTCTGCATTATGCTTCCTATACGTCTGCAGAACTGTGACCAATTAAACCTCTTTTCTTTATAAATTCCCCAGCCTCAGGTATGTATTTATGGCAATGTGAAAATGATCTAATACACCTATACATGAAAATGCTGACTCCCATCCTCAGCTGGGGTCCTCTTAGGTCAGGTAGTTGCTGATAGAAATGACTGAGAGCATGCTCAGCCAGGACTATGTAAAGATAAAGACTACAGGTGACTGATTGAACCCACATAATGTAATAGGAAGTGTGCATTAATTACAAACAATACATCTAATTATAATTATGAATGAAAACCCAGATTTTATCCTCATTAGGAACACGGTAAAGAGCGGCCAGATATGGCGAGAAGAATGCTTTATTCTTTGTCCTAAATCTATGCTTGTCTGAATTTGCATCTACCTTACTGCTTTAGTTCTATGCCCCACATTATTTTTATCCCTGCCAGTATACTCTGGAATGGTAATTTTCTTATTACCATCTCATTTCCAATCTATAATTGCTCACAGTTTTCCTATCAAGAGACTTCACTATTCATCAGTGCAGCATTGCTTTTCTTTAAGATACCCAGTAAAATGTGACCTCTTCATTACTTATTTTTTAAAGACTTATACTATTATTAAACCAACAGAGGCAAATGGCTAAGCTAGCAGTATTATGCTACAGCCCTTCCCATCTCCCATCTTGTCTGCAGGAGCAACATGTATAGCTTTTTATTTTATTCTTTCTGATAAATCAGTAACCCTAAGTAATATACTTCCACACAACTTTTAGTTTACTTGCTTTAGATATTACATATTTATTTCCTATTTTAAGAAGCAAGGATTTAGCTAGCTTATAAAAACTTCCATCTTTCTTTCCCCATCCTGACAATATAGGGCTGCCACACCTTGCAAATAAAAATATGTAATGCTCAATTGCGTTGGAATTTCATATCAGCAAAGAATAATTATCTTCTAAAAAGTGTGTCTCAAATGATACATGGGACATACTTATATAAGAAAATTATTTCTTTATCTAAAATTCCAGTCTAGCTGAGCATCCTATATTTCATCTCACAACCCTATCAGAGTACATATATCATTGTATTGTATTAACTCTGTTGGTTACGTTTTGTAGCAATGTACCTTTAATTCATGGTCCATCAAAATTATTTTTATTCTCCACTTTGTGAAATGCAAATATTTTGTACTTCCTCTTTCTTTTAACTGTATTCCTGTTCTTGTTTCTGTATTTATAATTTCTAGTTATGTAACATTCACATAAACAATGTTTGCATTATTTGTGTTTAAAAAAAAATATTCATTGCAGAGCTAAATTGAAAATGTTGACTACATTGTTTTTCCTGAAATTTTTGTGTTTCACTACTCCAAATATTTTCTAATGCCATTTTTCCCCTTGGTTAACTCTCATGTTTTCAAATATTCTCTAACTTTCCAAAGGCTGACTTCTTGGGACCTTTCTGAACTACAGTCATCTTGGGGATTGATTCCATTTAATGCTTTCCTAGATTCAATTAATTTTTTGTCTGGATCCTCATTCTTGGTGTATTTGTTTTGCTGAGAAAATGAGCTCCATTTTCAAGTAACTTTCTAAAGAATTTGCTGAGGGTGATTTTTTGAGATCTTGCATGTTTGAAAATAGCTCAATCAATTCTTCATACGTGATTGATAGTTTGGTTGTGAACAGAATTCTAAGATACAAATAATTTCACTTGAGAGGTTGGAGGGAATTGCCCTCTCGTCTTCTGGCGTTCAGCATTACTGTTGAGTCTTGCTGTTCTGATCTTATTCCTGTGTCTGCATCTCTTCTGCCTTTTTTTTTTCACCCAATATTTACAATCTCTTTTTACTTAAAATTCTCAAACTCTATAATGTTGTAATTGAGTGCATAGTTCCCCCATGCATTGCACTGTGTGGGCTCGTTCAATCTAGAGACACATTTATTAATTGGGAGAAAATTTCTTAGATATTTCTTTAATTTCTTTCTCTACTCCAGTTGTTCTGAACTTTCTCAAACATCTATTAGTTACATGGTAGTGCTTCCAAGTTGATTCTTCATGTTCTTTATTTTTCTCATATCTTTTTTTTCTTTGTTTTTATCTCTTTGGAAGAAGCATCAAGCTTTATTCTTTAATACTTGTAATGATTTTTTCCCAACACTTTATAACAAAAATTTTCCAATTTAATTGAAAAAAAACCCTCTTGTCCTCTCATTGTTTAGTGTTTTTTTTTTTACATTGTGTATTAAGGATGTACATTTTTTAATATCACTTTCTTCTGGAGTAATTTTCTTAATTTATCTTTATCTCTTTTATTTAGAGGAATTCTCTAAATATCTCATGAGTCTTGTCTTATTAACTCACATTTAATATTGAGTGAATAAACAATAACTTGGCAATTCTGGCTGCATCGTTGTGACTTGTGAACAGGTGGGCTTTGCTTTTGAGTGTTTGGGCAGAGTAATGCTTCACTTGGGAAGTCCTAAATACCCTATTGATTAGGCTGTTCAAATTCCAGAGGGGAGAACCTTTTGTTTTATTAGTTTTATATGTTTAGTGGGGTACAGTCTTGTGCAGTTATCTGTATATAAGCAGAAGTATATGTATGAATATGTATATGTCTGTGTAACAGAGAATGTGTCTTAGGTGAGTTAGTTGATTTTTTTCTTTTTTTATTTGTACAAATTTATGGGGTATATGTGCAATCTAAACTTTCCCTTTTCCTACCCACTGTATTTACAATGCTGTAGACCAGGCTAAGTTGCATCCTTCTCCTTAGTTTTGG
The DNA here is from genome assembly GCF_000001405.40 of Homo sapiens. Lineage (NCBI taxonomy): Eukaryota > Metazoa > Chordata > Mammalia > Primates > Hominidae > Homo > Homo sapiens. The sequence goes on from NC_000018.10 coordinate 29,102,194, forward strand.
GTAAGTCTCATCAGATTTTGACCAACTTCAACAGGCAGGCATCTTCAGTTTTGTTGTTGTTGTTGTTTTTCTGTTTCTCTCTCCTAGTCTCTCCATCATCATGTTTATGCCTTGATATTCCTTCACTACAAGTTTACTGGAATGTTCCTAGAGATAGGGGATAAATGTGCGAAATTCCCCTGTTGCAAAACCAAGTGTTTGCCTGGGAAAAGTAATCTTGGGTTTTGTACCTATTGTTATACCTTTATAGAAGGCCTAAATATTCATTTCCAGGAGATATGTCAGGGATGTGAGGGTCAGAATTTCCTGCTCAAGGCATGGCTGTGCCATCTGCTGTCTCAGTGAACTTGAGAAAGTTATTTAATCTATATGAGGATTAAATATTAATCAATATCTGAAGAATTACCTAGACAGTGACTTGTACCTAACAGGTAATAATAAATAACTATAAGAACTTTCCCTAACATATTATTCTATGCAAGAAACTTCGTAAAATAGCTCATTTTGAATCTAGACACTTCAGAATTATTACACATCAGATCACATTAATAATTCATCTCCATGTTGTCAAGTCATAGAAGAAGAAACCAAATGTCCAGCTCTAGGGAAGCTTACAGTACAACCAGTCAACTTACTGTGACTTGGGCAAGTGTTATATCATCTAGTGCTCCTTCATGGAGACAATAATATCTGTTTCATAGGGTTTTCACTGGAGTTAAATATGTTCATACATATAAAGTGCATAAAAATGTACCTAGCAGAGAGAATCCTTCCAATGTGCATTGTTATTAGAATAATTGTTTTTGTATTATTATTATTTGACTTTCTGTGTAAGAATTTTACATGTATCATTTATTACCTTATCTTAGTCTTATAACATCCCTTTGAGAAAATACTATTATTATTATCTTACAGATGAAGAAATGAGGCACAGAGTAGATAAACAATTTGTTCAAGGCAGCACAGCCAATTGGTGGTACAGGGAGGACTCAAGTCCAGGCACTCTTATTTCAGGACCAGTATTAAGTCACCAAGATAAACTATTTGAACAATAAAAGTACGATAATTAGGATAATACAAAGTACTACTCTAGCTTGGGTTTAGCCCCTGGGTAGGGTTCAGATTGATATAGAAAGGAGAGATAGTGGGACCACCAGGTTGGGTTAGTGCACAAGTCTGGCACTGATAATTATATTAAATGATAATGAATTCATCTACTTGGAGATATCACCTTGAATTATTTTAAAAGAAAGAGAGTAAATGTTAATTCCTGATGAAGAAGTTTTTCCATATTAATAATAGGAATACTTCAAAAATGAATTGAAGCTAAGTGTTGAATGTTAAGAATTTTTTTTTTACTTTTCTTAAGAATTGTGAAAAGTGCTGCAAGTACTGATAAAATGTACATTTCTTGAAATCAGGAACCTCAAAAAATGTTGCTTACTGCACCTAATAGTTTAAAAAATTCTGCAATATTTCCACAATTGCCTCCATCTCCTTGTCTCGTAAGTGTTTTAGTTTTGTTTTCAGTGTTTTGTTTTCCTTTTTCCTCCCTCCATATTGACCTGGATATTTAGATATTTAACTTTAAAATCCATATGTTGTCGAGTTTCTTAGTATAGCTAAATGCAAATTCATCACATCCTCTGGTTTGATTTAGGGGAGCAAATTTAATTCTGCACTGTAAATAAAAATACTTTGAATATGTAATAGGAATGCTACTTCTCTCTCCCCAGTCCTCATTGCAGACATTTAAGTTATTCATAGATGCTATTCCCGTAACACTTAAAATGATTATATCTATTGCCAACTCCTATAAATTATTAACATCAAAGCAAGTGGTTCTCTGGCATACAATTTCAGCTTCCACAGAAAGAGGAAAACTTAGGGCGATTTAAATAGATTAAGGAAATTCAATTGATAACATGGTCACTAGAAATTTCATCTTTGTTTACAAATGCTTTTCTTGTTTTTTTTTCTTACTTGTTCTTGTTCACAAGATGATCATAGAAAGGAAGGATTCTGTGAAGATTCCAAAGTTCAAGTGTGATATAGCTGAGTAAAGATTATTCCACCCAATCTTTCCTCACAGTTTTAAGTAATGAGGCAGCAGAGCCACCGCTCACTTAACAACATCTTGTAGTTATTAGTTTATTCAGCAAGGGCTTACAGACTGAATTTATAAAACAAGGATTTATTGAGTTCAAAGAAAGGAATGATGAAGATAAATTGAGAGATGTCTAAATGAAATTAAAAATTATTACCTCCTCAGAATTCAGACAGTGGCTGGCTGTTGTATGCAATATCCAGTTAACAATGTCAGGAATTAAAGGTATGCAACTTGATAAAGATGGATGTCTTACTTTTGTGGATACAACTTAGGCAGTTTAGAATAAATATTGTAATAATTGATCTTTCTGAATGATGTGCAAGTGCTAAATGACACTTGATCTATGGTATCAACTTCCTGCCGTTGGCACTGATAAATGGTCCTCACGTCTTTCCTGATAAAAACATGGTCAAGCTTCAGTTAGACATATCAAGGTGCATCAAATAAAGTTGCATATAAATGGGTGGGAGACTCCATTACGACCATTTTAATATTAGCCCAGACTAAAACCATTTCTGCCACATATGCTGACAGTAGAAAGATATTGCAGATGAATGATGTTCAGATTACTCTGTCATAGTAAAGATCGGGGGAAGGGAAGTCAAGGTCCCCTGTTTCACAGCAGCTGCCTGGTTACCTCAGTAAGTACAAAGCAGCTTCGAAAAGGTTATTAATAGCCGTATTGACATTCTGATTGAAAGTAATTTTTCAGCAGGCTTGGGTATAATTCAGTAGAGATTTTATTGGCTCTCGACCAGCAATTTCAAAGAAATACTTCAATTAGTAATGTAATAATCTGTCTGTAGTTAAGGTGTATTTAGGAAATGTATGCCTCAGCTCAGATTGGAATTGTGTTATAAATAAGAGTCTGCCTGTTTGTTTGGAACAGGGTTATTGTGACTCTACAAGCTATAAGGGTAAAAAGAAATAGTATTAGGTACTTAAGTAGATCAGAGTACATTGGCTGAATCTTTGGTGCCCAGACTTACTACAAGCCAGCTTTTAATTTTCTAGGCTGCATTTAAAACACAAAGTCTTCTACTAGACTTTTGTTTTTGTTTTGCTCAAAATTCAAAAATTCATTACTCTTTTTATGTTTCTGTCTTTTTTATTATTTTGGAGTAATAAATATTTATTTGTTCTTATGATGAAGCACTGATTCATAGATTGATGAAACTCATGAATAGATATTTTTCAATAGAAAGGCAATCCAGAGTTTTGGAAACAGAAATTCAAAGTGAGTTCCTATGGGAAATGCAATTCCTAATTTTATTGTTATTTTTAAGGCCAATGCTTTCTCTGGTAATTAATTTTAGCTGCTGCACATCAGTGTAACTTTTGTATCCCCTATGTTTTACCATATTAATAATAGTGTCCCTAATGTGAAAAAGAGTTACACGAATTAAGTTCAACTTAATAAAGGAATGTTAATTTGCATTACCCTTGGAATAAAGGGACCTGGATTAAATGGAGAAGAGTTGGCAGAAAGGGAAACTTCTATTTTTCTGTAGTTTCTGTGTGTTTTTTACCATGTATGTGTACTGATTTTTTTAAGTACAGTATCATTAAAATCTCACAAAGTAAACATCCCCAGGTAAACATCATCCAGATTAAGAAAGTGAACATTTCCCAAGCCAGAATTTTCCTGTGTTCCCCCTGCAGTTACTACCTCCCTAACTACTCTTCTGACTTCATGTAGCAGACAAGAGTTGTGCCTCTTCTTAAAAACTAAATATTAATGGAGTTATACAGTGTGTGCTCTATGATGTCTGGCTACTTTTGTTCAGCATTGTAAGGCTCGTTGATCTTGTTGCACATAGTTGTAAATCATTCAGTTATCCTTGCTGTAGGATATTCTGTTGTAGGGATGCATTTATTCATTCAATTGTTGATAGGCAGTTAGAAACTTCAAGTTTGTGGCTATTGATAATTGTGCTGCTTTGAGTATTCTAGGACATGCTTTACTGGTAAACATATGCACAGATTTCTAATGGGTATATCACCAGGACTGGAACTATGGAGTGGTGCAGTATGTCCATATTCAGTTTTACTAGGTATTTTCAAAGAGTTTCCCAAAATGGTTGTACTTGCATAGACTTTTACCAGCAATGTATAAGAATTCTGATTATTTTATATTCTCAATAATACCTGACATTGTTTGTCTTTTATTAGCCATTGGGTATCCTATTTATTAGCAACTTTTGCCTGTTTATTCGTGTTACATTGTCTTTTTATTGATGTATAAGTACTTTAAATACTCTGGACATGAAGTTTTTGTTGTATATATGTATTTAAAATATTTTCTTCTAGTTGATGGGTTGCCTAGGGTCTCTCTTAATTGTTTCGTATAATAAACAGAAATCCTTAAATTTAATATAGTCAAAACAGATAGGAGATAAGAGGCCATCTGCAACCCCTTCACTCTCTACAGGGGATTACTTATAAGAAGGATGGTTGCAATCAAACTTCCCTGTAAACAAATTAGGGACTATATACCAGAACCTTCATGCTAGTGACATTCTTGGCAGAAAGATAGAGTCCTATCCACAAAATCATTTAGTAGTAGAATGTACGTGGTCTCGCTGATTATGCATTGAAAATCATCCTGAAAATTATGGACTTATGATACATAGCATTGCTGGCTGGATAATGGAGACTGCTCATTTAGGTTGTATAACCAACAGTAGGTAACATGAAATTAATCTAAAACCAGAATGACTCTCTTTGTGTAAGTAATGTTTCCACATAAATTGCAGAAGGATAAGGATATTTTAGGGACTGCCTGAGACTTCTCCAGGAAAATAAACTAAGATAAAATGTATACACAAACTAATTTTCCATGCAAAATTTTATTATACCAACGGTTCTGTGTTTCCTATACATGTTTCTTAATTCTCCCCTTGCTTTTTACAAATTTGACGTCACCGTAGGGGCATTGTGTCAATATTTAATGGAGATGGAGATGGAATATTTATATCAATATTCAATATTTGACCTAGGACATGGAATTTTTACTTTCTGTAACAGACTTACTGAATAAACAAAAATATTAACATAATTTGATAATATTAGTTTAATTTCAGGTGGCTTTTACTCTTTTTTTGTGGATTTAAGGGTACAAGTGCAGTTGTGTTACATGGATGTACTGCATAGTGTTGAAGTTTGGGCTTTAGTGTACCCATCACCCAAATAGTGTGCATTATATGCAATAGACTAGTATTTCATCCATCATCCCCTTTCCATTCTCTCACCTTTTGGAGTTCCCAGAGTCTATTGTTCCACTATGTAGGGCCGTGTGTACCCATTGCTTAGCTCCGACTTACAAGTGAGAACATGCAGTTTTTCACTTTCTGTTTCTGAATCATTTCACTTAATATAGCTCCATCCTTGTTGCTGCAAGAGACATGCTTTTATTCTTTTTTATGGCTGAGTAGTACTCTACAGTGTGTGTGTGTGTGTTTGTGTGTGTGTGCATGTATACACACACACATTTTAATGTAATCATCTGTTGCTGGACACTTAGATTGATTCCATGACTTTGCTATTGTGACTATTGCTGGAATAAACATATGTGTGCAGATACCATTTTCATTAAATGATTTATTTTCCTTTGGGTAGATAGCCAGTAGTGGAATTGCTGTATCAAATGGTAGTTCTATTTTTAGTTCTTTGAGAGCTCTCCATATTGTTTTCCACAGAGATTGTACTAATTTACACTCCCACCAACAAAGTATGTGTTCCCTTTTTACCATATCCTTGCCAATATCTATTGTTTTTTGACTTTTTAATAAGAGCCATTCTGACTGATGTGAGATGGTATCTCATTGTGATTTTAATTTTCATTTCTTTGATGAATAGTGATGTTGAGCATTTTTTCATATGTGTTGGCCACTTGTATGTTTTCTTTCGAAAAATGTCTGTTCATGCCGTTTGCCCACTTTCTAATGGGGCTATTTGTATTTTTCTTGTTGAGTTGTTTGAGTTTCTTGTAGATTCTGGATATCAACCCTTTGTCACATGCATAGTTTGAAAATATTGTCTCCATTTTTTAGATTGTCTGTGTTCCCTGTTGATCATTTTGTTTGCTGTGCAGAAGGCTTCTCATTTAATTTTAAGCCCAATTTGTCTTTTTTTTCAGTTGTGAATAGTGCTGTGATAAACATATGTGTGCAGGTGTCTTTTTGATAAAATGAATTATTTTCCTTTGAGTAGATACTTAATAGTGGGATTGCTGGGTTTAATGAAAGTTCTATTTTTAGTTCTTTAAGAAATTTCTATATTGTTTTCTATAAGGTTGTACTAATTTTTATTCCCACCAACAGTGTATAAGCAATCTGTTTTCTCCACATCTGTACCAACATCTATTATGTTTTGACTTTTTAATAATAGCCATTCTGACTGGTGTAATATTGCATCTCAATGTGGTTTCAATTTGCATTTCTCTGATGATTAATTAATAATGTTGGGCGTCTTTTTACATGTTTGTTGGCTACTTGCATGTCTTCTTTTGAGAAATGTCTGTTCATATCCTTTGCCCTTTTTTATTGGGGTTATTGGTTTTGTTTTTATTTTGTTGTTGTTGTTGATTTGTTTAGGTTTCTTATAGATTTTGGATATCAGTCCTTTGTTGAATGCATAGTTCGCAAATATCTCCTTCCATTCTGTAGGTTGTATGTTCACTCTGTTGGTTGTTTATTTTGTTTTCCAGAAGCTTTTTAGTTGAATTAAGTCTCATTTTTCTATTTTTGTTCTCGTTGTATTTCCTTTTGAGAACTTAGTCATAAATTCTTTGCTGACAACAAAGTTCTGAAGAGCTCTTTTGGGGTTTTCCTCTAGGATTTTTATAATTTCAGGTCTTATACTTAAGTCTTTAATTGAGTTAATTTTTGTATATGGTGAGAGATGGGGGTCTGGTTTCCTTGTTCTGCATAAGGCTCTCCAACTTTCTCAGCACCATTTATTAACTAGGGAGTCCTTTCCTTAGGGTATTTATTTATTTATTTTTACTTTGTCAAAGATCAGTTGGTTGTAGTTATGTGGCTTTGTTTCTGGGTTCTCTATTTTGTTCCATTGCCTATGTGTCTCTTTTTATACCAGTACCATCCTGTTTTGGCTATTATAGCCTTGCAATATAATTTGAAGTCAGGTAATGTGATACCTCCAGCTTTATTCTTTTTGCTTAGGATGGTTTGGCTATTTGGGCTCTTTTTTTGGTTCCATATGAATTTTAGGATAGTTCTTTTCCAGTTCTGTGAAAAATGGAACCGGTAATTTGACAGGCATTGCATTGCTGTAGATTTCTTTGGGCACTATGGCCATTTTAATGATATTGATGGTTTCAATTTATGAGTATGGTATATTTTTCCATTTGTTAGTGCCATCTAGGATTTCTTTCATTAATGTTTTGTAGTTATCCTTGTAGAAACCTTTCACCTCCTTGGTTAAGTATATTCCTTGGTGGCTTTAAATGCAATAGAGGTTCAGGAAACAAGATAATCACAGGACCAGGAAATTTGAAAAGACTCAAGGAAAACAAATGATCTCATCTAGTATTTATTTTGGAAACTAAAACTGATAGGTAGTTTGGAATGGGATATGAAGGGTTTAAAAACTAGGCAGTGGAATTGACCTTTGTGAAATATCACCTGTTCTGGTGCTTTTTGTCAAGCTTACCCTAAATCATAACAGAAATACAGTAACTATGTCTTTTTTTCTTTCTTATTTGAAGAATAATAGAAAGGAGAAAAAATTTGGATATCCTACTTGCTATTAATAAAACAATATATACTAACTTTTACATTACCTGAAACATGACCTAATATTTTAAACCTTTAATATTAACTTTATGCATAATGCTTGTCTTAATTGGGAATGATTATTTTGAAAACAGTACATTACATATGTATCATTTAAACCTCACATGTTTCACTTACAAAGGCCATAACTGTGAACATAATTTTATGATTCTATCAGGCTTTATAAATCACAAACAAATACATACAAATAGTGCTAATGCATTGTGTTGGTAATTTAATATAATACAAAACTTGTTTGAAAAAATTGAGAAATGAATCTTTGCCTTGACACATCTTATATTATCCCCATTTAACATTATTTGACTTTGTTAAACTTGTTAATGGTAAATAAATAGACCACAATTAATGGTTAAACTATTGATAAATGTCTAAATGAGAGAAATTCTTTGTAATTTTTTCAAAGCAAAACCTATTTTTGCGTAAAAAGCATGTAGTTGTTAAATTTAAAATTTTGTTATATAGTTTTTAATGAAACCCCACTTTCAAGTCTAGATGGGACACCTCATTTCATATGGAAGTTAAATGCAATACCTACAGGCATATTCAATAGTTTTTCACAAAGCACTTTGTGATTTATATTTATTTTCCAAAAATATACTTCAATGAAGGCCTAATACTCTCTATCACACATATGTACGGCATTATCTTAGCCTAGGAGATATTTTGGGTGGAAATAGTTAAATGCCTGTCTTTATCACAAAGAAAGCTTAAATGGTACCTCAAGAACATGCTCATGTGAAACCTCAAATCAATGAGTTAACCAGGGTAAGTTAGCCACAAAATGCATCCTCTGACAATTAAATCGTTGAGTAGAATTGCTTACTATAATCAAGCCGGATACAGGAGAAATGTGTACCAAAGATGCCGACTTTTTCAGACTTTAGTTTATTATGAGCTCTGTTTTCTGATATTAAGCAAAAAATTTAGCTGCTTCTTTTTAACTATTAAACTATAAAATATGTTATTAATTATACATAAATAATTGTAATATGTAAATAAGAAAAAATATTTCAGCAGTGCAGAAGCAAGACTCTTTTCTCTAAATTTATTTCACAGAGATAATTGATAAGTATTTCTATTATTATTTCTTTTGTGGGTGGTCATTGTAATGTTAAAAATAACATATCCTACTTTTATTTCAGAATTTATGAAGCTGAGGAAATAACTGCACTTATATTGCCTTCATGCTTTTTATTTTACCACTACCTGACTGTGATACATATATAATTTTAATTCATTTTTAAAGTTACTTTTATAACTTGAGATGCTATATGCTTGAATTTGTATTTCTCAGTTCATCATTTTGACCCTGTATTATGAGTAAATTAGTAGATCTACACTCCTCTCCACTTATTTTTCTTTTTTTTGTCAGTTCTGCCATTGCTTTTATGGAGTCACACTATTAATCATTTGCATTCTAGTCTTAAGCGTTCCGTTTTGCCAATGAGATGACTCTAAAAAATAAAAAGCCCTAAAAATTTTATGGTTATAATTTACTGCATATTTTTCATTTTATCATTAGTATACATTATTGTTTTCAAAATATTTTAATTTATATGCATTTACAAAATACATCCCTTACCTTACAATATGAGAGCTTCTGATACCAGCAGGAACGACACAAACACCTAAACATTCGTGGGCTGAATTCTAGTTGAGAAAGAGTTTTGTACACACTTAACATAAATAAAATTTACTTTAAGAATTGAATTCTAAATTTATATAATAAGTAAAGACTTGGAATATGTCCTTCAAAAGACATGTTAGCAGTTGGAAAGAAACAACCTGTTGGGTTAATGTTTCCATTTACTTTTTCTGGAAGTGAAAGAACAGATGGTTTTACAATGATCATTGTTATTTGCCAATATAGTAACTTGAATAAAGGGTCTGGGGTGTGTGTGTGTGTGTGTGTGTGTGTGTGTGTGTGTATGTGTGTGTGTGTGTTTAGTCTGTTCAGGCTACTATAATAAAAATACCCATAGACTGAATGGCTTGACTAGAAAATATTTATTTCTCATAATTTTGAAGACTGGAAGTCCAAGACAGAGGCACTACCAGATTCAGTGTCTGACGGGGCCTGGTTTCTGGCTCATACCTGGCTTTCTTCTTGCAGTGTCCTCACACGACAGAAAGGAGTAAGAGCTCCCTGGGATCCCTTTTATAAGGGCACTAATCCCATACATGAGGCTTCACCCTCATGACCTAATCACCTTTCAAGAGCCTCACTTCCTAATACCATGACCTTGGAGGTTAGAATTTCAACACATGAATTTGGGGACAACATAAACATTCAGTCTATAACTGTATGTGTGTGTGAAGGGGTGGGTTTGTGTGTTTGTATAGGCCAGGGGTTAGCCTCTTTGTCAATGAGAAGTTGGTGGGGATATAAGAACTATTGATCATTGAGAAGTTTATCTGTTGGTACCTAAATATACTCTGTCTGTGAAAATAAGTTTGGATCCCAAGGACTCTTCTCAGTAACTGGGGCACACAGGTCAGTTGAAAAGAGGATGGTGATCGGGATAGGTTGTTACTATTATATTAAAAACTGGATGTTTTCATCCTAAGACAGAAATATACAGTCATCAGAAATTTTGTAATTACTCAACAGGAATGTTTATGTTTAGTCTGCTGCTTACTAGATATGTGACCTGGGACAATTTACTTAATGTCTCTGGGCCTCAAAAATCCCATCTGGAAAATAGGGATAATAACAGTCCTGATGACATAGGGTTGTGAAAAAATTAAATTACAACAGTATATGGCACATTGAAATGAATAATTATGTATTATGTTCATCTGGAAATACAGTTCAGCTACTAAGAATGACTCTGACTTTATAATGTAAGAGAGATTCTTAATTGTTTTTATAATAGTGATTTTTTAGCAATTTAACATCCCTTAAATAATTTTAGTCTAGAAATCTTTATCAATGTAATAAATATAACCTTTGAATTATGTATTTTTTCTACTACATAAAGACAATTATATATTTTTTAAAGAAATAATCCCCCTTCCCCCTTTTTTAAGTTCAAGTTCATCTCCTGGCACAGTATTTGCATCAAAATCATGCAAAAATAGTGCAGTCTAGTAATCAATAGTTTAGGCTTTAGAATAATAGTAATATTTATTACAATGCTGTGGTTTGCTGACTAGCTTGGTGATCTAAGATATTAAACTTTCTGTGACTCAAATTCCTCATATACAAGTTAAGATAAAAACTGGCCACCTTATAGAACAGTTTTGAGGATTAAATGAAATAATATCTGTAATAAACTATACATCTTACTTTGAGCATAGAAAAAACACAAAAAATGATGGTTTTGAAATCATTAATAGGGACCAGCCCCACTGTAGTATTCACATTACTGTAAAATACCTGGATAAACTAGACATGCAAATATACATTAACTACCTTAGGGTACTATGAGAGTTTTAGTCTAGGAGGGAGGATATGGCTCGTGACCTGAAGAGAAAGGTATTAAAAATTTAGAAAATGCAACTCTCTCATTTGAATTACTTCATATTCTCCATGTCAACATGTTCCATCTCTAATAAACTATATAAAGGTTACATTAAATGAATCACAGAGAAGACTGTGTGGAGCATATTTCAGACTTTGTAAAGAGTTTTATCCAACTGTAACCTTTGCAGTAGTGATATCTAAAGTGTCAAATGAATTGAAGGAGATATAAAAATGTAGACATTGAACAACTACTTTAACAGAGCTAGATCAATTTGCATCCAAACTTCACGTAAAATAAAGCATTCTTGTGCAGTTTGCCTGTCAGCACATTGACATTGCAATCCTGGTTTATTTCTATGCATGCCTCTGTGTGTGTGTGTGTGTGTGTGTGTGTGTGTGTATTATGTTTTTTAAAGATGATCAATATTACTAGATAAAATTTAAAAGCTAGGACTGCTAAATATAAAAGTAAATGCATTGGCAGGGTGCGATGGCTCATGCCTATAATTCCAGCACTTTGGGAGGCTGATATGGGCGGATCACTTGAGGTCAGGAGTTTGAGACCAGCCTAGTCAATATGGTGAAACCCTGTGTCTACTAAAAATACAAAAATTAGACGGGTGTGATGGCAGATGCCTGTAATCACAGTTACCTGGGAGGTTGAGCCACGAGAATCGCAGAGGTTGCAAGTGAGCTGAGATTATGCCACTGCACTCCATCCTGCATAACAGAGAAAGACTCCATCCTAAAAAAAAAAAAAAAGTAAGGGAGGCCGAGGCGGGCAGATCACGAGGTCAGGAGATTGAGGCCATCCTGGCTAACACAGTGAAACCCCGTCTCTACTAAAAATACAAAAAAAAAAAAAGTACATAGTATTAAAATATGTATATATTTAGAAGGTGTAATCACACGGTAGAGATAGTATAAATACATAAAAATAAGCAAGATGGTACTTTTCTTCTATGTGTTTATGAATGGCGTGGTCTAAATGTATCCCCTCAATATTTTTCCATTGAAACCTAATCCCCAATGTGATAGTATTAGAAGGTGGGTCCCCTCAAAGATGATTATGTCACAAGGTCTCTGCCCTCATGAATGTGATTAGTGCTCTTATAAAAAGGGGCCCAGAGAGCAAGCTAGCCCTTTCTAGTATATGGAGGTTCATGGAGAATGTGTGGTGTATGAAGAAGCAGGCCCTCACCAGACACCCATCAACCTCCAGAACTGTGAGAAATAAATTTCTGTTTTTTATAAGTAACCCAGAATTTTCTTACGGCAGCCCAAACAAACTGAGAAACCTATAATTATACTTCTTATGATAATGAATTACGTGTCTTAATGACAGTTTCTATCATATTAAAGAAAACAAATCTAATTTAAAAATTAAATTTACCTAAAATGTGTGAATTTATCTAAAGTGAAAATCAGATGTATTTACTTACCTATTTATTTAGTTTCGTATCTATACACACATTCAACCAGAAGGAATTAAGCTGTTAAAAAGTATTATTTAATTGATGTACAAATTAGAAATAAATTTCAATCACACATCAAGAAACATTTTCTATAATATTAATTGAAAATTTTCTTATGCATTGTACTGCAAAACTTTAAGATTTTATAACCCCTCATTGGACCTGAAGTTATTAAGAGGTGAAACCCAGGCAGTCACAATCAAAGAGAGTGTTAAATAGAACTATATAAGAAAAGTAGTGGCATGTAGTTATAAATATCTTACATTTAATGTATAAAGCTTCTTTCGAGAAGAGTTAGTTATATAACCTCAGAGGACTTTCAGAATATGAGATTAGAAGCAGCAACATCACGCAGGGAGTTGACAAGCCTGCAGTCAGTCATTTCTCTGACTCCACTTTCTAACTTCACTTTTTCTACACAAACCAGTTTGATCTGGATTTTTTTTTCCCCAAGACAGCAAAAAATATATACCTTATTAAAGTGCCAGTGATCTGTGCTTTGCCAAAGTCAATGGTTGCTATCTGTTGGACACAACCAACTCCTTGGAAACCTTACTTCTCTAGGATACTGTGATACTACCTTAGCTGGCTATGCCACACCAATCAGACTCCACTACTGGTGACTCTCCTTTCCTGGAGATTCAGTTTCTGATCTGCCAGTCCTCTAAATATAGGAGACTTCTTCCCCTCACCTCTTCTCTTTTCTCTCATTAGGTGCTTTCATTTAAATCTCATTTAAATTGTTCTAGAAATAATTTTACATGCTAATCAAGTCTATATTTTTGCCCATTACCTGTCATTTAAGTACAAACCATCATTATCCCTAAACTTTTGCTCCTTTATAATCTACTTTCTGCAAATCAACCAGACTAATGTTTCTAAAGCTTTAAATTATTATTACTCTCCTGCTTAAAAGCCCTGTAAGTTATTCCTATTGCAATGAGAATAAAATATATCACAGATCAAATATCTCCTTCAGAAAGATATACAGCACCCCAACCACCCACCTGTGCACACACTGGGGTAAATAAGCATGTGTAATTGCTTTCTAAACTGGAAATTAACTTCGTTGTGTTAGCAGTGGTGGTGGTATCAATGATGATAAAGATAATCATGACACAATGCCCTAATTAGAAACTTTGCCCAGGGACACCACCAAGCCAAGAAGACTAAACAATGTGACACAAAACTTCTATCCAGAACTGAATAACACTATATTCTTTCCACAGTGGCCTTTGTCTGTAAGAGATAATGTGCCTAAAAATTCTAGGTTCTATTAAACACTGTATAAAATATTTATAAGTACTAAATGCATATGGATTTCTCACCAATATGTAGTGTATGGGATGATTTTGGAAACTTGATTTAAATAAGCAAAATTAATACTCATTTGCGCTTTGCTATTTTCCTGGGCCGTTTGTGCAGGATGTGATTTAGATAGGTTGCCCAGCATGGTATCTTCCTTCCTTTCCTTTCACTAGTTTCTCTTCTTAGTTTATTTTTCCCACCTAAATAATGGCAATTTAATCTGGAAACTTAATTACTACAAATTTAATAGTAGAAGTTAAAAAATCCTAATTTGAGCTCCAACCAGTTATTATTATATACTCCTTAAAGGTACTACATCTAACTCATGGTAATGTTTCAAATAGTAGAGATATTTAGCAGTCCCCACTGAGAAGGTACAGACTGGCCTTCGAGTTTCTTCCTACCATATCTGGTAATATAGCACCCATCCTAGGAGAACCGGATATTGCTGTAATAACCCCATTTAACATGGAAGCATAATACATGGTAAATGGAATGAGATAAAGCTGGTTTTGAACATTGGCTGTGACTCTGTTGTAGGGAAAAAAATAGCTGTATGTGACATACCTTTTTTTTTGTAAAAAAAAAAAAAGCTCTTATCTGCATTTTCTCAAACTCATTCTTTTTTATTTGTAAAATAAGAATAATTGATTTTTTCATTGGCTTATTATGGGTGTTGTAATATTTTATGTGCCACTATAAGAACTGGTACCGGTAGTTAATTTTACTCTTATATTGACTAAAGTAGATTATTGAACTTTAGCTCTATCTTGAAATACACTTAGTCATAGCAATTGTTGAAAATGTGTCTGGGTTTACCTTGATAGGCTTGTCTAACTATTATAAAGTACCACTCTCCCCATAAAATACAAGCAAAATGAGAGAAAGCCCTTGAGACCTGATGAGTAGCCTAGTTCCATTCTGATGCTCTCATACTTCAAAACTGGGGCTCAGCCCAGGAGGGTTCTTGACTTTGCTCAGGAAAGAACTCAAGAGTGAGCTGACAGTGAAAGAAAGGAAGTTTATTAGATCAACAATGTACAGCAAAATGGCTGCTCCACAGACATAGCAGGACTGTCTCTTAGGTAGAGTCACCCAGAGCAGCACTGGTGGCAGCAGTTACAGCAGAGTGGCTGCTCCACAGACAGAGCAGGGCTATCCCATAGGCAGAATCATCTAGGGCAGCAGCAGCGTGCTGGCTAGGTATATTTATACTTAGTTGTATTTATATGCTAATTAAGAAGCAGATTATTCAGAATTTTCTAGAAAAGGGGCAAGGAAGTGATTGTAACTTCCGGGTTATTGCCATGGCATTTGTAAACTGTCATGGCCCTGGTGGGGGTGTCTTTATGCTAGCGAGCAGTGAAGGCAACTAGAGGTCACTTTCCTCTATCTACTGGTTTTGGTGGCAGGTTTTTCTACTAGGTTCTGTTTTGATCAGCAGGATTGTGATCAGAAAAGAAGTCCTGCTGATCTCCTATCTCAATTCCATTCAGTTCTATTCCATTCTATTTTTCTACCCTTGCTTAGTTGATGTTTGTTTTTATATATTTTGATGATTGCCATCATGTTATGGTCACTCTGTGCCCTCATGCTTTTCTAGAAAATTTATATATATATATACACACACACACACATATACATATATATACACACATATACATATATATACATATACATATATATGCAAACCTGTATACATACATACACACATAGACATATACAGATATAGATACTAATAATTTTCCCTTTGGAAATTTTTGTAAAAAATTGATGTTTAAAAAGAGTTTAAAAGGTACAGCATATTGTATAAAGATTTGAGTTTGGTCAATTTCTTTTTAAAAACCTGTTGTAAGGCCGGGCGTGGTGGCTCACGCCTGTAATCCCAGCACTTTGGGAGGCCGAGGCGGGCAGATCACAAGGTCAGGAGATCGAGACCACGGTGAAACCCTGTCTCTACTAAAAATACAAAAAAAAAAAAAAAAAATTAGCCGGGCGTGGTTGCGGGCGCCTATAGTCCCCTATAGCTGCTCGGGAGGCTGAGGCGGGAGAATGGCGTGAACCCGTGAACCCGGAAGGCGGAGCTTGCAGTGAGCCGAGATCGCGCCACTGCACTCCAGCCTGGGTGACAGAGCAAGACTCCGTCTCAAAAAAAAAAAAAAAAAAAGCTGTTGTAAATAAAGCTGAGGTTGAACTTAAAGATTCATATTCCCTTTCATTATCTCAACCTTGCTTCCTCTGTCTACACGAAGACCTCAACAGCTCTAGTCATAAACAGATTCTATACTTTGGCGAAGGTCAACTTCTCCTGCTGCAATTCTGGATTGACATGATAATTGGGATCCTGTTATTAGGCAGATGAAGCTTGCAAAAGATACTTTTCATATTCATAGCCCATTTAATGTCAACATTGTCCTGATAAGATTATCATCTTTTCCCATTTCCTCTGAATGGCCCTGCAGTTTTGCAGAAGTTGATAACCATATGTATATTTCTGTGGAAAATTTTATACCTAAAAAATTCAAGAGTAATATCTTGCGCACTTGTTTTTCTATCACCTGCTTAAAAATAAAATATTTCAATTCCTTTTAAATCTCTTCGAAACAACAATCACTATGTTTAATTTGATATTCTTATATTTTGGCAGGTATTACATTTTATAATGTATATATTTTATCCCTGAAGTACATATTATATTTTATTATATTAAGGTTTATTCAAATGTTATGTTGCCTACATTGTTTTGCAAATTGCTTATTTTTGTTCAATATATTTTTGAGAATAATACACCTTGGAAATATATAGCTAGTGTGCATTCATTTCCCAGCTATTAAATAAATACAATAAATGTATCTGCTTTTCACTTTGTGAAAATTTAGTTTGCTGATAAATTTTCTTTATTATAAGTGGTTCTATGTATATATCTTCATGTATTCATGTTTGCGTACGATTGCCTCCCTAGAGAAAAACTGCTGGGTCTTACAGTACGTATATCTTCAGTTTATTTAGATTGCCAATTTACTCTTCGAATTGGTTGTAACTAAATTCCTACTAGCAGGTTATAAAAAATATTTTTGCTCCACATCCTTGTCAAAACATGTTATTGTCAGATTTAAATGTTGCCAGTCTCTGAGCGTGAAGTAGTTTCTTTAACTTACATTCCTCTTATTGCTAGAGTAAACCTTTTTAAACACAAATCACATTTCTTTGAATTTTCCATTGCTGTATTTTTTCCACTTTGTTGGAGTGTTTTTATTTATTTTCCTCTCTCTCTGCCTCCTTTCTTCCCTCTTTCCTTCCTTTCTTTTTTTTTTTTTTTCCACCAGGTACCATAGTTTATTTTATATTTAGCATACTGCTTCTTTGTATGTCTTATGCCATGGAGATACATCGCCAAGTCTCTGGATTGTGTGTCTGTGTGTTTGTGTGTGTAATTTAATGCAAGTACTTTTACAAAGTATATTTTATGGTTTGTACTTTTAAGGAAAGACACTCTTATTCTGAGGTCACGTTTAGGATACAATATATTTATTATTTATGATATATTTATATCAAAATATAACATTTGCTTTTCAGATTAAAGTCCTTGTGTGAAGACTTGATTTTCTTTGTATGAGTGATGACTTTTTCCAGTACCTTTAGTTATTAATAAATATGCCATTGTTTCATCTATCATCAGCAATGGCACCTATTCAAAATCTTTCCATGTATTGGTGGATCTATTACTAAACACTTTGTTGTCAAATTCTATTCTATTCTCTTCTATTCTATTCCATTCCATTCTTGCCTATCATATCACATCTTACCCTACCTATCTTCATCTATCCTAGCATATCTTATCTGATCTTATACTGTATACCAGTGTACCCTTACTTATCCCATTCTGTGATAGCCTAGTCATCTGTCACTGAGCCAATACTTTCTAAACTATTTCTACACTACTATATCTTTATAATAATTTAAATTTCTGTTGTTTTTATCTACTAGAATCACCTGTAGTATTCTTGATCTCTTCTATATTCTTGATCTCTCCTTGGTCTCTTGTTTTTAGCCACCTTTCTCAGTTTCTTAAAACACTGTGCTAACTGGCATTGCATTTAATTTAAAATATTAATTTGGAGAAAAGTAGCATTTTTAATACTTTGAGCTTTCTTATTTCTAAAATCTTCATGTATTATGTCTTCCTTTAATTAATTCTTTATTAATGTCTTTGAATGTAAAATTTATTTTTTCTAGAGTTTTTATCCACATTTGGTAGGCATAGTTCTATGTATATTTTATAAGGGGCTAAAATGAAAATTATCTTTAAAATTATATTTCCTAATAGACATAAAATATAAAAATGTTATCCAGAAATTTTATTGTACAGTCTTATTTATTCATAACTGTTCTGTGGAGTCTATTGGTGCTCTATGTAATTGTTCCATTTTCATTTCTTTTTTCCAAATCTTTGTATGTATTTCCTCCTTTATTTTTAGGCAGGTACTTATTATTTCATGTGTACATATTGAACATAAACCAGGATAATTATCATCTGTATTTACTTTCCAATTTAAAAAAGTAGATTATAATTTTCATCATGGAGTTGTATTTATACCATTATGTCATTGCTGTTGTTTTGTTTGTTTTGGGTTTTTTAGGTATCGTATATCAGGTTAATGAAAAAGGAAAGCTCCTCATTTACTTACTTTTCTTATTTATTTATCGTGCATTCATATTGAGTTTTATGAAATTCCCAGGCTAAACCTGATTTTCACTTCTTACTTTTAATTCCCTAATAAACTCAGTTTGAGAATATTTTGCTTTGGACACATACCTCTATATTCATGATTATGGTTGGAATTTTTCTTTTCTAATCTTGTCCTATTTTGGTTTCTAGAACAAAAATACATAATGTGTGATGTGTTAACTGATGCCAGTTTTGAACTGTTTGTTACTGGAGCACACACACACACACACGCAAAGACTTTTTGAGCCAGAATTTAGAGAGAATTTAGACTTTAAGCTGCCATCATAGCTCACTGCAGTGTCAAACTCCTGGGCTCAAGCGATCCTCTGACCTCAGCCCACAAGTAGCTAGGACTACAGGTGTGCAACCGCCATGCCCATCTATTTATTATTATTATTATTATTATTATTATTATTATTATTATTTTGTGTAGAGACAGCATCTTGCTATGTTGCTTAGACTGGTCTTGAACTCCTGGCCTCAAGCAATCCTCCTGCCTTGGCCTTCTAAAGTGGGGTATTACAGACATGAGCTACCATGCTGTGCCTTCAGCTGATATTTTTGGAAGCAAGACTTTCTCAGTGAAGGAAGCAGCAAATTGATTTACATTCTAGTGCAAACTACTTATCTCATTGCTGATCAGTAACAAATAGCTGATTGACTACTTTGAGTAGCACTATTCTATATTATACTATCCACAAAATGAGTTTGGTAACAATCTTCTACTTTCAGTAGAGTTCTATTAAATTTCTCATTATCAGCTTTTTGAAAGTTTTGACAATTAAAATTTTAAATTATTTTTTTCTAGTTGTTGTGTAAGTATATATGTCTGTTGAAGATAGATTTTAAGCTTCTGATGGAATATTTTAATAGTTATTGTTATATTAAAATTTTCTTCTTGAGTTAGTGTTGTTCAATTACACAAATCATATAACTTTTACATTCATTTGAATAAAAATATTTATGTATTTTAATATTATTTTAAATCATTTTTATATTCCTAGTGTGATGGCTAATTTTATGTGTCAACTTGACTGGATTATGGGATGCCCAAATAGCTAATAAAGCATTATTTCTGAGTGTGTCTGTGAGGGTGTTTCCAGAAGAGATTGACATTTAAGTTAATTGAGTAAAGATCTTCCTCAATAAAGTGGGTCATCATCCAAAGTGTTGAGGTCTCAATTAGCATTAAAAGGTCAAGGAGAAGTAAATTTTCTTTTTGTCTTCTTGATGAAACACCCATCTCCTCCTGTCCTGGGACATCAGCGCTCCTGTTCTCAGGCCTTCTGACTCGGGGACTTCATCAGCAGCCCCCTGGTTCTCAGGACTTCTCATTCTGCCTGATTTCAACACTGGCTTTCCTGGTCTCCAGCTTACATATTTATGGGGCTTCTTGATTTTCATTGTCTTGTGAGCCAATTCCCATAATAAATATCCTCTTATATATCTATCTCTTTATATATCCTATTGGCTTTGTTTCTCTAGAGAACCTTGACTACTACCTAGCAATGTCTCCTTTTTCTGGGCCCAACTATATTCAATAGCAACATTTTTTTTTTCTATAATAGTCTTGCTAGAAGTTTATCTCTTCTATTAAATTTTACAAATACCTTACCTTTGAATTTGTCCTATTAAAAAAAAGTATATTAATTACCTTCCACTCTTTTTATTTTTATTTTCATTATTTCAGCTTATTTTGTTGTTTTCATTTCTTAAGTTGACTACTTATGTATTTAATTTTAAAACCTTTTCATTTACAACATAAATTTAATCTATAATTTTTTCATACAATTCCTAACATTTTACATAGATAATAAAACACAATGTAAAATAAATACCTATACCTTCCAACAAAACTATACAAGAATCTTAAAGCATTTAAAATTATTTATTCATTTTTGTTGCCCAACATTTTAGATTTCTCTTATATTTACATTCAAATTGACTGTTATTTTTGTTATTTTTAAATCTCAATTTTGTATTTTTAGCTACATGTTTACTAATTTTCTTGGTGTTACTATTTCTTGTATTTTATCTTTATCCTTCCAAACATAATTTCCATTGTCCTGAAAGACATCTTTGAGATTTGTCTGAGGCTTGAGTTTTGCCTCTCAGAAACTGTCTGTATATGGATTTTGTCCTAAAACAATACCTTAGCTATGTATAAAATTATAGTTTTTTAATTTTTTCTCATAATTTGAAAGATATTATTTAGTTTTCTTCTGAAGATGACTCTTCAGAAGCCTGCTGTTACTCCTAGTAATCTTCCCTTTCTCTCTAGCTGCATTTAAAATCTCCTTGATATCTTTTGAGTTCTATAGTTTCAGAATTATGTGTTGAAGGGTGGGGTTTTCTCTGTCTTTATTTGGCATCTTTTGGAATCTTTGTGGTTCCCCCTTGAATAGAATTACTTTAATGGCTTGTAATCTTGGTTACATATTTAAAGTTTATTTATTCTATTTTATTCGGCTTATTTTGTTGCCTTTATTGAGAACATTTTCAGGACATCTAATTTGTGTTATTGGCAGAAACTAAAGCTTCAATCTGACCAAAACCTAGAAATTCTTTTGTTTGTAAAATGTATCTAAAACTGTAATGTAACAAAGGCAACCAAGGAAAGGTTATGGTACAAAATCTAAAACAGAGAAGAAACAATAAATGTTTTACAATAGGCAGCTGAGAAATCAAGTGTTATGTCATCTCTAAGAAAACAGTATCTTCAATTGGACATTAAGCAATTCAGAAAGACAATTTGATAATGAAGTTTTACCTTCATTTTGTGAGAAATAAGTAGAAACATATTTGATTTTCTTTTGCAATAGAAGGAAAATTATTAACTATTGAATAGGATATGAATATAGCATAATCTTTTGTAATTCAAAAGTAAACATCTGCCTTTAAACTGAAAGAGAAAGCAGAATGCCTCTTTACAGTTAAGGTTTCCTGGAAGCTTTTCTGGGTCAGAAAACAAGGAAATTGGACTAGGGAAAAAAACTTATCACTGTGCCAAGCCTGTAATACATACTATTTAGTTTTCCAAAGATAGTAAATCCTTTTAATCTATTATTAATTGCTATAATAATTGGAGGATAAATACCTAAGCACATTTCAAATATTTTTTGTAACAAAAAACAGGCCTTTTTTGGTGTTAACATTTCCCTTTCTGAAGGCATTTAGTGAGCATTATGTTATAGATTTCCTGTGCTGAGGTATGTATCATGCTGATTCACACAGGTGGAGACAAAGTATCACACCAGGAGGTGTGAGCCTCTGGGATTTGAGAAGACAGTATTTTAACAAGACATATCAATGAATTTTTTTAGTGTAAAATCTCTTTTATTATTTTTTTCTATATGACTCTTCTGAAAAGTATATGCCAAAAGCACCACTGAAAAATTTACACCTGGGGTGCAAAAGCGAACAGTCCAGATGAAAATAGATATATTTGATCAGTATGTGTTGGAAAATTTATATCATTCCTTTTTTTGAAAGATTTTAAGTATACAAAAAAACTCTAATTTTAAAACTGATATATCTTCACAAAAATTATCTAATATTATATTTATTATCAAAAGTGAGTAAATCAGGATTTTGTACATATTTTATATTAAAAATGCAATACTATTGTGGAAAGGGAAGAAAGATTAATTGTGAAGCTTGAATTTTAATAATAGAATTAAGAAACTCAGAATAATCAAGGAGAGAGGAAAGAGAATGAAGCGGTATAAGGGAACTAAATCAGTATCTCACAGCTGAATGTTAGAAAAATCTCAACAGAAAATAATCAACTTTTATTGGTATCTAATGAATATAAATTATGAAGGTACAGTATAAGCTTGATACAGATGATTTGGAAGTAAACATAAGAAGACTTGAAAAATGAAACAGTGTGTTTGCCTCTTAGAAGAACTATGGCTGAGGCAACAGCCAGATGGATGATTCTCATTAAAATCTTCTATATTGAACCATTTTTCCTTTCCTTTTGTTGAAAACCGTGTTTCTACATCATACGGGAAACTACCAATAGGGTGTTATCTGTTGGCGATTTCTACCTTAGAGTCCTGCTCAGTGTATAAGATAGCATTTATTACTTTGGGGTTTTGAGGAAGAAATTAAGTAGGAAATTTTTAGTCAAGCTATCACTTTTCTATTTTCAATATTAACCTAATTGAAGATTTTGTTGTTGTTGTTTCTTTGGTATGAGAGGTAAGTAATTATTTCTGCGTTAAAGTATGTGCTACATAAAGCGTTATTGGTCTTTTCAAGACAGAGTTTTTTTGGGGACAATATTTACCTGGCTTTGTCTATTGTGATCATTACAAGTTTTACTGTAATAAATTGGTAAATTTTATTCAATGTAGCTGTTCTACATAAAATAATAAATGGAAGTTTTCTTTAACTCAGTACTTTTATATATAAATATATATTATACATTCTCTATATAGGGATATATGTATGTGTTTATACATACACACATTTACACATATACATGTATACCTATTCATTTTTATATTTTTTTATAACAACTCAAGCAGAAATATAGAATTTCAATAAAATTACACCATACGTTTCTAATATGAACATCCCCCATGTCTGTTTTATTGTTATTTTTCTTTCTGATTTTTCTAGGGGTCTCCAATGACATCTTTGTACCATCCCATTTTGGGCCTAAATTGTCAATTCTAGATAAGACTGCAAAGTATTTTTTGACACTTAGAGTCTACCACGCATCTGGGTAGATATCAAACACTTGGGTTAACATTAGGTGAATATGATGATATTTTCTGTTATTGATTGCTGTGTGAAAAAACTATCTCCAAAATTAAATAGCTTAAAACAGCAATCCTTTAATATAGTTCGCTAAGAATTGGGAGAGAGTTCAGCTTGGTATTTCTTCTATTTCTCATGGTGTCATGCAATGATACTCAGCTAGGGTGGGGCTGGTATGTAGGGTCCTGTGTGGTCCAATGATACTCAGCTAGGGTAGGCCTGGTATGTAGGGTCCTAATGTCACATGTCTGGCACCTGATGAGGATGGCTAAAAAGCTGGACGTAGCTCACACTGTTGACCTACATGTGTTCTCTCCAATGTGGTGGTCTCAAGGTAGCTAAACTTCTTACATGGTTGTTGGCTTTGCCCAGAGCATGCATTACAGGAGGTCTTGATGGAAGCTAAACGTCCTCTTTGCTTTGGAAATCCCAGAATATCACTTTGCCATATTCCATTTGCCAAGCTAATTAATTAGTCCAATCTTCATGCAAAGGGGGGTAAATTTTACCTCTACCTCTCAATGGGAGGAACAACAAAGAATTTTCAGCCATCTTTAGTACAATCATGTTGCAAAATTATTTTTTCATATAACTATCCTGTGGAGGGACCGTGGTCAATGTATATCTGATAAATCATAAAAGCCATTAAAACTAGTGCTTCTAAATTTTTGAATTTTGTAATATAAAAATGAAACAAAGCAGCTACTTCCTCATCATCTTCCACCTGCCCTTTCAGTTTTTCAACTTGTATCCCTGTTAAAAGCATGTACTTATTAAACTTGAAAATGTAAAGCTGTGAATATGTATTTCACACTTTTATTTTTATTCTGACATTCTAAACATTTTCCTACAGAAAGGTTAAGAATTGATCTTACAAAAAAAACATTAAAAATAAGTAAATCCAAATAAACATCTGTGTGAAAGATGCTGAAGGACTGAAAATTTTCCACTGGATGTATCAAAACCTTAGCCCCCAATTGTTCTTCTCTACCCCATTTGATAAACCCAAACTGACCAAAAAATAGCAGCTAAACTGGACCCCCAGGCTTGCTGTCTCTGTATTCCATCCTGCGGCAAACAACATCGGTTTCTTCACACCTTCTGAGTATTTTACCAGTGAATGACACTGAACTAGGTACTTTTTCATGCATGCATCATATAATCTTTACAAACCTTATTTTCTATTTTGCCATCAAAGCTATGTGTGAATTTAGTAGTGGAATTATGTAAATAAGATAAAAATTTAGACCTGGAAACAATCTTAGAGATATTCTTTCTCGGCATTCTTATTTTTCAGATATGGTAATAAAAGGCTAGAGAACAGGGAACATTGAAACAACAGCATGTAACCATATTATGTAATAGAAAATGGTTTTTGCCCTAAAGAATTAGAATTAGGTGATTCTAAAGTAAAATATTATTATATTATTATATTATTTATTGTGCATAACAAGTTATCCATGATTTAGCAGCTTAAAATATCACACATGTATTTTTTCACAGATTCTGTGGATCAGGAATCTGGGTGTGACATACTTGCATGGGTCTTTGGTTTCAGGGTCACCCACAAGGCTGCAATCAAGATTTTGGCTGCCACAGTCATCTCAAAATTCTATAGGGGCAGAATCAGCTTTCAAGCTCTCTAGGTGGTTGTTGATAGGATTGTATCTTTCAGGCTGTTGGACCGAGTTACTTGCTGGCCACTGATGGAAGCTTTTCTCATTTACTTGCCACTTGGACAAGGACAGCCCAAAACACAGCAGCTGGCTTCATCACAATGAGCAAGAGAAGCTCCAACAAGATAGAAATCATAGTCTTTTATAATCTAATATGAGAAGTGGCATCACAACACTTCTGCAGTATTCTGTTTATTAGACGCAAGACACTAGGTGTATTAGTCCATTTTCACACTGCTATAAAGAACTACCTGAGACTGGCTAGTTTACAAAGAAAAGAGGTTAAATTGCCTCACCATTCCACATGGCTGTGGAGGCCTCAGGAAAGTTACAGTTACAGCAGAAGGGGAAGAGGCACGTCTTACATGGTGGCAGGAGAGAGAGAAGGCGAAGGGGGAACAGCCACACACTTTTAAACCATCAGATCTTGTGAGAACTCACTCAGTATTACAAGAACAGCATAGGGGAAAACTGCCCCCATGATCCAGTCACCTCCCACCAGGTCCCTTCCCTAACTCATGGGGATTACAATTCGACATGAGATTTGGGTGGGGATACAGAGCCAAACCATATCACTAGGTCCAGCCCATACTCAACTAGTGATTACCCAAGGGTACACTCAGAGGCAGGGATCACTGGGAGCCATTTGATTAGCCTTCCATCACAATTATTTACATATTTAAAATTTAAAAATTATTTATCTATCTCTAAATATAATGTATTGTCAACTTTTGCAAGTTTGACCTGTCAACAATTCTGACCTCACTGAACTATGATCAATATTACAATGGGTAACTGTAAGGGTGTGGTTTCTGTTTTGGTTTTATTTTGTTTGGGTTGTTTTGCACCTCACAAACACCAGAGCTAGCTGAATCATACCTTCTGCATTATGATCAGTGTATATCAAATTGCAAAACCACTTGGAAAATATTTTTTAAATTTATCCCAAATCAGGTGAAATAGAAGTGTTCCTTTGCATTCTAAACTTGCTTGCATACAGCAGTTCTTTAGATATATCAAGTGTCATTTATGGCAAGAATGAAAAACATATAAATATTAATGTGATTCCAGAGCAGGATACACACATGAAGACTTAAGTTGAAGCATATGAAAAGCAAATTCTATAATATGACTGCTTCATTTAGTAAAATTTTTATGAGAAAGGTGTAAAATAGAAGTTATAACTTTTGGTAATTATATGAAATTTAAATTTCTGCTTCTATTCTATTAATTATTAAATTTCTGCATTTTACTAATTCCATAAAATATACTGCTAACAATATAGTATTACATAAATTAGAGAAAAAATTTGGATATATATATATATACACACACACACACATATATATGTGATGAATTTTTTTAAAACAGAGATTGACATGGCTGGCTGTCTTATTGGCACTTTAAATAATGTTTCAATTATTAT
The DNA here is from genome assembly GCF_000001405.40 of Homo sapiens. NCBI lineage: Eukaryota > Metazoa > Chordata > Mammalia > Primates > Hominidae > Homo > Homo sapiens. The sequence continues at coordinate 29,128,970 of NC_000018.10, forward strand.
GTTTTCCACTATTCATTTACTTCTCAGAAACAAATCATATGGTCTTCTTTAATGACCATATAGAGGATATTAGGTTATATGAAGCCTAATGGAAAGTTTTGAATTTAAATATTATGAAATATATGTGTATATATTTAATAGTTTAGACACTTCTGTTGATTTACATGTATATAAACCTTATATGCTTTAGAAATCTACAGATTTTTAGGAAAAGTGTGATTGATTTTACCCTTTTTCTCTTTTGACATTGTTTTAATCATTCTTGGCTTTCAGCAGTTTGCCACCTTTCCTAGAGGGTAGCGTTCCTATATTTCCACCACATCCCAGGGAAACAGAAATGCTCTTCGAAGGATACAATTGCTGATGAAATAGTTCATGGCAATTGGGAATGAAAGGATTATATGGAGAACAAGAAAAATGCCAGAGGTCTACGTGTAAATTCATTAGCCAGTAAGAACATTATCATAAGACTTCTAAAGTTGATGTCCTTCATTACATAAGTCTATTTTATGTCATGCTACATTGAAAAGGTAAACACTAGAAAAAAATTGTATTAAAAATAATCACGGTCTTTTTCTTGTTTAGAATCCTTTGGCTTTCATTATGTTTTTACTAAGATGTAAGTTGCAATATTTTATTAATGTACTACATCATCCCTAGTTAGACTCTACTTATAACTTTGATTTTTAAAAAATCAAAGTTATAAAAAAATCAAAAACTTTGATTTTTAAAAAAGCTCAATCAAATCAAAACATCAGATTGCTACTCAAAGGATTCTATGTCTACAACTGTTAACAGCTAAATGAACTTACTGTATCAATATCAGTTTTGGTTTTCTTTTTATAGGTATGTAGGTAGCATGACCCATACTACCAGCCTGCCATACAAATACTGTAATAACTTTGATTTCTCTAACTGTTGTTGTCACCATTGCTCCAACTGATCAGGAAATCTTGTACCTTCTTCTTCAAGATCCTTCCTGATCCATAACTTAACCTCTGTTAAAGACCGAAAATCAAGGTGTTGAACTATTCGGTACCTGATCCAGAACTGTGAGAAAATAAACCTCTTTGTTTAAGCCACCCAGTCTATGGTATTTTGTTATGGCAGCCCTAGCACACGAAAGCAGCCCCTGTCATTTCACTTAGTTCACAGGCATGCCCTCAACTTCCTAACTAGAATATCCAAAACTAGAGAGGGAAATAAGTTACTTTCGTCTTTCCTTCTGTGCTGCCATTGAATTCTTTATTGGAGCTGGTACAATAAGGACAACCTTATTGGTAAGTCTAAATTGGTAAGTCTAGTTTAGTGGTTGAGTATAGGACAGCTCTTGGTTCACAGCTATCATGATGACCTGGGTAGCAATGCCCTAAAGATTGCAGTGGTGGGCCATGCGCAGTGGCTCATGCCTGTAATCCCAGCACCTTGGGAGGCTGAGGCGGGTGGATCACGAAGTCAAGAGATTGAGACCATCCTGGCCAACATGGTGAAACCCTGTCTCTACTAAAAATATAAAAATTAGCTGGGTGTGGTGGCACGTGCCTGTAGTCCCAGCTACTCAGGAAGCTGAGGCAGGAGAATCGCTTGAAACTGGGAGGCAGAGGTTGCAGTGTGCCGAGATCATACCACCGCACTCCAGTCTGGTGACAGAGCAAGACTCTGTCTCAAAAATAATAATAATAATAATAATAATAATAATAATAATAATAATAATAAGATTGCAGTGGTGGTGACCCACACTTAAACCCCAAGGTATGGTAGCTCTAGTATTTTAGAGATGCATTTTCAGCAATTTTTCTTATTCTATAACTGCTGCACTGGGGTATCTGAGACAGGAGGTTCTTTGAAAAGGGAAGTAGCACTACTAAATGAACAATTAAGCCTTGGTAGTATTGCACCCAGGTCACTAGTCCAGACCCTCTCCTTTTCCCCATGCATTTCTTGTCATTGTTTTTTCTACCTCACAGTCATGGTGAGAAGTATAAAGAAGAATAAAGCATACCTGTTGTTAAAAAATGGAACTTAAATTTTTTTTTAGAAACAGAATTTTTTCTGTTGTTCACACTGGAGTGCAGTAACATGATTATAGCTCACTGTAGCCTTAATCTCTGGCTCAAGTGATACCTCTGCCTCAGCCTCTGGAATTGCTGGGACTACAGGTGTGAACCACCATGCCCACTCTGAATTTATTTATATTTTCAATGAGATAATCAGTGACCGATGCTCAGATAATTTTTGAAAACATGCAAAATATATGTGTATGAGTATATATGTGTTTTATATGTACATATAGATAGTTAAAATACATGTAAATTTTACAACACTCAGTAATCATAGAATGGCTGGATATTTTTGGACGTAAGGGAAGATATCAGGACAGTGATTTAAATGAATCTACTTCCTAGGTAGAAACTTGATTGCATTAAAAGGATTTTAAAGATGTAGATCTATCAAATTACTCAAGAGATACACTTCAGAGAACAATCAATGGAGAAGTAAAACTATTAGGGAGGTGGAGTATACTAAAACAACGTGCGCAATAATTATTTCTTGAATGAAAATGAATTTGACTTATACCTTTCTGGGAATATCCTATCACTACCAAGTTAAATAATACTTAATAGTGTGTTTGAAGAACTATGAGTTCTTAATTTCTAATTCTGGTCTATCTGGCGTAGACTAAAATATAAATGTCAATCAGAAAATGGAGTGAGAAAATGATGTGGAAATTCACATGTCATTTGATATCAGTGAACACAGAATTACCACTGTGAGGAATTTAAATAAACCAAGCTGGACATTCAAAGATTGAATGAGCCTAGAAGTCATATTCATATTTCATTACATTTGTGTTTGATTTTAGCAAGTGGATGGATTTTTACAGGATTATCTTCAAAGCAGCTCTGCATGTGGACTTCTGAGCCTTACTGATCTTTATAAAGATCCAACTTCTAAAATTTTTCATAGTGAAATTGGGGTAAAAATTTTTACTCTATCAATTTACTCAGCTGTGAAATGGGATTTTTGTATGGATGTCTCAGAATTATGTTGAGCATTATGTAGCATAAGTTTATGCCTTAGTAGAATCCTAGAAAACAAGAATTATTAGTTGATATCAGGAATACTACCTTATTGCGTCTGATGTTTGTTTCTGAAATAAAGAGACACACGTTAATGCTTCAAGTCAGTATGTGACTGTTCCCTCACTCATTCTCTTGACTCTGGAGCACCCCTTTGGTTTGTACCTTCATACTATATGTTTTTCAAGGCCTGGCTGCCATTCGAGCCTGCGTTTCATGGCTGAACTGGTAGTCTAATTTAGAGGTTCAGTATTAGATAGTCCATTTTTGCATTGAATTATACCATCTCCTCCAATTAAGGGTTTGTCACTAATCACGGTATTTTAATCTTTATTTTCCTGTTGTCTTGATCTTTTAATCACTTCCACACTCACTTGTGAGAAAGGTGCTAATTTTGGGGCCCTTCAAACACCAACTTTAATACTAATACTAATACAGTCATGCACCATATAATGGCGTTTTGGTCAATAAGGAACCACGACTATTCTCTCATAAGATTATAATGGCTATACCATATAGTCCAGATGTGTAGTAGGCTATACCACCTAGATCTGTGTAAATATACTCTATGTTTGCACAACCACGAAATTGCTTGAAAACACTTTTCTTTGAATGTATGCCTGTCATTAAGTGATGCATGAGTATACTTGTATTCTTTCTTCTCATATAGATTAAGGAACAGAGGATTCAAATAAATACCTAAACACACGAACACATGTTTGTGTGCATATTTTCTCCTTGTTATTGATAGATTCTGTGTTTGTGAATTCTGATACTCCATAAAATTTATTTGTAACCCAAAAATCAATACTTACACTGATTTTATGTTATTCACTAACATGCATATAGAGTAGTAAAAATTTTGAGTGAGTTGCCTAAGGAATATATTCCCAGCTGAGGTTGAGCAAGGTGATGCTCTGTCTTTCATATCAGCTCTTGTACTGATATAAAAGTGTGTCTTTTTATAATCTATTTAGTGCCACATTTTGCGGGTTTTTTCTTTTTTTGGTGGTTTTGTTTAATGCGAGCCCCAAGCACAGTGTTGAAGTTTTGTCTAGTGTTCCTAAGTGCAAGAAGCCTTTGATCCTTGTGGAAAAAATACACAGGCTTCCCGGGTCACAATGGTTTAACTTACAATGGATTTATCAGGATATTAAATGCAATTTCCACTTATAATTTTGACTTACCATGGCTTTATCTGGACATAACTCCTTTACAAGTTGAGGAGCATTTATATGTATGTTAAATAAGGTTCATCAGGCACGAGTTATAGCGCTGTTTTGCTGTAAATTCAATGTTAATGAATTAACAATATATATTAAATAAGGTATCTTTAAGTAGAAATACACATAAAACAAAGTTATTGGTTTGTTGATAAAATGTTGTGGCAAGATGCTTATGGGAACCTCATCATGTATTTCTGCCAGGAGTAATGATTCGGTATTCCCTAATTCAGTATTTGCATTGATTTTATAAAACATAATTACCATGAATAATGAGAATCAACTGTATATGCATATAAAACAAAATTTGAGACAGCTTTCTACTTTCATATCCAAAACAGCCAGATTTCAAATCCAATGCTGCTACTTACCAGGTGTTTAATTTTTAGAAGTCAATTTATCTCCCTTTCCTTTATTTCTATTATATTTAAAATGGTGCAATAATACCTTCTAAGTTTCTGTGGATATATTCAAGGTGCACCAGAATATACAAAATACTAGAACACTATATCCACATCCTTGACCCTTTGAATAAGTAGAGATTCATCATTCTTTATAGACTGACCATGTGATATTTCTAATGCTTCTAAATGATTCAGAACTAAATGGGAATTCTTTCCAACTAAGGGAAAATAGAGTTCAATTCTCTCGAAAAGAGCAGGGAGGTGCCAGCCCTGTGCAACCAACGTAGGTTTAAGGAGGACTTATCCCAGAGGAACACAGACTCATATGGAAGATGAATCTGATGTCCTTTCTCCTTTCTTCTCAGGAACTATGAAGTTTAGCTCTCAGTTAATTAAGTAAAATAAAAATATCTCCAAATTCCTTGTCTTAAGTGAAAAACATTGTGATTTCTCTAAATGAAACTAAAGAAGAACAGTGTAGCAATTTAACTTATGTAGATCTGACCAAGACAATTTACTTCCCATCATCTGACTGGCTTTATTAATCTCTCTGAGATACCCTTTTCTTTAGTTGCTGGGTCTGGGTCTGGGTTTTCCTGTCACTCATAAATGTAGTCAGATAAAAGTATAGAATGGTCAGAGCTCTTGATAACGAGATAATGTGCCTGACAATGGTTTGCAACAGAATGACTCCGAAATGGTTTTTGTAAAGTCACATTTTACAGTTCATGATCACTTATCCACCTGGACAGCAAATCATTCTTATTTGGTGGGATCTTGACAGATCTCAGAAACATCACAGATAGGAACCAGGATTTTTACAAACTAAAAAGGTTTATTTTGGACTGTGCAAAATCACCAAGGGGACATAAGGACACTTAGTTGGATGGCAAAGGTGCTAGGAGATAATTTCACATGCAAAAAACACAGAGAAAAGCATCTTAGGATAAAAGATGAGCCTTTGTCTTCCATTGAAAAGTAAGTCTCCTTCTACCTTTGATGACAAGAACCAAAACTAGTTTCTACGATAAAATGTACCTTTTATGCCATTGTGTCTCTATAAAAAGGGAGAAATACATTTTGCTTATAAGGGTATTTTATTTGAACTGTCGTAACTCTAGTTTTGTATTGTTTTTCAAGAAACACGTAGAATTTCAGTTTAGGAAGGACTTAAGCTCCTGTGCATTGCTGGTGGGAATGAAATATACCAACTCTACAGCAACATTACATTTGCATTTGGCTTTGACCTAGGGGTTCTACTTCTGGGAACACATCATGTACATATACATGACTATGGGAGATGATTTATAAACACTCAAATATTCACTGCAACATTGCTACGGCAAACAGTTAAGGGGAAAAACAAAACAAACACAAAAACCCTAAGTATCCATTTATCAGAGATTGGTTAAATAAACACTGAAATACTATGCAGCTATAGAAAAAAATGGCAAACCATTACATTTCTAGGACATTCTTAATTGAAAATTTCAAGGTAAAATACAGTTTATATAGTATGAGACCTCTTGTATTAAAAAACGAGCATGCATTCATATTTGCTTGCTTTACATGTAAGAATTGCATGGAAACCTATATAAGAAACTAATAAACGGTGTTACCTACACATTTTTAAGAAAATTCCCACTTCTTTATAATTTTATTGTTCTTGTTCAAGTATAGAAATTTAAAAAATACATTTAAAAGAAAGAGAAAGGGAAAGGCAAAAAAGGGAGCTGATGCATTGGCTAGACTAGCTTCATATTTACAACGAATGAAATTGAGGACCAACATAGATAACTTATATGAGTGTGCATATCCTTCATCCCAATTGGAATTCTGAGCCCTTTAGAGAAAGATTATATTCATATGTCTTTATATTTCTAGTGGTCTTTAATTCAGTGCTTTTATTCAATAAACAATAGTTGATTGATTGTCATTTAAAAATATGCTGACAGCTTATTTCAATTGTTCATATCTTAAAATATTCTAACACATTAAATATCTCTGTAAAATGTCTTTTAATGATTGACAAGCATTCTTAATCAATACCGCTTATAATGGACTTATTAAGATCAGGCATGGTTGGGTTCCATTTTGACACATTTGACTAATACCTTTTTTATCCACTGTACTGATTTTTAAGCTGCAGCAATCTTAATGGCATGTCTGATTCACCTTTTCTCTGGCTTAATGCAGCATCAAATAGAGGACATAATGAGGGAAAATGTATTTGAGGGTACAAATGAGCCCCTAAATTATTCCATTCTATGACATTTGGTAGTTAAAATCTGTTCCAATTAAACTCTTTTGAGATAGTAATTTATGGTAAAAAGACTGTGAATATTCAAAAATAGTTAAATGCTCAGAAGCTTTATTCTAATAATAAAAGCATAAATGTCTACAAAGATTTCAGAACATAACTACTTGAAGTGAATCTGCCCATGGTAGGGCTTATTAGTCACACTAAGATTGAAAAGAATATTTATACTTTAAAAAATATTGCTAAATTATATATTAAACAACCAAGCTCTTTGGCTTTTGTGGGATAGTTAGATGATATTTTTATACAAATAAATATGAGTATGGTTGAAAGATTTAGCAAAGTTTCAAACATTTTCAAAGTTTACATAAGATTTTTTTATACACATTTACATTTATTTATTCAAATAATGTTTCCTATGGATTATGTATAACTATTTTGCCAGAATGGACAGTTTTGCTTAGTGGAAATACGACTAAATAAGATAAGGTTGAAATTGTTTTATTAGTTTCAGAAAAAGCTTAGATCCACATTGGAGTGAGATTATGTAATATTTGATTTTCTGTTCCTGGTTTATTTCACTTAATGTCCTCCAGGATCATCCATGTTGTCACAAATGACAAGATTGGCTGAATAGTACAATTACTATGTATACATTTTAAAAAAGGAAAAAAGAAAATGGTTTAGAGCTGTAGTTTCCAAAATGAGCTCCATGAAGTGTTAAGTGTATGTGAACTCCTCATATATTGAGTCAATGTCTTCTCAGCACCTGCTATGTGCCTGACAAGAAATGAAACAAAGTGATCACCTTGTGAATGTAATGTTCTGTTAAGGGACTCAGATCTCAAAGTAACACATATATATAATATGTCAAATTATGATAAGTACTAGGAAGAACTAGCCTAGGAGGATAGATCACAATGGTATGAGGGATGCCATTTTATACAGGATATTCTGAGAAGGCCTTTCACATAAGAGGTTATTTGAGCAGAGATGTAACGCAAGATGAAGGAGCCGTGGGGCTATCAAGTAACTAAGAAGAGCAAACTCAAAGACAAGGAGGTGTTGATGTCCTTGGTAAATTGTAGGGAGGTCAAAGAGTCCAGTGTGGCTTGAGAGGAAAGGAGAAAGATAGATGATGAAGCCAAAGATGTTTGGAGTGTGGGAGGCTTACTGACATGGCAAGGACTTTGGTGTTTGTTTTGAAAGAGGAGGGTTGTCAATGGAGGATTGAGAACAAAGAAGTAAAGTGTCATTCAATGATCACTAGTCATTATTATGTGTAATTTCAAAGTGTTAATTTTATATTAAATACATATTAAAATGTATATAACATATGTATTATTGGACCTATTGGATATTTATTACAAATTAAACAAGCATCAAATTTTGAACATTTTTCTTAGCAATTAAATTCCATATCCATATTATACTCCCTACTTACGTTTTATAAATACATTGTACATTTCAAGGTATATCAGGAAAAAATCTATTTGTGAAAGTCTGATCAAGAGAAATGACTTGATTCTTTCACTGAGCATCTACAATTTACCAGGTATAAGCTTAAGGACAGAATTCAGAGAAGAAAAGCGTGTGAACTTATGTTCAATTTGCTTATTTTTTTTTTTCAGGTAAACAGGATTTTTGAAATGTAAAAATATATGATAGAGTTTGAGGAAAAATAGATTAAGTACGTACAAGTTATAAGGACAACTCTAAGTATTAACAGGTTGGCAAAGTCCCAATTGAGAAAATTTCATGGAACAGTTTCTACAGATATGATGCATGAGCTGAGTTTTGAAAAGCAAATGGGAGTTTTAGGGGTAGACAAACTGGGTGAGTGCATTAAAGTAGTAGGAATGGCCTATGCAATTATATTGATTTGCAAATCAGGAGAGCTCTAAGTAGCTGCATTCCAACATTCAGTTTGCTCTTTCATCTATTAAGTGTAAAGCAGCTTGGAAAAATACAGTAGGGAGTGGTGGGACCTATGATGAACTGGAAGGTTTAAAATCATCTTAAATAAGTATAAATATATTTATTATGCCATACATACACACACACTCTCTGTGCATACATGCACATATATACACTTTGCAATAACCAGATGGAATGCATCATTAGGCCAGATTTATTATATTTGCTAATTTGTGTCATCAATTTTGGTGTAAAGTTTGAGGAAAGTAGTAGCTAGTAATAGATTGGTAGGCAATTTAGGTTACTCTATTATGATAGTTCAGTGAAAGATGACAAATTTACAGATGTAGTAGTAAGAATATTGAATATTTTTGCATCATCATTGAGGTAAAAAAGACAGAATTTGCTGAGTGATATATGTAGGACAGGATGAATATGGAGAAATATAGAGTGAGTTTTTTTATTTAGAGGCATAGGAGGGTGTGACAACAGCAACAATCACCGAGCTAGGGGAGAAAGATCAGTGTTAGGAAGAATTAATGTGAGACTTGCTGTCTCCTGTCTGCTTCCAGAATTCACAAATCTTTTCCTAGATCTTTGAATATTAAATTTGATTTTATAACATTTGTATGATAAGAGAAAATATATGTGATATTAGAAATATCACAGTGTTTGAGTTTTGTTGTATCAAGGTCACGTCAGTCACAAAATCAATAACTTTCCAAATTCTGAAATTGAATAAGTTAGAAAATATGATTGTATACAATGTTACTTCTCAAGAAGTTTTTATGATAGTTACAAAAATCAAAAGCTTATAGTACATAAAGCTAGAAGTGTCCTTGGAAATCGTCTAAGCCTATACACATGTTTTATAGCTGAGAAAACCAAGACACAGAAATTCGGTTGACTTGCTCAAGATTGGGCAGCTAATTAGTAGCAGAATCATATAATTTAAACCCTAAGGAAAGAATCTAAGTAAACATAACAAACTTACTAAATATTTTATTAATGTGGATTTAAGAAAATAGGGGGTATACGATACCATGAAATGATGGCCAGAAATTTCCCTTGGAGCATACATTTTTATTCAACGCATGTGACAAAATAATTCTGCTGCATACATAGGTCTAAAGGTAATTTTCACTATATGTTCATATCTATGTTTGGCATGGTCAGGTTCCAATAGGCCTAAAACCTGTTTTTTCTTTAATTAATTTAGAAAACATAATACCACATGCATGGCTTAAATTATAAATAACTTGACAGCAATGATTTTTTTTTTTTTTTTTACATTCTGGTGGATAGCACAGAGACAAACATGTAAGCTGGGTAAAAAATCTTTTTAAAATTGTGAAACAAAATGTTGATTACAAACATTCTATGTTAGCTTTTATTGTTCGTGTATTGTATTTGACATTTGCTGAAGTGAAATTACTTCGCAGCTGATCAACGCAGAACAAACAATTCTATTTCTCTTATAGTTGTGATAAATCTGCCTCTGCAATAGTTTATTTTTTCTTGATGGATAGTTAATTCACGTTCTGTAAGTTTATGAAGTCTGTTCCACAGACAGTCATCTGGATTAACTTCTGTTAATTACCACTGAAATGTTGGATTTTCGGCATAAACTGTGAAAAGATCCTTTAGAGAATATATGAAAAATGACTTCGCAGCTTTTGCTCCTGCCAAACCCTTTGATTCTGTGGTGCAACATTTAGCCTCTTTGTAATTTAATTTTCTACTTTGAAATGTCACTTGCCAAATACCAATCTAGCTCCCCTTACCCTACATCCAAAAATCATGCCATAAATGTCACATATGATAAGAAATTGATTACTTGGATTTGCGAGTAGGCTTGGTGAAAAATCTCAGAGATACAATATTATGTTCACTCCATGCAACTGTTTATATGTTTTGCAAAATAATTCTGTTTCCATAATGTGCACTATACCCACGGATCTCTGTTATTTCAATGTGGTTATGTATGATTCAGGTGAGCTTTCATATAAGCTGAGAACCCTATATTTAAATTGTAGTTCAGCTGAAACTTAATCTAAATCATATCCTATTTTTGACAGTGATTATTGGTATAAACTATTGAACAAATTATCACTTTATTTTTCTACAATACTGATTGACTTTCGAAATCTTTCGGAAGTAAATAACACTGTAAAGTATGACCTATTCAGAGGTCAATTGCTATTCTCCAAAGAGTGACTTTAAGTTATTTAAACCTCCAGGGATCCTGAAATAGACTGTAGTATAAAATATTTCAGTGGTGCAATTTTCTGTCAATAAAATCCTACACTCTTACTAAGTCAAACAAACCCAAAACAAAAAAAGCAAAAAGCTAGCAGTTTGCTGAGTTTATACATTTCTGTCATATTGCTGAATACATACCATTCCGAAAAAAGATCTCTTGATCTAGTTTTATACAGTTTTCATATGGCTTGATTCTATCTTCTCTTTTCGAGATGAGGTAGCAGTATAAGAAATGATTTGTATGTATGAAATGCTTTGTGAATCTCAACTGCCTGCTGCACTTGAATTATACTCTAATTTTAAGTCATTGCATTTCAAAAGTATCATTACCTAAACTCTATTTAGTAACAGAAAAATATCTTTCATTTAGAACAATCTCATTAGTTTTTTTTCCTGATTACTCCTTAAAGTCTATATATTGGTGAGTTCTTATCTCTGCAATGTCCTACATTGTTATTTTGTTGATAGTGTACATGAAGCTGGAAACTCTTCTTCATCATCTCTTCTGAGCTTCAAAATATTGACCTCTTACTAGGGTATCTATTATTGTTTTCATTTTAAATATCCAATAAACATCAAGTACGATGTATTTTGTAGGGATAAAAATTTTACTTGGTGGATTTTCTGTCTCAGAGACCTGACAGGTAACGATATCTCATCCACTGATTCTTATTTTGACATCTTGACTGACATACCCTGAAAAAAAATAGTTGTTACAACTGCTTTCCAAGGTCAGTGAACAATCAATCCAGTTGATACAATATATATCAGACAAAGTGAGTAGAATATATTTGCCAAACTCTCATTTTTTTTCTCAACTATGGTTATACTCTTGACTACTACCTCTATTTTTATCTTAAGAGACAACACTTAACATATTAATTTCAAGAAACGTTTCTGAATTTGGAATCTTATTTTGAATACAGATTATTTCCATTAGCCACTTGAATTAAGAAAAAACTTCTATTCATTGTCTTTATTTGTGAAATTCTTATAATGCATTGCTTGCCTCACATGATTCTATTTTGAATTCAATAAATAAATCTACTTGAAAGAATTTTCAAGACTGTCAAACACTATATAAATACAAACTGTTGTTATTATTATATTTAAAAACTTTCCAAAATACTGGACAAATCATGAAAAGAAACTATGCTATTTGCTTCCTTTACGGAGTACTAATGAGGGTTCAGAAAATCTTGATTTATCTGGCTTAGAATTAATATTTTGTGCCTCTTCCTCATCTTCCCTCAATGGATAGTCAATCGATGACTTAGTATTTGTATGTATGCATCAAAGGCTTTGGACTGGGCTACATAACTTATGATTGAACTTAAGCAAAGGACTCAAGGAAGTCAAAACATATGCTGCAATAGAATAAACGAAGATGGTTTGAGGATGGCCACTGACTGCAGTAAAGGGAAGGAAGAAATGCCCCATAGGACCCAGATAAAATGAACTCCTGAGACTGTTTGAAATTTTTGGTTCTTACCAGTGCTTACTTACAGCGAAGAGATGTAGTGAGATCTAAGTAATTTCTGTAGTTAGTTTTAAGGAGAAAAATGAGCATGGGAGTAGATACTGGGATTTGGATGTTAATATCAGGGTCAATAATAAAGTAGTTACATTTGTTGTTTTACACTATTGTTTTTGTTATAGATTATTAATAGCCAGTGGAAAACATTAAGTTTTCTGTGGATATGTAAAACGTGAAGGTATACAATTCTCGAATTATATATCATAGTTTTAAATGTTGCTAATCAGAGGGCCTAAACTCTGAAGCTAAAACCCAGATGTCTCTCGGAAACTAAGTCATTCTCTGCTATGATAGTATGATTGTTATTTGGTGATTTGTTCTTCAATTCCCTAGCTCAGTAATGTTAGACAAGGTACTTAAAGTCTCTCTACTTCAGTTTGCTCAAATTAAAAGTGATATGATATTAGAACCTCATCCATAGGGTATTATAAGAATAATGAGTTAGTTTATTTAAAGCAGGTAGGACACAGCACAGCCCATGGTAAACACTACAAAAATGCAGCAATGTATAGGAGTATATAGTTGAGATGGTAGTAAAAGTTATTCTGTCTACTTCAGAGTGTAAGAAATATTGCTAAAGGTTATTGCTTGACATTTCAGAAATAACATATGCTCTGATTTTTTGTTTAATTTTCCCGATAGAAGTTTCTTTTATGTTATATGAAATTACCTGTTTCACTAGTAGCTTAGAGAAGTTATTCTAAATAAACATATAGGTAAATTATTTAACCTAGATATCAATTAATTACTTTCTTTTCTTTCTTTTTTTCCTGTCTGACCATTGTTTTTAAATTATAGGATGCCTCATGGGTACATATTTCCACTCTTGTTAAATGATATCCCTGTTTTATGATATCCACATCAAATGATAAATATATGAAGTTTGAAATCTCAACAATACTGAGATTTCAAATCTCGACAATCTCAACAATGCCTCATATCTGAGAGGAATGGCTTTAAATAAAATAACCCTTACTCAAATGAAAAATATGAGAATTGAAAATTACTAAATAACATAAAAACAACTTAAGAAGCTCTAGATGAATTTATATTAATGGACTTACTAACTTAAATCTGAAATAATATAATATTTTGTGAGTAATGCATAATCAAATTGTAAATTTACAATAATATTTAAAGGGATATAAAAAACTATTTGAAATAATCACTAATGTTCAAGGACTGGCATATTTCTGGCAAAAAATAACTGTCAATATTTATCTCACTGCTTGAAAGGAGTTATTAAAAGGGCTCAAGATAATTTCATCTAATGCTGAGTGAGATTTTTTCAGCTGAAAGAGAGTTGGCAAGAAATGTCAGCAACAACTGTACATACAAAACTGAATCCACTTGGGTTTGAATGAACTCCCCATGTAGTCTGCATCTTGACTGTGGGAAGGCTTTAAATAAGGTAAGAACTTCAGTGAAACTTACTGTCAGAGTCCAAAACAAAAGCCACTGAAATAACTAGAAAGAAAGAGCCTAGTAATAAATAATGTTTTATTATTGATTCTGATACCTGATATTCATGACACTAGGTTTTGTTTGCCCTATACTATAATTATCTTTTCTTAAAGATATGGAATGTTATCTTTCTTATGATTTCCCTTATATAAGAAGTATCTCAAACATTTCTTGTAGTTCTTAGTATTTGTTGAATAAAAAAATTCCAAGTGAAAACTATTGAAATACAGGGAAAATTATGCTCAGACTTCCACAGAGCCAGAGAAGACATCACCCAACTAAATCCATGTTAGCCCACAGTTCCTCCCAAAACAGTGCAGAAAAAAAGAAGAAAACCAAAAAAAATAAATATGAAAAGTAATATGCTCAAATACAGAAAATCCCCAAATTAAAAATAGCTATAAATTAAAAAGAAAAAACTAGTCACCAAATCTCAGCAAGTAACAGCCACACTATATCTATAGCAAATATTTATAGATATGTTGTGCACACACATACTCACACATACACATACAATGCACATACATACATGAATATATTTTCCAACTCTGAGAGTTCCGAAAGGTGAAAACATCCCATTGTCACTGAGCAAACATTACACACAGATTTTTGCTTCTAAGTATTATTCTCTTCTAAAAGGTATGCAGGTATCCTTGTAGATATGGCTGATTCTAAGACTAAAACATGGAAACTATAAGATGTACTTAGAATATTTTGTGGTGTTAGGAAGTAAAAAACAAGCTCAGAAAATGATGAGGACATGTAAAAAGAACCTAAGGGCTAGCTTGAAGTCTCTCCCATTGACCAAATTTGGAACAATTTGACGAATAAAAATCATAATAATAGTAATGGAATATAACACACAGAATATAATGAAAATCAAGGATTCAATGCTGAAGTGAACCAATACATGAATAAATGGGGAAAATGAAGAGCTCTTACTGTAGAATGTCAAGTAATAAATGTAAAAAGAATCATGGAATTAGAAAAAATTGCCATTTGTTTGCAATCACAAGAGTAATAGATTCAGACAAGAATATCAATGGATAATGGGCAAAAGTATGACAACAAACTGAATATTCACTTGATAACATCTCTTCATAAGATGCTTATTAATTGCAAAGAAAAAAATAGTAAATTTGTAGTGGAGAAACCTGGCAGACACAACCTTAACTGCAGATTTAAAATGTACATTATCAGCAATGGGACAAATCAATACCAGATGCCTCCTAATAAGAAATACTGAGAAACACACATTATCATACCTGTTATATTCCTACAAAAATTTTATAATGTGCATCTAATAGTTAGAAACCATTAGTCAAACTCAAAATAAAGGACAGTCAACAAGATAATTGGCCTGATCTCTTTAAATATGTAAGGTAATACTAAGTCTGACAGAAATGAAAACTAAAGATAACATGCCACTCTGTATTGAATTCTGGAACAGGAATGGACGTTAGTGGTAGAATTGGCAAAATCTGATTAAAAGATTTAGATTAGACAATGCTGCTTTATCAGTGTTATTTTCCTCCTTTTAATAACTGGATTCTGGCTGTGAAAGAAATGTCCTATTTTTAGAAATATACTGAATTTATAAACACACTGAAATATTGAGAAGTAAAGGGGTATTTAAATGTAAAATCTGCAACTTACTTTCAAAAAAAGTATTAAAAAAAAAACAAAACACACAAGTATCTTAGCCAGTTTTGTGCTGCTGTAACAGAATAATATAGATGGGTAATTTATAAACAATAACAATCCATTTCTCACAATTCTGGAGGCTGAGAAGTTCAAGATCAAGGTGCTGGCAGATTGTGTCTGGTGAGGATCCAGTCTTTGCTTCCAAGATGGTGCCTTGAATGATGAACTCTCCAGAGAGGAGGAATCCTGTGTTCTCACATGGTAGAAGAGTGGAAGACTGGAGAGAGAGCTCGTTCCTGGAAATCCTTTTAATAAGGATTTAAATCTACAGATCAGGATGGCGCCTTCAGGTCCAAAAACCTTGTAAAGGCCTCACCTCTAACTACAGTTACAATGGCAATTCAATTTCAACATGAGTTTTAAAAGGGACAAATATGCAAAGTATAGCACACAGACAAAAAATAGATGATAGAGATGACACATGATAGGTAAATAGATAGATAGATAGATAGATAGATAGATAGATAGATGATGGATAGAGAGACAGAAAGTGAAGAGCATGATAAAGCATGTATGAAGAAAATGTTAACATTCATGAAATTTAGGGGGAAAGATATGACAATACTTTGTACTATTTTTGTGCTATGTACTTTTTACTATGCTAGTCTGAAAATATTTCAAAAAAATATATATATATATATATAAAGTGTGTCTTCCCAAACTCTTGCTCAGTTCAACCTTAACTGGAAGATATACATTCTGATAATTAAATGTTACAATGTGAGAGTTATAAACCATGTATCCTATTTGTTTCCTTATTTTATTACCACTTTGTGATATGAAGTGTTATGATACCATTGAAAAATAATTAGAAAAGTATTATTTTTAAAAAAATTGGCCAATCTAATAGGGCAAGCAAAAGCGAATCTGAAATTTGTCACAACTAATGCTTATTCCTTAGCACGGAACAGGGAAATTAGTATCTTTAACAATATTGAATTGTCAGAGAAAAAAATTGCTTTGACGGATTTCACTATTTCGGAGATAAAGCTTGAAACACTGGGACTATATAGAAAAGAGAGAGGAAAGGGACAGAAAGGAGGTGGCTTCTTGTCCAGTGATGGGAGGCAATGTCTTCATAGATTATGGACATTGCAGACAAACAATGGCTGCATTTACTGGGCTGCTGTATGCACGCTTATAGTGCTTGTAATTGAGGATGATTATGGTTAATGACTCCAGTAATGTGCACTTTCAAACCAGCAAGACAATGTAATTTGTATCAAACCTATTCAGTATCTCTTTAGGCATTTTGCCTGGTTTAATCTTAGCCCAGCACTGGCTACAGAGGGATTCTCTGGAAGCTTCACAGCTGGCTCAAATTAAAGATATCATGCCCTCCCCGACCCCCAACCCCTTCAGTATATTCAGAAGTAAATAAAGCTGTTTGAGTCTTCCTATCAGTTGGAAGGCTCAGGGCCTGTCATAGTTTAATGTGACAGGAGGAAGATCTTTAGTACTGAAGGCACTAGGTTTTAGTGTGCAGATAGAAAGCAGAACATCTGTCTGAAATTCACTGATGAGGCGCTAGCCAACAACAGCTACACTTCTTGGTAAGAGGAAGCCGTTTTTACATTTTAACGTAGTGTGAAACATAACATTCTGTGATGTTATGAGATTTCTCAAAAGATAAGGAAGAAATAGTTAATAGAGAAATATGTGCATTCTCTATTTCTACAGCTACCAGGAGGAAATACCTGGTAACCAAATTGCTTATGGAATCAATTCAGGAATACATTCTATTTAGAAGCTAGCCTATTATTCTTAAAGCTAGTGCTAGATAAATTATGTAAATGAAAACCTTTTTAATTTTTACCTATGAGGTTAAGAGACATAAACATGCTTTTCTCTTTTTTCTTTTTTTTTTTTGTTTATTGTCATTTCAGGGAGGGTTAAGGGGAAATTTCTAAACACTTGTGTCTGTAATTTTCAGACTCTTTTCACAAATACTGAAGCATGACAGAGTCGTTTACACAAACGAGACAGAAAAATATGTGAGGGGCCTAAGGCTCAAGATAATTATAATTCTGACATTAAAAAAAAAAAGCTATTGTGTTCCACTTCTCTGTTTTGTAAGTTGAGTTTTTCTTTCCATGCAAGAGAATGCAAACCACTGCATTTTGTCAGTTCCAGAGGCAACATTTCAGTCTAAACAAAAACGCCTGTCAATGTTAACAGTAAGACAAGGTTGAAAAGTGAAGTTAAAGTTCACGCATATTGTGGTCTCAGTGCTAGGTAAATGGCACGGGGAATGATTGACATGTTAAAAAAAAACAACAGCTTTTGGATGGCAAGTAGTTATAAGCAAAAGAGAAATGTGAATAACTCAGGTGATTGTGATGCCATGAGATTTTTCATTCATAAATGTAAAGGTGCATGTCTATATCCCCAGCTACTTGGGATGCTGAAACAGGAGGATCTCTTGAACTCAGGAGGCTGTAGTGTGCTATGATTGCACCTGTGAATAGCCAATGCACTCCTGCCTAGCCAACAAAGCAAGACCATATCTCTTAAAAAGAAACAAAAAAGTTTGCTAAATTTTATTTTTTAGAGTATTTACAAATCAAACTGGTATCCTCTCAAATGTTTACTTATGTGTTATAAACTTTAAAATTTTTGACAAGTACCTCACATCACATTGTGGATTATGCTATCAAGTTCCTGTAACAAATAATTTTCAATGTAAAAATACAGTTGTTTTATTTCAAATGCCTCGAGTTAAATTGACGATAAGTGACATCTTGTCTAGCATGGAAATGCTTTTGTTCCTTTTATGAAACTAATTTTAAAACGTAATTTGGTATAAAGACTTATTGGCAGGATTTACCAATTTCACCAGTTGACTGAAAAAAAAATCTTATAAAATCAGATAAAATATAAATATGTTGTTTTTCAGTTTTCTTTCTGTATCACATTCTTAAGAAAATTAGTTTAAAAATGCTACAATTTTTGAAAGTAAAAGGACACCTATTATAATACAGTATAAAATAAAACATGTAATTTTTGGACTGGTAGTAATTCAGCTAATCTATGTAGTCTGTGAGAGATTTATAAATTCAAACTCTCAAAATATTAAAAGTATGACTATCATTCCCCTAGTACCTCTTCTAATAATTCCCTAATCTTTCTCCAACATTTTGATGGTCATTCCATTTTGACTTCTCTATATGAGTGTCAGTGACTAATACTCTGGATTAGCTCACAGTATGGAGCATTAAAACTACATATCCCAGATTCCTTTGTAGCTGGTGCCCTGCACGTGACCAGGAATTTAGTAGCAGATGCACCAGTGTGGGAACTGGGAAGGGGAAGGTCTTTCACAAACATGATCATGCAGGCATTTCATTTTTCTTTCCTATACAGCTGTGGGATAGATCCTGGCTTTGTGGCTCTTGACTAGCAAGCAGCAGTAGTAGGATTTCTGCTGAGTCAGTCCTGTGATATAGTTAGGCGTTTTTCTGGCTTCCTTGTTTTAGGTTATATAATTTATAAGTTGAAATGTCCTGTAATAAGCCAATTTTTATTTAAACCAGCTGGTGTAGACTCTGTAGTCTGAATCTTAAAAACCTTATTAATAATATGTGAAATTGAAAAAGATGTTTACTTCCACGTGCTTGAATCTTGTTATTTTTCTGGATGCTATGTTTCATAGTGAAACAAAATCAATGTCACCATCCCTCAGTAGTGGAAGGGAGTGTATCTTCTATGTTTTTATAATTTTTTGTCATTTTTTTCTTTTTTCTTTCTGGACCATTATGCATGACTGAATAATTCAGCTGTTATTTCAAATGTATCTGATCACAAAAACATTTGTGCCAGCAGTTTCTAGCATGGTTTGATCAATTAGCATGAGACATTTTTGCAAACCTATAACTGAATCACAGTAGCAGCTCTTTATCATCAAATTACTTGCTCTTCTGAGGACTGGTCAGTTTGAGAAACATTCAAATAAAAGACATGTGCACTTTCATGATGCTTGGTTTCTATAGACTTACCCAGCATCTCAATACCTTTGTCTTGGCCAAGTTAAAATGAACTCTCTTAGGCCAGTGTAGACCTGCTTTCTCCTCTACAGGAAGGTGGATGGATCTTCCGTGCTTCTGGTCTAGTTCTTCCTGGATCATACTTTGTTCATTGTCCCTCACTCTAATATTTCTTAAACTTTTCTGTTTTCGAATATTTCCTAACAGCTGTCTCTTCCCTTCATATTTTCTAACAACTGTCTCTTTCCTTATAATTATTTTAAATTGTATTGCATATTTACAATTTCTTCCTCTGATCTGTTTCAATTTTATAGAACTTTCTAAAGTTGCAGATTGCCAATCAAATACTGACCAATGCTGGAAAAATATTGTGGTGCAACATCTGAAAATATTCTGCACCAGTCACCCAATGCTTAAAATCAGTAGACATGCATCGGTATTTGATGTTTTGCTGAAGCAGAGGTAAAACCGCTACTGTCTTGCCTTTAACTGATGTTATGAAAAGTCTTCATTATTGACCATATGAAAAGTCATTATTAAATTCCAGATATGTAGCCATTTTCTACAGATTGTGCCAGCCCTTTTCACATATTCTTGAGATATCATTAGCAGTAACAGAGGCTTACATTCTGACAATCTTTGGGACCAAAAGTCATTGTAATAGGTCAAAGGAGAGGCAGCCACCCTTGGTCTTGTCATAATACAAGCCATCCTGGGCCCTTGAAATGAGAGAATTGAAATGTTAACTATAATAAGAACATCATAAGAGTGGACTTTGATGATGTGTGGGACTGAAGAGTCCAAGGCACATCTATCAGGCTTCTGAGTATATACCGATAGAAAATGAAAGGTTGGCCTATCTAGATAAAACTTATGTTTCCGAAACATTTGAAACTGGTAGTATCTTCTCCCCCATTTACAGCATGACATGTTTTATATGATGTTTAGTTGACATACAATGATAGTAAATAAAATACCAGACATTTATAGTAAGACTCACTCAGAAATTTTTAATTTTTTATCAGGAAGACAATAAATATATCACTTTTCTTTTCCTTTCCTCTATGTTTTTACTCTAGAGAATGAAAAACAAACAAACCAAAAAAAAGTGGGGGGTTTTAAATAGCCAGTAATTACTTGGATATTTCTGTGCTATTATTTCTTCAGATTGAGGTCTATTGAAATAATTTCGTTAAATGTAGAATAAAACTAAATTGCAACAATATTTTTCTCTTGGAAAATTATTCTTTTTCTCTAATACCAGTTGGTAACTTTTCATTACCTGACACCTCAAATAGGGCATTCTGCAAAAAGGCATTTTTTAATTGGCACTTTGAGGCCTACATTCAGTATATTGTTTGAATGGTCAGGGAAGAATAGAAAGCTTTTCTTTTCAAAATTAAGTTATTTTGTGGAACAGTATAGCTTGGCTTCAGATTTATTTATGTCATATATGTACATTAGAAATATATACCTTTTACAGTTATGTATTCATATCAAATGCATTTAATGAAAGTTTTTTTAATATGCAGCTTTTGACAATCAATTTATTTCCCGTTGACCTAATTCAGACTGAGTAACATATTTTGTAGTGCAAAGTTATAATTGCCAGCAGTTAGTTTTGTTTTGTTTTGTTTTGTTTTCAGTATTAAGGGGGAGTTTTGTCAACATTGGAATCCAAGGAAATTTTGGAAAATCTGAGTTAGAAAACAGATTTTATGCTCTGCATCTGGATATAGTAGAAAACCTACTGTTTTGTTTACTTGTTTTCAAGAAAAATACATATATAGAAATTTTATTTATTTATTTATTTTTATTATACTTTAAGTTTTAGGGTACATGTGCACATTGTGCAGGTTAGTTACATATGTATACATGTGCCATGCTGGTGCGCTGCACCCACTAACTCGTCATCTAGCATTAGGTATATCTCCCAATGCTATCCCTCCCCCCCTTCCCCCACCCCACCACAGTCCCCAGAGTGTGATATTCCCCTTCCTGTGTCCATGTGATCTCATTGTTCAATTCCCACCTATGAGTGAGAATATGCGGTGTTTGATTTTTTGTTCTTGCGATAGTTTACTGAGAATGATGATTTCCAATTTCATCCATGTCCCTATAAAGGACATGAACTCATCATTTTTATGGCTGCATAGTATTCCATGGTGTATATGTGCCACATTTTCTTAATCCAGTCTATCATTGTTGGACATTTGGGTTGGTTCCAAGTCTTTGCTATTGTGAATACTGCCGCAATAAACATACGTGTGCATGTGTCTTTATAGCAGCATGATTTATAGTCCTTTGGGTATATAACCAGTAATGGGATGGCTGGGTCAAATGGTATTTCTAGTTCTAGATCCCTGAGGAATCGCCACACTGACTTCCACAATGGTTGAACTAGTTTACAGTCCCACCAACAGTGTAAAAGTGTTCCTATTTCTCCACATCCTCTCCAGCACCTGTTGTTTCCTGACTTTTTAATGATTGCCATTCTAACTGGTGTGAGATGGTATCTCATTGTGGTTTTGATTTGCATTTCTCTGATGGTCAGTGATGATGAGCATTTTTTCATGTGTCTGTTGGCTGCATAAATGTCTTCTTTTGAGAAGTGTCTGTTCATGTCCTTCGCCCACTTTTTGATGGGGTTGTTTGTTTTTTTCTTGTAAATTTGTTTGAGTTCATTGTAGATTCTGGATATTAGCCCTTTGTCAGATGAGTAGGTTGCAAAAATTTTCTCCCATGTTGTAGGTTGCCTGTTCACTCTGATGGTAGTTTCTTTTGCTGTGCAGAAGCTCTTTAGTTTAATTAGATCCCATTTGTCAATTTTGTCTTTTGTTGCCATTGCTTTTGGTGTTTTGGACATGAAGTCCTTGCCCATGCCTATGTCCTGAATGGTAATGCCTAGGTTTTCTTCTAGGGTTTTTATGGTTTTAGGTCTAACGATTAAGTCTTTAATCCATCTTGAATTGATTTTTGTATAAGGTGTAAGGAAGGGATCCAGTTTCAGCTTTCTACATATGGCTAGCCAGTTTTCCCAGCACCATTTATTAAATAGGGAATCCTTTCCCCATTGCTTGTTTTTCTCAGGTTTGTCAAAGGTCAGATAGTTGTAGATATGCGGCATTATTTCTGAGGGCTCTGTTGTGTTCCATTGATCTATATCTCTGTTTTGGTGCCAGTACCATGCTGTTTTGGTTACTGTAGCCTTGTAGTATAGTTTGAAGTCAGGTAGTGTGATGCCTCCAGCTTTGTTCTTTTGGCTTAGGATTGCCTTGGCAATGCGGGCTCTTTTTTGGTTCCATATGAACTTTAAAGTAGTTTTTTCCAATTCTGTGAAGAAAGTCATTGGTAGCTTTATGGGGATGGCATTGAATCTGTAAATTACCTTGAGCAGTATGGCCATTTTCATGATATTGATTCTTCCTACGCATGAGCATGGAATGTTCTTCCATTTGTTTGTATCCTCTTTTATTTCCTTGAGCAGTGGTTTGTAGTTCTCCTTGAAGAGGTCCTTCACATCCCTTGTAAGTTGGATTCCTAGGTATTTTATTCTCTTTGAAGCAATTGTGAATGGGAGTACACTCATGATTTGGCTCTCTGTTTGTCTGTTATTGGTGTATAAGAATGCCTGTGATTTTTTTACATTGATTTTGTATCCTGAGACTTTGCTGAAGTTGCTTATCAGCTTAAGGAGATTTTGGGCTGAGACAATGGGGTTTTCTAGATATACAATCATGTCGTCTGCAAACAGGGACAATTTGACTTCCTCTTTTCCTAATTGAATACCCTTTATTTACTTCTCCTGCTTAATTGCCCTGGCCAGAACTTCCAACACTATGTTGAATAGGAGTGGTGAGAGAGGGCATCCCTGTCTTGTGCCAGTTTTCAAAGGGAATGCTTCCAGTTTTTGCCCATTCAGTATGATATTGGCTGTGGGTTTGTCATAGATAGCTCTTATTATTTTGAAATATGTCCCATCAATACCTAATTTATTGAGAGTTTTTAGCATGAAGTGTTGTTGAATTTTGTCAAAGGCTTTTTCTGCATCTATTGAGATAATCATGTGGTTTTTGTCTTTGGTTCTGTTTATATGCTGGATTACATTTATTGATTTGCGTATATTGAACCAGCCAGAAATTTTAAACCATCTCCGATATAATGTTCTGGATAATAGCAAGTGAGTCCAAAACATATGGATTGTATTTTCCTTGATCCCAAAAGGCTGAAAACTTAGTGTCTGAAATGGTTGATAAAACTTTCCTTCTTCTTTTTGCAATTTTAAGGCTGATAGTAAAGTAACAGAATCCAGAATGCTAAAACAATTACTGAGGAAGTACATTAGTCTGGGTTCTCCAGAGAAACGGAACTAATAGGATGAGTGTGTGTGTGTGTGTGTGTGTGTGCGCGCGTGCACGCGTGCATGTGTATACACAGAGAAAGAAGGGAGAGAGAGAGGGAGAGGCGGGGGAGAGAGAGAGAGAGAGAGGAGAAGAATTTTAAAGAATTGGCTAAAAAAAAAAGGACTGGCTCATGTGTCATGTGATTGTGGGGACTGGCAAGCTCTTATCTATAGGACAGGCTGTCAGGTTGGAGACCCAGGGAAGAGCTGATATTGCAGCTTGAGTCCAAATGCAATCTGGTAGCAGAATTCCCTCTTTCATGGATGACCTTAATCTTTCTCTCTTAAGGCCTTCAACTTAAAACAAATTTGAGACCCACTCACATTATTGCAGGTCATCTGCTTTACTCAAAGACTACTGATTTAAATGTTAATCTTACCTAAAAATACCTTCACAAGGACATCTACGATTGCTGTTTGAACAAACACTTGGAGATCACAGCCTAGCCAAGCTGACACAGAAAATTACCCATTGCGTTTGGCATTGATAGTCTGTGCTCACCAAAATTTAAAATTATTTCAGCAAACTCTTCTTTGTGGACATCATTATCTATCAAATTTAGAGGAATATAAATATCCCATATTCCTTCTCAACCTTCTTAAAAATTATATCATTTTAACATCCTTTTATTTCCAATATCCCCTTTCTCTATGTCTTTTTCATCTTCTCAGCTGTTGCACCCACAATACAACAATGCATGTCAGTTTTCCTGATTGAATTACTCTTTATGACAGGGAAGAGAGAAATCCCCATGATCCATTCCACAATTTTGAATCTCTGGTACCAGTTGATCTGTACTTCATGGCAGGAACTACACCATCCCCTGTTTCTATCCTCTTGAAGATTAATTTTTATGTGCACTCCTGTGTATATGTGTATGCTTGTGTTAATTCTCTTCAGATGAAATTCATTTATTTTTGCCAATCCGATATCTCTAAAGCAGAAGACAGAAATTTTCACAGCTCAATGAATGCAAAGTAATAATTACATATGTGAATATTAAAGAATTACAGAACTAATTATTACTCTTCCAAGCATAGACAATTGGAGGCAGAGGTAAAAACTCAGGAAACCCAGATATAGGGCTTAAAATAGTTAGACATTATAGTCATCCAAAGGGCAGCTCCTCTGTAAGATCAGACAGACATCCCTGTTCCTGCCCTTTGTTTCACTGATGTGCATCACTGTCTGAAAGGACACCCTGTGCTGGAAAGCCTAGGCAGAGGTTGTCTAGCAAATTCTTGTGTCTTCATACTATGCTGCATCTACTGAAATATGCTCCTTGAAGCAAATATTTAGGAAAAGATTTACTTTTATGTTTTAGGACAGCACATTCTACTTACAGCTTACTGAGACTGAGCCTCAGAAAATGTTTTATAGTGTCTGAGTAGAATCCTCTTGTTATAGAAAATAACAGTCTTCTGCCTAGACATATCCCATACGGAAACCAATAACAGTTGATCTTTTATTAATCATGTTACATTTTTCAGACTACTGTTTCAAATATTTTTACAAGGCCACAAAAGCCTCAGAACAAAAATGAGCACATAGTTGCCAAGGTACATTCCTGGGCAAGTGGCCAGAGGGGCAACCAGGTAACCCCAGCCAGACATTTTGTGATGATATGTGACATCATCTAAACCATTTATCCCCCTTTTGTTTGTGCTTTGCTCATTCGCTAGTCATTGTCTGACATTTACTACCTTTTTCTCCTCCATTGATCTATATTTAGAACAAAGCCCTCTGAGCAGGCACTGCAGGCTCTAGTAAAAATAATTTTTCTTTTACTCATAAGGTGAACTTCACCCCCAGCTATGAGCTCGTAATTCTGACATGCAATTCCATTATCCAGGAATTCAGATGCTGTTTATTGATACCATCTGCACATTCATTGTTCACATGTTAGGTTATTTTCTCAACTCCTAACTCTCAGTAAGACTATGTGATGACAGTGCCATCTGTGCTGCCAAGTTTTTCATCTTCTTACCAAAGAGGGTACACTCTTAAGGTGTGGTTCATGTCAGTATGGGTCGATAGAAGTGCTATGTGGAGAACAACATGGATGTGTCATTGAGAAAGGTGACACCAGCCCTAACTGGCAGCAATCCATATTCAGTCATTCAGAAACTATTAATGAGAAATCACGAAACAACATCCCTAGTTTCCTCTTTTAAGGCCCAGGTTGTCTTAAGCTGCTTTGTTCCCTTGAATTCTTTGTGGATATAGTTTGTAAAGAATCGTTCCTTGTTTTCTTTGGACCTGAAGACCAGTCTTTTAAAGCATAGGTCTACTCAAACCATTATCTTTCAGATGGTTTCCTGTTTTCCCTGATTTTTCCACATATGGGCCATAAACTGCGTAATACAAAGAGTAATAGATTGAGCTAGAATCCAGGTGTTCTTATTTCTAGTTCTAACACTGTAAATAACTTTGTAGTATTGAGCGCACATTAAACTATCTTTAGGATTCTATTTCCTCGTCTGAAACACTAGCGTAATGGGGTGGTAATTGTATAGCATCAGGGTGTCAGTTGACTTTTAAGTAGGAATTTATCTTTTCTCTCTTTTATGTAAGTAAGATACGAAATGGCATTTAGAAAAATGTTCACTGAGTTTTGAAAAAGAAAACACACTGCTTTGGTTTACTTTGTCTTTTTAAAAAGACAACATTTCACTATGATGTTGAATTACATTGCATGTTCCCCATAAACA
This sequence comes from Homo sapiens, assembly GCF_000001405.40. Lineage (NCBI taxonomy): Eukaryota > Metazoa > Chordata > Mammalia > Primates > Hominidae > Homo > Homo sapiens. The sequence continues at coordinate 29,155,918 of NC_000018.10, forward strand.
CTTAGAAGTTATAATAACGTTACTCATTTAAAACCCCTGCAGAGCTACCATGTAGGTAATATTTAAAGATCATTGTTCTGAATCAATGACATAGAATGAGTTACTGAGCTATCAACCGCCTGCATTGGTGACAAATGTAATTGTATATAAATGTTTTATATGATGCACAGATATGAGTATTTGATGAGTACATGCCATTAAATCCAAATATATTTATCATTGCTGTTCTGTGCAAGGATTTCATGTAATTTAAATATTTCCCTTGCATGAGATTTTCATTGTAAATATATTGCATTTATAAAGTCTTATTAATTTCACAGGCTCATGGTTTTACTATTTTCCTTATTAAGAAAATTTGCCATTTCCTCATTTTTCCTCATTATAATAACACTTTAATTCAGAAATTATCACATGAAGGATTTGGAATGATGGCAGACTTTGTTGCGACATTTTGCTTCACACAGCACAGCCTTGCTTTCTGCAAGAATTGTGCAGTGACAATGCCATGACCTTTAGATACCACACATCTGCCTAGGATAGAAGTATCTTTGTTTTCTTTTATCCCACACTTTTTTGAACATGTAATATATTCCAGGCCCCAAGATAAGCACTAGAAATACAAAGACAAAAAGGTACAATTGCTGCCTTTCAGTAACTCACTGTTTCATGTGAGAGGTGGATTCGTCAGGGCAAGATAGTAGATAAAGCATTGGTACGTACCCACCTCCACTTTTTTCAGGTCCCAACATGCAAGTAAAATAAAGGTAAAAAAGGTAAATAAATAAGTTGACAGCTGAGAGCAGGGTGGGGGCATCAATTAAAGACAGGTTTAAACACATTTCTGACAGACAAAAAGAGATGAATGCGTGAGTCATTAATCCAAGAACAGAAAGACAAAACCTAGAACACTTGAAAAGAAAGTTGCAGCTAATGAAAAGCGGACTTATTCAGCAGAACCCCCAAGAAGATGCAGACTAAGAAATGCCAATGCTTTGATGGGTACAAGGAAGAAATAGGACTAAGACAAGACAAATAATGGAGGACTTACATGGCAGAGGTAAATCACCCACATCTCTTTCTCCAACTCCTTATGCTCGATGCTCAGCATTGAAGCCCTTTACCCCAGGGACAAATACAAGTTTGACAAAGCCATCTGAGGAAAATAAGGTTGGTTAATTTAAGTAACAGAGACCTAGAGTGAAGTCTTCTTTGTACTTTCTTGTCCTGTTATATATGAGTCCTGCAGCATAAGATTCACCCCCATGATTTCTTTCTCTAAAGCATTTTGTGCTGGACACAGTCTCTCTGTCAATCTTCTTAGATCCTTATCGTTAAGTATGGTTTGACTACCATGACTCACCGTAAGTTCATAAAGGTACTGCAACATGAAATAGAATGATGAAGATATATTAAGTAAAAACTAATCCTGAGTAAATAAAGGGTAATATAGGAAACCAAAATAATGTTTAAAAGTCTCCTCAGGCGGATTTGAGGTTTTGGCCATGAGAATTAGAAAAAGAAAGAAAGAAAGTAAGAAAAAAATAAAGAGAAAGGGAAGGAAGGAAGGAAGGAAGGGAGGGAGGGAGGGAGGGAGGGAAGGAGGGAGGAAGGGAGAGAGGGAAGGAGGGAGGTTAATGAGGAGAAAAAATCTTGGAAGTTAAAGTCATTATTGAAACAACATATTAAATAGGAAAGTTGGAAAATAAATATGAAGTTAATTGCTCATTTAATATAACTACAATAAAAATAAAGGAATATGGAAGAGAAAAAAATATAGTTCAGGATGGCTAACACTTGGCTAAAAGAAGTTATTGGTAAAAAGCATGAAGAGAACAAAGATGAAATGATCAAAGACATAGTACCAAAAATTCTTTAAAAGCTAAAAAGAGAAACCAACCTAACTTAAAAGGCTTTCCATGTACTATACCTTAAAATATTTAGTCACATCATTGTGAAACATAAGAAAAAAATCCTAAAATCACCTGTAAATGACATATAATCAGACTATCATTCATTTAGCATTATAGATAAAAACGGAAACGTGCTTTCAAAATTCTCAGCAGAAATGATTTTCGATGTAGACTTACATACTCATGAATACTTTCACTAAAATGTTAGGAATGAATAAAATGCTTTGAAATCTGAAAGAACTCAGGAAGTATGTTTGAAAAAAATTTCCTTAGGAAATTAATTGTGGTCATATTCCAGCAAATTAAATGAGTAAGAAAGGAAAATGTGAAAATCGGGAAATAAATACAAGAGAACAAGATAAGCTCTGACATGTCACTTTGTAATTGACCTATTGTCTAGTTTAGATCAGAAGGACCATAACAGAATATAAATATATCAGCATATCACAAAGGAGAAGATGTAATCAACACACTACCTGGCCCTATTCTAAACTCTAATTTACATTTGCACTATACTTTTATGATAAACCTGTAGACAGATTATGAGATAATTAACTTTGCTTTAAGATAAGGATATAAAAGCAAAAATACAGGGAGTTAATAAAGATAAGTTGGAGGAAATGGGTGCACCAATGCCCTCATCTTAGAAAGGGGGTGTCAAGGCATAAAAATTAAGGTTCATAGACCATAAATAATCACTTGAATTTGCAGATGGGAACAGTGAAGATAGAAACAGAGAATTATGAGATAACTATTGGGAGTGCGGAGTGGATATATGGGTGGTGAGTTAAAAGCCTGGCCTTTTAGAGTGAGATATTAATAGATAATGGGTAAATTTGAAAAATCTGCAAGAAAGTTTACTTTTTACTTTTTTGGGGTGTGTTACTGTTGATAATTCTCAGGGTATTCATTGACAAATTAAATGTAGAAATCTTTGTAAATTGTTGCTTCTGGATAAGGGAGCTGGGTCTGAGGAATATTGAGGTGTTTATGTTAACTTCATTGCACACCCTTTGGTAGTATTTAGGTATTTTTTTAATTTTATGTGTTATTTTAATAAAAAGTAAATAAAATAATTGCTGTGTGAAAAATGCTAGGATATTGATGTCTACGCAAGTGTTTGTGTAAGAACATTCAGAGAGTGATGGTCAATTCCAATTGTTCTCGCTCCATATCCATTTTAGTAAACTATTTAAAATGCCAGGTCATGGATTTGGGTTTTTGCTTGGGGGAGGCTAATGAACTTGCTCAAATGCATTTGGTCTAGGGATATATTTACACACTGATCAATGCAATTTAATAAGTCTTATTGTTCATTTACCTCTCTTATGGGAATATCATTGTTTAATTTCCTTTTAATTGACTATTATTCATTATTTATCATTTATTAATACTTGTGTGACTTTAATTTATTGTTGGCTTTAATTTCCCTTCTAGTAATAATTTTCTTCAATTAGATTTATTTCAACGGCTTTACACACTATTTTCCTGGATAAATTTAAGGAGAGATTTAAATTTTAATGCAAAGTTATCATCCTTAATGCCATTTCAAACATGCTGGTCCATGCTCTAACCAAATGCTCCTGAGATAAAGTTCAATTATTTTATTGATCAAATGTATTAATGCATTGATGTTAAGTAATTAAATAACTAATGCAGGATATCTCTATGTAGAGGAACCACACAGCTGGAGTTTGTAGATAAGATCCAAAATATTGCTATTTCTCTGACTACCTAATGCTTTAAGGTTCATACTTTAGCAACTCTTCTTTTAAGCACTTTGTCTACATGGGTAATGCCTACCTCCTATTCATACTTTAAAAATTAATTACAACTTTTTAGGAATCATGTGTTTCATAATTGGTTAAGTAGAGAATCATAGATGTGAGCCCTATTTCAATGTCTTTGTAAGCTAAAGATTAAAGATAAAGGATAAGTCCCTACAGAATAACTGTTATCTTAGTTTCTGGTCTTGTCTGATGTCTAAAACAACTACTCTGCTATACCTTTCTTAAAGTGATCATTAATTATACTATCTAATTCTAAGTCTTTTAAATTTAGGGTACTTGTTTTTAAGATTCATTAAAGCTTTTGCAGTGGTAAAACACTGCAAAAGGGATCTAATATGAAATAGAACTTATTTTTAGATTCGGGTGCATGAGAATAAAGATGTTTTAAGATAGTTGGCAGATTTGGCATCTTCACTGGTAAAATGTGTTTTTATTTCTATATAATTACAAAAAATATGTAATTTATCCTTTCAAGCAGAGACTATAGCTGGAGATTGGAGCATAGCCAAAGTGTTGAAAATCTTGCAGAAGGGAGTGAAGGGTAATCCAAAAATTATACACTGGCAACTCTCACCTCTGCACCTGGAAAGCTAGTTTGAAAGATCTTGGAAGGTGGAACACAAATCATCTGGGTGAGCAAAACTCTTTAGGAATAAATCAGCCTGAGCTTTGCAAATGTAAATCATTCCCTCTCTGCCTTGAAAGGATACTTTACGATGCTTAACGCAGAGTAAATAAAGGAGGTTTGCCAGATGTATTCAATTTAGACTTTCAATGCCTCTTAAAAGAGATATTTTTATCCTGAGTATCACCTGACAGTGGGAATCTGTACCTACATTTAGAGAACACACAAGAAGCTTTTTTGCCATCTGGCCTATCTATGGTCCAACTTTACCAGAGACCACAGAGTTAGCTTCTGCCCCTGGACAAATCCATTTTTTGTTGCATGTCAATTCCCAAGAACCTGTAAATTCTTGGCAACAGAAGGAGAGGGAAAGTTCTGTTCATGATTAAAAACTGGATTAATTACAAAAGGCAGGATTGTGAATATTGTCTTGCTGCTGTAAAAAAAAAAGAACTGTCTGCTTATTGGAACAGAGTCAAATATTTAATTCATTATTTAGAATAGAGGGAGGTGAGCTTTTTTATGTTGAATTGCTAGGGACAAACACTTAGAGGAGATGAAGAATCCTGAGAAACTAATGCAAAGAGAGTAGACATACATGCACCCTCCCCTACTCCCTGTGACCCGTATTCTTGTCTATAGGAATATGAAAAAAAGAAAACATTTATGAATTAGTACCTTTCTTTAACTGATTCATGATCTAATTAAGAAGCTACGGCTAACCATGGTGGCTCACACCTGTAATCCCAGCATTTTGGGAGGCCTAGGCAGGTGGATCACTTGAGGTCAGGAGTTGGAGACCAGCCTGGCCAACATGGTGAAATCCTATCTCTATTAAAAATACAAAAATTAGCCTGGCATGGTGGAGGATGCCTGTAATCCCAGCTACTTGGGAGGCGGAGGAAGGAGAATCGCTGAAATCTGGGAGGTAGAGGTTGCAGTGAGCTGAGATCACACCCCGGCACTCCAGCCTGGGTGACTGAGCAAGACTATGTCTCAAAAAGAAAAAAAAAAAAAAAAAAGGAAATGCTACATGTAAAATGGTCATTAGCCTTAAAGTCAAAGGCAAGAGGCAAATGACTGACACAGAGAGGAAGTAAAAGCATATTTCAAAAGAAAGAGCAAGCACTCTTATTTGAGATGGTCAGTGCAGGTGTGATTTGTTCCTAAAAAGGGGTGCATGCCAGAGATTGGGTAAGACATTTGTCCAGGGTGGAAAATGTGGGCAAGGAAGACAGAAAAATTCAAAGTGATTTGTGCAGTATTTCATAGCCCACATAGCTAGTTAAGTACTATGATTAGCCAAATGTCTCCATTAATGTTTGTTGAATGGGAAACAACCATGATCAAAGCAAACTTTTGAATATATTTGTTACATATTATACAATATATGAAGAATGAGTCACATTCATGAGTGAGAGGCCTGAGATGCAAAAGGGTTGGAATGAGCCAGGTTTTGAACACTTACTCTGTTGAATAAAGATAACTTTTCTAAGGTAATTTATATGAATAATAAATATGAATCAAATGCAAACACACAAGTCCTTTTTAAAAACACAATGGAACTAGACAAGCTAAATCAATGTAAACTTCCAAGGAAAAATAAATAAGAAAGTACAGAAGGAAAACTTAGAAAGAAAGCACAGAAGATAAACTAGCCTTTCAGGATTTCAATGCACAGAAGATAAACTAGCCCTTCAAGATTGATGCTTTCAATAAGTAAAACAGTATACTACTAACACATGAAGAAAAAGAAAGTCCAATGGGAAAGAATAGAAAACTCAGAAACAAACTGACTTTATCAATAGATTAGGCAATAAATGATGTGGAAACAAGTAGAAAATCGTGTGATAAGAATATTAATTAGCATTAACACATCACATCAACTACCAGGATATAGTCCAACTGGCTACAACATTCAAATATATAAAATAAAGACATAAATATAGCTGAAGAAAATACAGAATTATTTTATCACCTCAAGTGGAAGGAGACTTTCTTATACTATTTCAAATTCTAATACACAAAATATTTTTTAAATTGTTAAATTCAACTCCATAAAAATAAATAAATCTATACCACAAAAAAATCATAAGCAAAGCTAAAATAATAATAATCCAGAAAACCATCCACTACTCATATAAGAGACAAATTACCATATTCTTAATACATAAAGAGCTCATATGACTAGATAAGGAAAAGATCGACACAGTCATAGAGAACTATGTAACACAATAAAGACATTGTTTACAGAATAGAAAGTAATATGACCTTTAAACATTAACAAAATATTCAACTTTGTTCATAATTAGAAAAACACAAACTAAGCCTTTACTGATTCTTTTACCTTTCTATTTGGCAAAAATTCAATTTTACTGATTTGCTGAGTTGCAGCAGTGCTGGTGGCAGTGTAAGAGACCCTATCGCTATGGGTAGAATTAGCAACATACTAAATGTATAAATGCATCTACTCTTCAACCCAATAATTCCATTCTTTGGACTTTATCCAAAAGATACACTTTTACCCATTTGAAATGCTATATGTGCAGGGGTATTCAAACAGCATTTACAACATCAAAATAGAAGTAACACTTTTATGTTACTGTCTTCAATAAATGAAAAACTTCCAAATACATTTATATAAAAAATTTTTTTTCAAGTAAAGGAATGACAGAACGATTTCATCTTTTGTACCAGAAGAGAGCATTACCAAAAATTTTAACCCATTCACCCACCAAATAAAGTTAAATCCCATCATTTTGCCATGAAGTAAAAATAAGACAAGGGGGAGAAACATTAGTGAACATGTAGAATTGTTCAGGAATCAAAATCCCTTAAAGGTTGACTTAAGTAGTAAACTATTTTGCAAACTTCAGGGAATATTAAAATCATAATAATAAACGCTAACATCCTGTAATATTCCAAAATATACTTTTCTCTCTCTCCAAGTACACCTATGTACTGCTGTTAAGCCCAGCACGTGTAGCTGTCAGGCAGGAGAAACCCTATTCATTGTGAATCAAATAAAATGCTGTCTGCTACAAAAAGAAAAGTGTTTTCCCTACTCTTGAGACTGCTTTCCAATTTTAAGAATGTATGAGACTTCTGTTTTAAAAATAGAATTTGACTCTTCATTTCAATTAATAACTGTATAATTATTTTCAGAGACTTGATCTTTATGAGGAAGCAGACATATTTGCAAAAAAAAAAAGTAAATAAAAATTAGCAGTGTAAAAGGATAAAGGCAAGAAACCTCAATGCTAAATATTCAACTCCCACATTGGCACCTTTACCTCAGCCTTCTGTCAGAAACAGTGTAAGTGATGGAAAAATGAAAAAGTAACATGTAGCGGCCTTGTTTTCAAAGTTGGAATTACTGGTGACTGACAAAGGAATCTACCATCTATGTCTGCTTGTCACTCTGGGAGTCAGCTGTTACTGGAAGAATAATGGATGTCCAACTTCTGATATGCCTTTCTTACCAAAGATGTGGATAACTATATTTCTGAATAATCATCAGCTCTTCTGTCATAAGTGATCATATTTCCACATTCAAGTTTGTTTTGTTTTTTCTTTCCCAAATTATCATGTGCCTGGAGAGTCATAGAATGGTCTCTCATGAATTCAAAGACACAGATTGTTTACTGTGAGGTTTAAGAAATTTACATGAATAATTTAGGTAATCATCTTACCCTTTTCCTCTGAAGCAATTGAGAAACAAGCACAGGAGTCAAATGAATATTCAAAAATTAAGTTTTAAAAACCAATAAAACCTGGATTGGAAGATGAAACTCAGCCCCAGACTGGAACCATATTTCTACTTCCTCCCCATCCCTTGTCCACAATGTTCCTTCTGCATCCAGAATCCAGGGGTGATGGCTGCAGTGCAAAACATACACTAGAAGATGACTTCATAATAGAGTGGTAAATATATAGTTAAGGATCCCAGAAAAAAAAGAAACTAGGGAACACAGTTTTTTACTCACTGGATAAATGAGTCTTCCTTTGGAAAAAATGAGTCAGAGAAGCCAGAGTGGGAGTATGAGATCCTGAATCCTGAGTCACTCTTGAGTGACTCAAGCCAACAGCAGAACACTATTAAAGTGCAAATATACGCTCTCAATTAAAAGCAACCACTTTTAATTCATCAGCATCTTCTCAAAGATAACAGCAGATGATCCAGCTGATACAAAGAACTACTGTCAAAACTATAATACTCAGAATTGAAAATTTCAGATGAAAAAATTGGAATATAGAAGGTATGGTGAGGTATAGGAGAAGCAGGTCCATGTGAGGGTCATAGTTCAGGGTTTCTGGTGTCTGTGCTGCTGCATTATAATTCTGGATTTGAACACAAACTTCAGCTACCATTTTGCTTTTTGCTAATCAACTTTCTAAGATAAAGACAGCAACATCTAACATCTGTATTATACTATCATCTAGAATTAGCAAGGTATACTATTTCTCTTCTACTTTTCTTTTGAGGCCACTTTATTGAGTTGCTAGTGCAAACTGTACAGGATATATTAATTTTTACCTTTAGTGGCATTATAAACAACCTCACCTACACTCAATATTAACACTGAACATAAACATTTGCTGACCACATCTAATTGTACTAAGCATCATACCTTAGCCACTTGGCAGATATTACTGCATTTACTATTCATAACTTTATGAGGTATCATTAAACCATTTTACATAAGACTCTGTTTCTATCTGAGAGTAAAACTTTTTCTATTGGGTGCAATCCCTTAAACAACTAAATAATCACCCAGGCAATAAGATAAGTGAACTTATTCAACATTTGATACTACTGAACACTGTATTTATCAAATCACTTTCTTTTCCTATCAAGAGAGAACTTTGTATTAATTCAGCTAGCACCCATGGACCCAGCAGTGGGCACCTACCTAAGGAAAACAGCAGTGAACAAGGCTCATGCTAGACTTCCTGTCAAGCCACCATCTAGGTGGCAATTGGTTGACTTGACACAGCTGAATTTTCTATTTTTTCTCAGAAGGCTAATAGACCTAGTAAGAAATGATGGAGTGTTAAGAATGTAAGAACCCGAAATCTAATAGAGCAAATGGTCTCCTCCAGGAAAGTATTATTTACTCATATCCGTATTACCTAGAAGTGGCAGAAAAGAACTGGAAGGGAAGATTGCTATGGATTACTGTATACTCCGCTAAGCATTCTCTGTGAATGAACTGCATTCTTGAGTGAATCACCACTGGCATTATTGAATAGTTTGAATTCCAGGGCTCTGAGCTACAATTTGGATGTTCCACAAACAGTGAGATACTGGAAAACTAATATGAACTCATTAGATTATGAGAAACTGAAATGAACAAAAGGAAAAATTTTTATTAACAGTCCAACATTAGTGAATTGGTCTTTATTTGCATTTTGTTGTTGCACCAATAGGGGATTTTTGACAGTTGTACTTTCATCAATTGGCTGAGAAAAATAATTTTTAAAAGATATTTAAAATGTATAAAATTTGCGTGAGTACATAGTAGGTATATATATTTATGGAGTACACAAGATGTTTTGATTCAGGCATGTATTTGAAATAAGCACATGATAAGGAATGGGGTCTCTTTCTCATCAAGCATTTATCCTTTGAGTTACAAACAATCCAATTAAACTCTTTTTATTATTTTAAAATATACAATTAAGTTATTATTGATTATGGTCACTCTATTGTGCTATCAAATAATGGGTGTTATTTATTCTTTCTATTTTTTTTGTACTCATTAACCATCCACACCTCCCCTCTATACCCCCATAACCCTTCCCAGCCTCTGGTAACCATCCCTCTACTCTCTGTGTTCACAGGTTCAGTGGTTTTTATTTTTAGATCACACAAATAAGTGAGAACATGTGATGTTTGTCTTTCTGTGCCTGGTTTTTTTCACTTAATGTAATGATATCTCAGTTCCATCCATGGTGTTGCAAACGACTGGGACTCACTCTTTTTTTATGGCTGAACAGTACTACTCTATTGTATATATGTACCACATTTTCTTTATCCATTCATCTGTTGATGGAGACTTAGGTTGCTTCCAAATCGTAGCTATTGTAAACAGTGCTGCAACAAACATAGGAGTGTAGATATATCTTTAATATATTGACTTCCTGTCTTTTGGGTATAGACCCAGCTATTGGATTGCTGGATCATATGGTAGGTCCAATTGTCGTTTTTTGAGGAACCTCCAAACTGTTCTCCATAGTGGTGGTACTAATTTACATTCCTGCCAACAGTGTACTAGTGTTCCCGTTTCTTCACATCCTTGCCAGCATTTGTTATTGCCTGACTTTTGAATATAAGCCATTTTAACTGGGATGAGGTGATATCTCATTATAGCTCTGGTTTGCATTTCTCTGAAGATCAATGATGTTGAGAACCTTTTCATGTACTTGTTTTTCATTTGTATGTCTTCTTTTGAGAAATGTCTATTCAAATATTTTGCCCATATTTTGACCAATCTGGTCAAAATTAGACTATTTAGAATAGAGTTGTTTGAGCTCCTTATATATTCTGGTTATTGATTCCTATAAGGTGGGTAGTTTGCCAATATTTCTCCCATTATGTGGGCTGTTTCTTCACTTTGTTGATTGTATCCTTTGTTGTGCGGAAGCTTTTTAACCTGATGTGATCCCATTTGTCCGTTTTTGCTTTAGTTGCCTGTACTTGCAGGGTATGGCTCAAGAAGTCTTTGTACAGACCAATGTCCTGGAAATTTTCCCCAGTGTTTCCTTATAGTAGTTTTATAGTTTGAGGTCTTAGATTTAAATCTTTAATTCATTTTGATTTTATTTTTATATATGGTGTTGGATAAGGGTCTAGATTCATTCTTATGCGTTTGGATATTCAATTTTCCCAACACCATTTATTGAAGAGACTATCTTTTCCCCAGTGTAGGTTCTTGGTACCTTCATCAACAACGAGTTCACTGGAGGTGTGTGCATTTGTTTCTGGGTTCTCTATTCTGTTCCATTGGTCTATATGTCTGTATGTTTTTAGGCCAGTATCATGTTATTTTGGTTACTATAGCTCTGTAGTATAATTTGAAGCTGGATATTGTGATTCCTCCAGTTTTGGTCTTTTTTCTTAGGATAGTTTTGGCTATTCTTGTTGCTATTCTTTTGTGGTTGTGTGTAAGTTTTAGGATATATTTTTCTATTTCTGTGAAGAAAGTCATTGCTATTTTGATAAGGATTGTATTGAATATGTAGATTTCTTTAGGTAGTGTGAATATTTAACAATATTGATTCTTCCAATCCATGAACATGAAATATTTTCCCATTTTTTAATGTCCTCTTGAATTTCTTTCAACAGTGTTTTATTGTTTTCATTATAGAGGTCTTTCACTTCTTTGGTTAAGTTAATTCCTTGGTATTTAATTTTATGCATGGCTATTGTAAGTGGGATTACTTTTATTTCTTTTCTTACGTTGTTCACTGTTGGCATATAGAAATACTACTGATTTTTGTATGTTGATTTTGTATCCTGAAACTTTACTGAATGTATCACTTCTAATCATTTTCCTATGGAGTCTTTAGGTTTTTCCAAATGTAAGGTTATATCATCTGCAAACAAGGACAATTTGACTTCTTCCTTTTCATTGTGGATGCCCTTTATATTTTTCTCTTGTCTGACTGCTCTAGATAGGAGTTCCAGTACTATGTTGAATAAGTGGTGACAGTGGCCATCCTTGTTTTGTTCCAGATCTTAGGCGAAAGACTTTCAGTTTTTCCCCATTCAGCATGATACTAGCTGTAGCTCTGTCATATATGGTTTTTATTATTTTGAGGTATGTTCCTTCTATACCATGTTTTTTTTTTTTTTTTTTTTTTTTTTTTTTTTTTTTTGAGACAGAGTCTCGCTCTGTTGCCCAGGCTGGAGTGCAGTGGCGGGATCTCGGCTCACTGCAAGCTCCGCCTCCCGGGTTCACGCCATTCTCCTGCCTCAGCCTCCCAAGTAGCTGGGACTACAGGCGCCCGCCACTACGCCCGGCTAATTTTTTGTATTTTTAGTAGAGACGGGGTTTCACCGTTTTAGCCGGGATGGTCTCGATCTCCTGACCTCGTGATCCGCCCGCCTCGGCCTCCCAAAGTGCTGGGATTACAGGCGTGAGCCACCGCGCCCGGCCTACCATGTTTTTTGAAGGTTTTTATCATGAAGGGTTATTTAATTTTATCACGTTTTTTCAGCACCAATTGAAATAATCATATGGTTTTTGTCTTTTAGTCTGTTCTTATAATCTACCACATTGATTGATTTGTGTACATTTAACAAACCTGGCATCCCAGTGATAAATCCCACTTGGTCATGATGAATGATCTTTCTAATGTATTGTTGAATTTGCTTAACTAGTATTTTGTTGAGGATTTTTGCATCAATATCCATCAGAGATTGGCCTGTAGTTTTCTTTTTTTGATGTGTCTTTGTCTGGTTTGGGTATCAAGATAACACTGGCCTTGTAGAATAAGTGTGTAAGTATTCCCTCCTCTAATATTTTTTGGAATAGTTTCAGTAGGAATGGTATTAATTATTTTTTTAAATGTCTGGTAGAATTCAGCAGTGAAACCATCAGGATCCAGGCTTTTCTTTACTGGGAGACTTTTTATTATGGCTTCGCTCTTGTTACTTGTTATTGGTCTGTTGAGGTTTTGGATTTCTTCCCAGTTCAGTCTTGGTAGTTTGTATGTGTCTTGGAACTGGTTTATTTCTTCTAGATTTTCTAATTTATTGGCATATAGTTGATGATAGTAGCCAGTAATGATTATTTGAATTTCTGCGGTATCAGTTGTAATGTCTCCTTTTTCATTTCTGATTTTATTCATTTGGATCTTCTCTTTTTCTTAGTCTGACTGAAGGTTTGTCAATTTTGTTTAACTTTTCAAAAAAACAACATTTTGTTTCATTGATCTCTTGTGTTTTTAAATTTAAATTTCATTTATTTCTTCTCTGACCTTCATTTTTTTTCTATTAATTTTAGGTTTTGTTTGTCCTGCTTTTCTAGTTCTTTAAGATGCATTGTTAGATTGTTCATTTGAAATTTTTCCTATTTTTTGATGTAGGCCCTGATAGCTATAAACTTCCCTCTTAGTATTGCTTTTACTGTATTCCATAGGTTTTGCTATGTTGTGTTGCCATAATCATTTGTTTCAAGAAATTTTTTAAATTTCTTCTTTATTTTTTGTTTGACTTACTGTTCATTCAGGAGCATATTGTTTAATTTCCATGTATTTGTATAGTTTCCAAAAATTACCTGGTTATTAATTTATAGTTTTATTTCATTGTGGTCAGAGAAGATGCTTGATAATATTTCAAATTTTTGAATACTCTTAAGACTTATTTTGTGACCTAATATATGATCTATCCTTGAGAACAATCTGTGTGTTAAGGAAACACTATATATGCTTCAGCTCTTGGATGAAATGTTCTGCAAATAGCTATTAGATCCATTTGGTCTATATTGCAGATTAAGTCTGTGGTTTCTTTGTTAATTTTCTACCTGGAAGATCTGTCCAGTGCTGAAAATGGGGTATTGTAGTCTCCAGCTATTATTGTATTAAGGCCTATCTCTCTAACTCTTATAATATTTCCTTTATATATTTGGGTGCTCCAGTGTTGGGTGTACATATATTTTAAATTTTTATATCCTTTTGCTGAATTGACCCATTTATCATTACATAGTAACCTTCTTTGTTGCTTCTTATAGTTTTTGTCTTGAAATTTATTTTGTCTAATGTAAGTATAGCAACTCCTGCTTTTTTTTTTATTTCCATTGGCATGAAATATCTTTTTCCCATGTCTTTATTTTCAGTCTATGTTTGTTTTTATAAGTGAAGTGTGTTTCTAGAAGGAAACAGATCAATGGGTCTTGTTTTTTCAATCATTCAGCCACTCTATGTCTTTTGATTGGAGAATTTAGTCCATTTACAGTCAATGTTATTATTGAGAAGTAAGGACTTATTCCTGCTGCTTTGCTATTTGTTTTCTCGTTGTTTTATGATCTTCTCTTCCTTCTTCATTTTCTTCCTGTCTTTCTCTAGTGAAGGTGATTTTCTCTTCTGATATGATTTAGTTTCTTAATTTTTATTTTTTGTGTACTCATTGTCTTTATTTGCTTTTGATGAGAAAATATATCACAAAAGGTAGAGTTACTGAGGTGTTTTCAAATTACTTATTAACATGGCTTTGTCAGGTGAATTTAGTGCACAGGTGGATAATTTGGTCAAAACTGGACAATAAGAAAATTCAAAACTAAAAGAATAAAAGTACCAGAAATGGATGGTCACAATCAGATGATGTTTGAGAAGATGTTTTATGTGGACCTGGAAGAACTGATCACTGGAATCACACACATTGATTAAGAAAGAATTATTTTGGGAAGCTTACCTTGTTTCTCTTTTGTCAGTTGAACCCTCCTTAATGTGTTAGCATGATTGGTACTCTGACAGATTATAAGAAGGCAGGGAACCAAGAAGACCGTTATTACCTTTCTTTAGTCTTAAAATTCAAGCCATTCATGCATCTTAAATACTAATCCTTTATACAAGCAATTATGTGACTCTCACATTAGATTTTTTATGAGAAGACACTGCCCTGTTCTCCCTGACTCTTTACTGCCAATGAACCAGGAGGTTGGACTAAATATGTAAAACTGTAAACTTGAAGAATTATGTCAAAACTGTAAGACAAACCTGCCATCAGGCATTATAGAAACAAATACTAAAGTCATGTTCAGTATGATAATACCAGATATTCACAAATACCATCCTTCACAGTAAGTATTTTGATTTATTGCAGTGTATTTGGGCAGAGGCCAAATTATTAACATTTAGAGGCTGGACTTTTCAAAATGTGAGGATGGGATAGTGAATGGATATGACAGTAAGCACAGTTTCTCTGTTGGGTGCTGTGGGGTGGAGAGAAGTTAATGTACACAAGTAGTTGACACAAAATGCTTTGATTTAATAAATTTAACATGCTTTCTTTAGTGAATACTACATTTCAATGCTTGCACTAAGTGCTGGAAAACTCATAACAGAACTTCTCATATAGTTATTATTTTTATTGTAATTTACATTGTGACAGAAAAGTCAATTCCTATACTTATCCCAATATCTTTGTGTGTTGAACTTCAATATCCATGTCTTATTAAACTAATAATTAATTTTTGATTAAATAATTTGTTTTGTCTAACATGTTATTTTCATGTGTGAGCGATTTTAAATACTTCAGTTGCATAAAGGAATAATGCAATGCCATCTGTTAAATATTTTTAAATAAATTTCTGTTTCATCAATGTCCTGGAACCCTTGAGAGCTGAACTATTTAATACCAAAGAAAGTATTTCATAAGGCCTGTACTATTCTGCATCCAATGTCTTCTCAAAATGCTTTCAATGTGCTTTGTGATGCTGTCATACTTTCTTTAAGTTATAGAAGAAAGTGACTTTTTTCTTGGTATAAGAAGTAATGTTTCTTGACTGGTGTGGTGTCAAAATTCTAATATATTAGACTGTATTAGTCTGTTCTCATGCTGCTAATAAAGACATACCCGAGACTGTGTTATTTATAAAGGAAAGAGGTTTAATTGACTCACACTTCAGCATGGCTGGGGAGACCTCAGCCGTGCTGAACTTACACCTTACAATTGTGGTGGGAGGGGAAGCAATCATGTCCTTCTTCACAACAGGCAACAAGGAGAAGTGCAGAGACAAGGTGGGGAAAGCCCCTTACAAAACCATCAGATCTCGTGAGAACTCATCCACATCACAAGAACAGCATGAAGGTAACGGCCTCCACGATTCAATTACCTCCCACTGGGTCCCTCCCATGATGTGCAGGGATTATGGGAACTACAGTTCAAGATGAGGTTTGGGTGAGGACACAGCCAAGACTTTTTTCTTGGTATAAGAAGTAATGTTTCTTGACTGGTGTGATGTCAAAATTCTAATATATTAGACTTTTCCAAGTTAGAATAGCTAAACAAATGTTTTCAGTCATAAGCAAGTGTGTTCCAGGCAAAAATTTGTATTTATGATGCAACTGGATTTATGTCCCTATGTTAGACTCCATAAGTGAGTCATTCTCATATGAAAGGTTATTATCTGCAAGCAGAATATAGCTATCCTCAGATTTTCATTGTTTTCCCATTTATGATTAAATATTTGTATTCCATCTTTATCTCCCAGTTTTCATTTTTACTGCTCCATCTGGTGATCAATCATGTCTTGTGTTTTTAAATAGCAATTTGTAGAGGGCTTAAAACATGTCCATTTTTTACACTGTCAGTAATAAAAAAAGTATTGCTTACAGTGTCTTCTGGGGAACACATTCATGTCATGCTCATCTGAGTCACTGAAAGATTTATGAAGAGGAAAAGGTTAAAGGGCAGACATTTTTAATGCTGAGAGTCTGATCAATACAATAAGGAATTACATTGCTAGACCTATTTATTTTTTCTTTATTCACAGAAACGGAACAAGGGGAATGCAATCTCACAGGATGGAAATAACCTGTGGTGAATTGTTGCCATCCAGATCCACTTTTAAGTCCACATGGTTCATTCATTTTGGACTAGATCCTGGTACAGCCCAGTGAACTGATATTCTTGAAATCAGGCACAGAGGCTCTGAAGTAATGCATTACATTTGCATCCATGATTTGCTTAAAATGTTCCATTTAGCCTTTCCTCCCAGGAAACAAAGCCAGCAGTATTTGATTATTGAATAGCTCGTTTTGGATGCTTAGTTTGAGAAGATTTTATTAAGATTATGGGAAACTTGAATTTTACAAAATGAATCATGAGTTATATTTCAGTTTTGATTTGTCTCCAAGGGTTGAAATACATAGAAGTCTAGGATACATTATATATTAGCTCTATTTTAGCATGCATTTAATGCAATCACAGGCAAAAATCAAATGCTTTAAAGAAAAAGATTGCAGTTTTAGAAATGAAGGATGTGAAAAAGGACGAATCTATATAAATAAAAGTGAACTTAGAGTAATAACATGCAATATAGTCTATGTAGATATGCATATTTTAATTGTATATTACTATTTGTCCCATCACAATAATTGGTTTAAACAATGGTGTATTTATATGTGTAAAACAAAGTTTGGTATGTGTGTGCACACATATACACACAGAAACACACACACACACTTTTCTAATCAACTAACATTTAAGAAATACCACTGAAGGAAATATTAATGACAGAAAGAGCTTTTCTGCACACAGAAAAGCACGCACACTCCTATGCAGCATACAAATAGGTAAGAGTACATGTTTTCCCTGAAAGAAGAGCAAGAGACCAACGGAATAAGCCCCTTTACTGGGTTCCCATATGGCTGAATGGTCTCAATATCTCAATCTTTAGAACATACCTCAGCATCTCCACATCTCCTCCTACCTCTGTCCTGTGTTGCTGGGACACAGGGGCAGGAAATGGATGCATCCCTTCCCATGCACGCCCAAACAGCTCCTCAACTCAATCTCAGCCCCATGCCTCTTCTATTCTTCTGTGAGGAAGTGGCTTCTCATGACCTATCCGAGAGCTCAGCACATGTTAAGTTCTCACACAGGCTTAAGCCAACATAATCGTCAACATTAAAAAGTAACAACATAATATTTGGGCGGATGATGTTTTCTGTTCATAATCAACAGTGACTTCTCAGAGTGGCCTTTTCTGACCTCTCTATCTAAATAGTACTTTACGTTTTCTCTATCCCCTCCCTAAATTACTCTGGTTCATTTTTTGTCAAAGAATTTTTACTGCTGAATAGTGTCATAGACCTATTCATTTATTTATTTTCTCACTCTTCCCAGTAAAATATAAGATGCGTGGAGAAGAAGTTTGTTTTGTTCCCCTCTGCCATATGGGAAAGAACAGTGGTGGAATTTAGTAGATGCTCAATAAATATTTGTTGATTTAATAAAAAAATTCATTTGTTGGGTTTCTTAAGTTGGCTTATCCCAGATGCAGATCCAAAGCCGAGGATGGAGTTGCAAGTGATGCATTAAGGATGTGTTTCCAGGAGCATCCAGAAAGGAGACAGGGACATGGAGCAGGACAGGAAAGGCGAAGGAAGCAAGAGTTTCATTTTAGGTGGACACAGGTAGTTCTCATGAGAAGACCTGAGATGTAAATTTCAACTCTAAGTTTTTCACCTGGAAGCAAAGGAACTATACTTCCCACCAAAAAATACCTAATTACTCGGAGCCCCTGATTGGGAGGGAGGTAGTAAACTTTCCCTCCTAGTTTGTTGTTGCCACACACCTCACTTAATTTTCTTGAACCACTTCGCTCTTTAGATGGTGACAATTAACTAAGTTGAGCAACTAATGTTTCAAAAAGATAGAGGGTCCCCTATTTTCCTATTAAATAAAGCATATACTTTAAAGTGGCCTAATTTTTACACAGTGTCATCCGGTCTGTGAAGCACTGTCATATGTAGTACTGATATCCTTTGATTCTCAAAACAACCCTTTAAGCTAGAAGTAAAAATGTTCTTTCTTTCTCTTGCCACATTTTGAAAAACTGAGATCCAGATAGGTTAAGTTTTAGTAGTTGAGCCAAGATTAAAAAAGGAGCTTGATTGCAGAAATTATTTATGTTCTTACTGCTATACCAAGCTGTCACACAAAGAGATTATTCTGCCTTTATTTTCTTAATCACTAAGATTCTAAAAATAAAAAAACTCCAGGCCAAGTAAGTGGGGAAGAAGAAATCAAACCAGATTAATGAGGGAAATGTTAACGACAGAAAGAGCTTGGAGGCTCTCCAATCACATTGAGCAGGGGCTGCTGATTCCATCTGTGCTGAAGAATAGTGTGACACTGCGCCACCCCCATGCTACCCGCCCCTCTGTTTAGTCCCTCATACTTACCATGTGAGTTGTCTTTATTCCATTGAATCCTACTCTAAATTCTGCATTTTAAGATTTTCAAGATTTCACTAATGGAAAAGAATTTGAAAAATAACATTTGAAGAATGGTAGTGGGCTTTAATAGTCAATGAAGAGTGAAAAGAAGTATTTGTTTGGACAAAAACCGAATCCAGAAAACAGCTGATGACCTACATACTAGCTGGAATGACTTTGCCTTCAGGTTATAAAAGCACTTTGTATCTATTTATTTGTCTGGCTACTGTGAAAATAAACACTTCTATGCAATCAAAATCTGAACTTCTGAAAAATAAAGTTTTTTAACACCTAAGTATGTTGGCACTTCACAGGTATAAATACTGATGTTTTTTGGAACTCTTCTTTCGTATTTAAATATGAGAGGTCACAGTAAAATGTTAACCTATTCTTTACAAATAAACCAAGTATAAAGACTTTGATATTCAACTCGGCTGTGCATTTAAATGTTTTGTGCTAAATTTCACCAAATATGTTTAAAATAATTTGACTACATTGTTAGAAAAGGAAGATGGTTTAAGACTATTTCTTTAGCAAAGGATATTATACAGAAGAATACAATATGGTTTGTGAAGTAGTTTTTAAGCCATTTTGTATACCTTATTTTATCCTGACGTTCTCTTTTAAAAATTTATATTAAAAATATACAATATGTCAGAATTGGAGAATTACAGAAATTTAGAGCTCAGGCAGATAACTATGAATTTTGTTTTAAATAGAGGAAAACGTGGCTCAGGGAGGTTTCTAACATCACGGAGCTCTGAAGTAGCCAGATAGATGCAAGAGCTACATCACAGAGATCACTGTTCTGAGCTGAGGCCGTTATATACTTTTTCTCATTTCTATCATAACATGTGAAACAACTCTGAATTGGATTGGTCCTTAACCTCTGGCTCCACAGACCTTTTCAGGAACACTGCTATGGATTTCCTGGATCCAAACTGGATTGTCTCAAGTCTCCTCCTCTTTCTTTTATTTATTGATTGGTAGATTTTGAGTCTGGCTGCAGCCCTGGACCTTATTTCTGTCAAAGTCTATTTGTTGAGACTTACCGTTAGACCTAGGGGTGGTAGGATGTGGGAACAAGGGTTCAGTACTGAAGTGGGATGAGATGTCTCTGCAACACTCATTACCTACCCATCACTGCCCTGCAGTATATTAAGGGATTAAAATGGAGATGTACAACAATGTATTATATGCACATGGTGCATAACATTATTCAACTCATATTATTTTTATATTAGCAATTTTTATCTGACTTTGTTACTTTGCATATCAATTCAATATGTGAATATCTGTCTAAGAAAAGCATAAGAAATGGCATTTCTAGATAGATAAACTGATTATGTAATTTGGCAAAAGAAAGAGTGCACAGGCCCATCATTGCCCCGGTAAATCAAAAGGCCCAAGCATTCTGAAGCAGATTTTATTTTTAGCATTTTCTCATGTCAATAAGTCTTCTTCAAAAATATCTTCTGTCACAGCTATAACCACCCATCATTTGAATATGCTCTCAATGAGCCACTCGTATATTTATTGGAAATGTAGGTCATTTAAATTACTAGATTGTTTCTCATAAAAATCTATATATATATATCTTTATACAAACAAGACTATTTCATTAAATATAAAAAGGCTGAATTGCTGGGTCAAAAGGTAGGAATGTGCTTAGGGCTCTTGAAACATATTGCCTAACTGCTTTCCAGAAGTTTGTATTCACTTATATTCCCACTCATATGTGAAATTGGGTCATAATATCCTTGACAAATTTGAAATTTTGAAAAATCTTTGACAAATTGCTTGGTAGAAAATTACATCTTATTGTTTTAATTTGTATTACTGAGTATATTATTTATTAGTCATTTACATTTCTACAATGATAATATTTTAGTTTTATTAAAAAATACAATCCCTGTTTTCTTTTTTCATATTGCATAATCACTTTTTCCAGACAGCAATACTATTTCTTGGACTGTTATTAGGCAGATAATCACACACTGAAGTTATAAACGAAGTAATAGAGTCATAAAAATTGCTAATGTAAAAATAACTGAGTTGAATAATGTTATTATATATCATTTATATATTATACATTGTTGTACAATTCACATTGTAGTCCATTAATCAATTGATTATGCACTTCTTTGTGATACTTCTTGAAATGTTACATTGTGATATTTTCTTTCCCTTTTGTTATTTAACCTGAATGTGTTTCTATTTAGCTTCTGCAGTGGATTCTAAGCAACTTAGGCTAGGAGCATTGATAAAAGCCTCTATTAACTATTTTAACTTCTAATTGTATCAGGTAGCATGTGTTGCAGAATCCTCAAAACACATTTACTGACTGATTAGGTGAAGGGACAGATATAATCTCTCTATGCCTGATGGACGCAATCTTTTTCATCATCTAGGGGCCACAAGAACACAGTCGTTAAGCCAGGGTCATCCTGTAGGCATGACCTTTAGCATACAGCTGATTCACAAAGATTTAAGTATCATACATTGTCTGAGGTCACAAAGATTTTCCCTGGAAATAAAGCAGAAATACAGCATGAGGAGCAAATGGGCATACGGGCACACACAGGAGCCCATCTTGACTGATATTATCCTGTTTGCTTCCTGGAAGGCGGCACCTCCATCTCTAATCCTGATCTTTCTCTGACCCGAACCCATCAAGCCTACCCAATTTCAGTTCTTATGATCACTCTACCTGCTACCTTCATCTGCACTCCTTTACCTTTTCAACTCTGATTTGTCTTCTACATTCTTTTTCTGAGCTAAAAGATCTACTACATTAGTTCTGCCTAGGAGTGACCCATTTCCAATCTTTTATTTTTACTATCAGGCTTCCTCTTTGCAAATATTTTCTCCCCACTGCTGAAACTACATATGAATTGAGTGTCTCACCTTATTCTGCCCCAATTTTTTTCAGGATGGTTGAGTTCTGAGTAAAAATGGTCCTGAAATACTACGGCCGCTACAGCTTAGCATATAGCTTCTTTAGCTGGAACTGCCCACACCCCAAGTCTAACTTCAGCTGGCACCTGACATACTTTATGTAACATTGTGACAACAGAAATAACTTGGCACCCCTCTTAGGATGAAAAGGAATCATGTAGGTCAGAGGCTGTCTTTTTATTTGGATTTATTACAATGTGTCGAATTGTGAATCTGCATCTCTCAACCTCTCCAGTGTTCCCTGAATACTACTTAGGATTCAGCATAAATCAGTTGCTGGCCAGCAGAAGTGCAACTTTAAAAGGAAAGCCCAAAAAGAGCAGAGTTGAGGTGGGGTTGATGTATAAAATGAGAATTCCAAATCAACCATGAGTCTCACTGCTTCCAAAAGGAGTGATTAAATTTTTATCTATCCAAAATCTTTTGGGAATAGGCAAACATTGAAATAGGCCTTTATTTTTTTTCTTTTTTGTTTGTTTTTCTTTGCATTGTGAAGTGCCAGCATTTTCATAAAGTTCTGAAGCCGACATATATTATCTTTCATGATTTGACCCTTTCTGACTTCCTGAAGTTTTATCTTTTAATCTTTGCCATATATATTTTGTTCCTAGGTGTTCTCTGAATGTATTATTGTTGTCTTCCTGCTTAACATCTGAATACATATTTCACTTTCTTCTCCTGTGTAATTCCCACAAATCTGTCACGACTCAGGATAGCAATCCTCTTCTTTTTCTTTTTTTTTGAGATGGAGTCTCACTCTGTCACCTAGGCTGGAGAATGCAGTAGCGCGATCTTGGCTCACTGCAAGCTCCACCTCCAGGTTCACGACATTCTCCTGCCTCAACCTCCAGAGTAGCTGGGACTACAGGCGTCCGCCACCACGCCCGGCTAATTTTTTAAAATTTTTTTAGTAGAGACAGGGTTTCACCGTGTTAGCCAGGATGGTCTCAATCTCCTGACCTCATGATTCGCCCACCTCGGCCTCCCAAAGTGCTGGGATTATGGGCATGAGCTACGGCGCCCGGCCAGCAATCCTCTTCTTTATTTAGTGTTTGTTGAGTCTCTAAGTTGGGCTCAGTGTTTCTCTTCTATGCACCCATTGCCCTATGAATACCAGCATCATGGTGCTTATTATGCTACATAAATGTATCTATATTTCACATGAATGTTTGCCTCACATGTATTGTCGCAAGGTAAAGAGTTAAATCTTATTCATTATTGAATCCATTATGTTCAGAGTAGTGCCTGGTATGCAGTAGATGTCTGTTACATAGAATGAGCCTCATAATAACCCTTTGAAATCAACTTTATTATTATTCATATTTTAGTTATGAAAATTAGGTTTAAAACAATTGCTGAGATTCGCCTGGAGTTAAATAATGGAGCCAACATTTGAATCCAGAACTCTCTCCAAAGTAGAGATCCAAGACCATATAGACTATAATGCCTGTAGAACACAGGTTTGCATCTGTCTGGCATACTCTGTGTCTAAATTTATGCATAGTCACAAATAACTGTTTTCTTACAATACCTGCTTGGTTGATCACCAGAAGAAGGAAGTCCTTTTGAAATATATATATATTTTTTTGAGACGGAGTCTCACTCTGTTGCCCAGGCTGGAGTGCAATGGCCTGATCTTGGCTCACGGCAACCTCCGCCTCCTGGGTTCAAGCGATTCTCCTGCCTCAGCCTCCTGAGTAGCTGGAATTACAGGCACCTGCCACCATGCCTAGCTAATTTTTGTATTTTTTAGTAGAGATGGGGTTTCACCATGTTGGCCATGCTGGTCTCGAACTCCTGACCTCAGGTGATCCACACACCTCAGCCTCCCAAAGTACTAGGATTACAGGCATAAACTACCATGCCTGGCCCTGAATCACATTTTACTCCATGCTCAAAGACAAGGAAAAATTATATAAGTTGGTCAGATTTGAGACTACTTTTAAATTACGTTTTATAGATGGTGGAATCAAGTCTGTATAGGCCAAAAACAGAGCAGTTTCTATGCAAGTTTGAGAAGTGGTGGCCCCTGAAGACTTTGTCCCATTAAAGGAGAAAATTCAACGACCAAGATTTTGGCTCTATTGTTGCGGGATCCAGGAGGACAAGAGAGGTCTCGGGTTAAAACAGGAGAACCTTTTATTGAGTGCACTCAGGCCCAGCAGACTCACGTCCAAAGACTGGGCCCAGAACAAAGACAGCACTTGACTTTTATATACACTTTAGAAAAGGGGGTCGGCTAGCTTGAAGCAAGCTTACAGTGGTGTGAAAGCAGGGATACAGAGGCAGGACAAAGACAGTTAATCAAATTGTAACAGGTGTATAACGTAGGATTGCACATAACCATTGCTATGCAACCCAGATGTCCGTTATCTAGGTTTGCCTAGGCACGGGCTTATCCCATAACCTTCACTATGGTGCCCAGGCAGCTGTAGTTCAGGCCTACTCAGGCTTCTCATGACCTTCGTTGTACTTCTTAGATAAAACAATACTTGAAGTCACTAGTTACAGAGAACAGGAATCTATAAACTCATTCCATAAAATAAAGGAAAATTTGGTTTTTCTTCTCCGTATGTTGAGGGAATGCTGGGAGAGCCTCCAGAGCACATTAGATAATATTAGCAAGAATTTTCCTGGGTCTGGGCTGTGCCTGTTGCTGCCTGGGACAAGTTAGCCTAATACAGGAAAACTTATTTCTCTTTTTAATTTTATTTTTCTTTAATTTCCTGCCTCACTAGGACAAATGGAGAGAACAGGTCTCATAAGTATTTGATTGTACAAAACATACCAGCATATCTAACATTTAAAATAAAGTATGCTTTCGCTTAGTGTCTTGAAATTCCACTTTAGAGTGTATGGTAAACGCACAGTAGAATGCTTCTTTGTTGTGTTTTAATTATATTGTGTGTATACTTCCCTTGGGGACCTTGCAGGAAAGAATAACAGTTTGTGGATAAAAATGGGATGTTCACAAGTTTCCTGGACAAAAAGTCATTACAATATTACACTGTAATAAACCCCACTATTGTTATTATGTAAACAACGTAGATCTTCTTGGTGATCCAGAGTGATCAATTTGTCTGTTGTGGAGGAGGGATGTACATCTGATCAATGAATACCCTGGCTGTGGTGCCTGCATATTTACTGAGTCCCTGGGAAGGGGAAAGGAAAGGTTTCCCTGTCTCTTACCAGAGCTCTCCCAAGTCCTGGCCAAAGAGAAGAAAAACAGCAATCATAGGTCTGGCCACATGGATTCCACAGCTTAACTAAAATACAGCAAGTTTGTCCAAAGTTAGTTTTCATTTAAAAGCAGGCAAGAATTATTTTATTTCTTGTGGATATTCAGAAAAATTAAACGTTGTTTAATCCACATTCAGATAGCTCCTAATATGGCAAAGTGAAAAATAAAGAATTTTAAGATGAGCTGTTTGTCATTAACCATGCAGCTTTTCTGAGGCAATGCCCTATTCTTAAATAGTTTTAGTCACTGTGAATCTTGGCTGGCCATTTCAAGCACTGAGTCATTGCCTCTTCTAAACAACCATTTATCTAGAAACAACTCAGTTTATTTCAAAATCCACTCTTAGTGGAAAATGACTTCCAAACAGAATTTGATGTATTCTCCTCAAGCACGGAATGAAAAGAATTCTGAGATCATCTTAGACTATGGCTCTGCACTAACTCATTCAAGACATTCTTACCAAGAGCAGTGAATGGGAATCCATTCAGGAAACTTGCTGGAATTCTAGTATAAAAGGAAAAAAAACAGTCAACATTTGTGAAAAAACTACTCATTAACTTCTGCATACTTCAGGCTCAGGTCTCCCAAGAAAAAAAAAAAGACGAAAAAGAAAACTGTTCTAATACATGCTTGATCACAAACAGAAAATAGCTTATCCAGCTTTCATTATGTATAATTCTTACAATTCTCCATTTCTTAGGACAATAAGTTAAAGAAGCTTCCTGTGTACTCATCTGTTGAGATAAGATTTATGCCATTGAGTTAAGGACATTTCAGCTTTTGTTCAGACAACTACCATGGCATAGTTTCAAGTATGCTTTAAAAAAAAAAACCTTTTAATTTAGAAAGATTTTTATAAAGTTACAAACATGTAAGAATGAACATAGTACAAATAGTACCAGGTTCAACTATTGTTACTATTTCAACTCATTTTCTTGGTCATTTGTGTCCCATATCCATGTGTGTATGTGTATGTGTGTATAAGTGTAGATGTATGTGTGTGTATTTATATACACAATATTTTTGTGAATTATTAGAGAAGAAATTGCCTTTATTAATTCTCTGCATAACCTAAGTGCAATTCTAAATTCAGTAAATTTATCAGTGAAATAACACTTTTAACTCATTTAACATCTACATCCCAGTTTTGCCAGTTGATTCAATAGTGCCCTAAATAGCATTTCACCTTCTCCAGTACAGGATCCAGTCTAGGAAGAGATATTGTGGTTAGTTGTCATTTATCTTTAGACTCAATTTATACGGAACATTCACATAGTCTTCCTTTGTATTTTTTGACAATATTTTTGAAAAACATCTTTTAAAAATATTAAAAGTGTTATTTCGTGTTTCTCTGATGAGTCCTCATATTCATCTCAGGTTATGCGTTTCCAGACACAACACCATGTAAGTCTGTGTCATTCTTAGCTTTCACATCTGGAGATGTCTACCAGATACTAGATACCCATCTGCTCTTCATTGCTGATTTTAATTTTAATTACCTTGTCAAAGAGTTGTTGATTTCTTCACTGATAATTAAAACTTTTTCTCTTGCAACCAGTAAGTCTGATATAGATACTTCAAGATAATACAGCCATGGATGGTCTAATGACATTTCAGTCAATAATGGATTGCATATACTAACAGGGTTCTATATTATAATACCATCCTTTGACTGTACCTTTTCTATGTTTAGATACAGAAATACTTACCATTGTGTTACAAATGCCTACAGTATTCAGACAGTAATATACTGCACAGATTTGTAGCCTAGGATAAGTAGGCTCTACCATACAGGCCAGGTGTGTAGTAGGCTATACCATCTAAATGTGTGTAAGTACACTCTGTGATATTCATACAACAAAATTGCCCAAGATGCATTTCTCAGAATGTATTCCTGTCATTAAGTGATGCCTGATGGTACAAATACCCTGCTCCTCATCAAAATGTAACAACAATAGATTCATGCTACTATCAGTCTTTACTGTGATCATTGCAAAGTGCTTATTTATTTTCCACCTCCAAAACTCCCTCCACGTTCACCAAGAGACTTGCCATTCTCTACCACTTATTTCACCATTTATTAGCAACATGGACATAGAATTTATTTTCAATGGTTAATATTTCATTACTATACTGAATCCTTTGGGTACTCAAATTACCCTTCAAGCTGGCTTCTGAATTCTTGTTACATGCCCTCATTAACTTTTTGTGTACTTTTTGGCATAACATGTTCTAGGATTCTCTTATGTCTACTCTTTTCCAGCTCTGGAATCAGCTATTTATTTACTTAAATAGCCTAGGTTATAATTAGTGTAGATGGTACTAGAAATAAAGACTTTGGTGTAAGGTATGTTCATTTAGAATTTTTTCTAGAACCTTTTAGCAGACAGAGTTAAGAAATAATACATATATATACATAGACACATATGCAGCTGCACCTACATATACCCATACATACATACCTATGAACATATGCATGCATATACGTATTTTACAAATATGTTTCCACCAATATTGTCAATTTCCATCCATCTCTGCAGGTTTCTTTTCTGCCTTCCTTCTTCCATATTTGTGTGTTTCTCTTTCACAGTGAGAATCCACATTTGACAATGTTATAAAATACCTAAAGTGTTTCAAAATTGATCTGTACATATTCCTACTTCAAAAAATACCCCAATCTGCTAAAAAGTGTTCCCTTCAACATGGCCCAAGACAAAGCACACAGTTAAATTTTGTGTTCATATATAACTTGAATTGTTGCTTTCCTTTTCCCCTTCAGTAGTATTATAATTTTAATTTGAAGCACAGTTGAGCTTACTTGCTTCTGTTTGCTTTCAATTTTACTTTTTCTTCTCTCCTTTCCATCCTTGTTGATTTAATTTTATTTTTCAAACATATAGAATATTTACATGCTCCCATCACCAAAACTGCATGAAAAATATACTCAGAAAAGTGCTCCTTTCTAAATATCCTCCAACCTATTTCCTTGTAACTTATGCAGGTGACTCTATCAGTATAATTTGATCAACAATGCAGAGCCACTATATATTAGGATTTGGACTTATATAATTGTGGGGACTGATTAAATTATCTATTTGAAGGCTGATATTTCTGTTAGCTGCTCTATGCTGAAGTTCACAGGCCAGGCTGTAAAAAAGGCAAGAAAGATATAAAATGGTGAAAACACGGAAAATCTAACACCTGTGAGGCTGAGTGGTAATCCATATAGATGGAATAGAATCTAGATCCATGACAGGGTGGCCTGCATTGGTGTCCTTCATCACGAAGCTAAACTTCTACTGGACACAGGCCTGGAAAAGCTGAAGCAGAGGATCTTCAGAACCGGGAGGAGCGTTGCCCTAGTTACTGCCCCCATGTCAATCAGGAGCAGTACGTAAGTGACAACAGGCATGATCTGCAACAGTGTCAGGCCCTGAGCTGACCTCCCAAGCGTAAAAAGAATATAGCTGCTTTTACTGCCGCCTTCTCATTCTGGTGGGAAAGTCTTTGTGACTCACACGAACTCCAACCACATATGGAAGGGAATTCTGAGAAATATAGTCCCAACTTAGCTAACATGACACAATACAAATCTACCACAATTTATGACTTGTCAACTTGGCATCCATATATATTTTTATGTATATATAATATTTATATATAACTTCATATAGAACTATAGTAAAAGAATATCTCATTTTGCATAAATTAATGTAGCTACCACTTCTATGGCAAAAATATATGCAAAACTCTCCATACAATATTCAAACTAACCACCTTTGAGCCATGTTAATTTCTTTTCTAGAAGGGTGACATCTCCCTTTTGACATCCTGGGACTTTCATAATAAATATAAGATGAATTACTATGACACATAATATTTTAGATGACAAGGGAATGACAGAAAGGAAAAGAATAAAAATAGTATATGCACAAATATATCAAATAAATAGTTATAACTATTAGAGTCCTTGTCTGTGGCTGGACAAGTGGCTGTAGTTGGTGTTGATAACTACCTTTTCCCACAACCCATTCCATATTCTTTCTATTCTCAGCAAGCTTCTCTTTGGGTTATGGTTTTTGATGGATGGAGTTAGCCAAGTTTTCATTGTTCAAAAATCCTTTTGGTATTGGGTTGTTCTGCTTTTCCTCTGACTTAAATCACAAACTGTTGGAATACTAAGAACTTCCCTGGCATCTCTTGCATTCCAAATATATATCTTCTTATCCTCGTTGTGTAAATTCAACCCAATTACCACTTAATAATCAGACCAACCACTCTAGACATAATAAATAACCCCCTTCTTTGCCTTTTGATTCAGTAACACAAGCAGCCAAATTGGACATGTGGCAGTCTCAGCTCCCAGCATAATGGAGCGACTGTTGGGTGTCCTGTGTAAGTGTTTTTTCTTGGGAACCAATACTTCAAGACCAACAGAACCCAAAGTTGCTGAATGGGAAGCCAAATTTTGACAGTGGATAAATAGTGACACAAAAGAAATTCTCATTTCTACCCCTTGACACCCAGACCAAACCTTTACTGTGAAAGAAGCAGTGCAATATATTGGTCACTCATTTAGAAACTTCCTGTGGACATAGCAAGGTCCTACGTTGACTTCACACCACACAAATGTGTTATCAGTGTTGCCACTGAGCCAGTAGGTGTTGCTAAAAGGTGTTGCCACCTAGCAGATACTATAATTGAGCCTTAAAGGGCAATACTTTATTTTTTGAATATGTACCATGTTAACATGTTCCCAAAGTCAGAAAATACAAAGTTATATTCAGAGAGGGGTCACTCTCTCTCTCATGTGTTTTCCATCCCATCACCTTCCCTCCAATCTGTTGAAGTAACAAATTTATTTGTTTACTGATGTGCTTTCTGTTTCTTTTTGAAATGATAAGCAGATATATGTAGAGTTTTAATTTTTCCCTTTTTTACATGAAGGTATAACCATATATATACATATATGTATGTATATATGTCTGTGTGTGTATATATATACATATACACATATATATGTGTATATACATATATAATTACTTGTACTTTGCTTTTTCCTCTTACCAATACTATCACCTGGAAATCAATCCCTATCAATTATAGAGGTCCCCTTTTTATTTTATCTTTCTAATTTTGTTTTATCAGCATCATATTATGCCATTGTGTACATACCACTCTGTATTTACCAATTTCTTATGCTTAGATATTTAGGTAGCTTCCATTATTTTGCAGTTATACAGTGAATAACCTTGCCCATTTGAATTTTTAATAATGTTGGAGGTGTATCAAAAGGGTACATCCCTGAAAGCAGAATTACTGAATTGGAGGATAAATGCGTGTATAATTTTCTCAGATTTTGCTAAATTCTCCTCCACTGGAACTGGCTTAATTGCATCCTCACTAGCAATGTGCCTGTGGGGATGCTCTTTGCCCAAAGCCTTGTTGAAACGTGTATTATCAATTATTAGAGATTTTGCCCATCTCACAGGTGAAACATTGTAACTCTGTGTGTTTTCATTCCACATTTCCCTTACTATGAGTGAAACTGGACAACATTTTATGTTTAAGGTTGTTTTTATACTTTTAAAAACTGTCTTTAATTTTAGCTATTTTATTACAATAGGATTCTTGGGTTTTTCCTCTCAGTTGTAAAAAGTTCTTTGTACATTAGTGGTATTAGTGCTTTTTCTATAATATATGTGGCAAATATTTTCTCTTATTTTGTCATCTGCCTTTTGACATTGTTTAGGATTTTTTAAAACCATGAATTGGCTTTTTTTAATCATGTAAAATGTATTAATCTTTATTTTTTTACATCTGGCATTTTAGTCATAGCTATAAAACTTTTCCTTCTATGCAGATTAAAAAGAAATTCACTCTAATTTTCTTCTAACACTTAAATTATATACATATGTGTGTATGTACATATGTACATATATATAACAGCATCTATGTATATAACCACATATACATGGTTATATGTTTGGAGTTTATTTGTGTGTATGCTAAGAAGAAATGATTTAATTTTATCTTTTTCACAATAGCTGAACAGTTTAACCAAAATCATTTACTTTAACAAACACACAGAAAGCAGAACTTTACTCCATTGATTTATGATTCCACCTTCACTCGATTTCTATGAGTAGTTTTATCTATTTCTGGTCTTTCTAATCTTTTTCATTAGTCTCTCTGTCTTTCCGTGTGCCAGAACACTCTTTTAATTATAGCATCTTTCTAGTTTGTTTTCGTGTCTTCTGGGACTAGTTCCCCATCTCTACCCCATATCTTTTCTTTTTCAGTGGTTTTTGGCTCTCACTGTGTGTCAAATCTTCTAGCTTCATTAAAAAAGCTTCTTGGTATTTTTGTTGAAATTCCTTTACAGATAAATTAAACTTAGGAAGGGCTAACATCTTGATTATGTTGAGCTTTCTCAACCAAACATAAAGGATATCTATTTATTCAGATCAATTGTTCTTTCAGGAGTGTTGTATGGCTTTCCTCATTAAAATTTTGCTTATTTTTATTAAATTTATTTCTAAATAGTTTATCATTTAAAAAATTATGAAAAATACAACTTTTGATTGAACAAATGATAGCCACTTACCTGCCAGTGGGTCTTGGGAAGAATACATACATATATATCTTCCAATTAGTCTCCTTGTAAATAGAAAAATACTGGTACTAAACCAGTTTCAATTTAGAAAAAAAGAAACTGGTCTTGCTGCTTAGAATATAAGTTTCTTCAAAAACTCATAATGCATTAGAATCTGGTAATACAAGAACATGATTGACATCAATTGTATCTGTAATGGGACTAAGCACTTTCCCAACTGCATTGTCCTCATAGGAGAAGTGAGTATAATCATATTTTTCTAGCACACTTTAGTAGTTAGCATTGTTCTAAGTAAAAGATTCAGCTATGGGAGGCACTCAGTCAATATTTGTGATTCTGAGTATTAACGCATACATATTTGATAGAAGAAGAAAAGTTGCTTTCTAGCAAACATCTATTTTATCCATGAATCAGGCAATATTATGCCCTAGTTTGAAAATTATCTATCTGTAGAGATATTGGAAGATGAGTATTTTGTGTGTTTTTTTTCCTACTGACACCTGCATTTTATGGGGGAGAGAATAGGGCAAAGACAAATAAGCTGACATGGAATGAGGTAGTTCATATTCCTCTTCCCTTGGGAGGGATTTTGAGGTGTGACAGCCATAATTTTGAGGTAGTCAATATGGCCTTGAAGTTCCCCTAAGCTTGACTAAACTTTAGAGAGATTTCTTTCTAACTGTAGGTTCCTGACCTCACTTTTCTTAGAGCATTCACTTTAGAAACCACTTCATTGTAAATTTGTATCTGTCCCTTTGAGAGGTACATCTTCTGCAACCCAGAAATGTCCTTCTCAAGGACCTGGGAGCCACCTCTTTGAAATGTAATCACTGAAGGCCATAGTGCCCTTTTCTCCCAATTTCTGTGGGGGAGTAGGGGCTTAGCTTCCATAAGCACCAATTAGCAAATACAGATGATCTCATTGCATTGACTAACCACCCTTCCCCACCCCACTCAACCTCTTTCAGTATTTCTTTATTAGTCATCTCAGCACCTAAAAACTCTTTCACCTTTTGTTTCAAGAGAGTTGAGTTCCTCCTTTCAAGTATTCCTTGCAGTTTAAATCCACCTGGTACAATTATTCTTTAACAGAGACCTTTAAATATCAACTTGCTGTGCAAATTTTACAAATTAACTTTATTGATGGTAGGATAAGGTAAATAATACTCTCCAAGAACAATTATGCATTTATAAGTGGCCCTTGGGGTACCTTAAATATGTGGGCATAGAGAAAGTATTCATTTTAAATTGATATGTAATAACTGCTTTAGTGTGTGTTTAATGAAAAAAAAACAGATACTGACTCTCTGAACATAAAAATTATTTTTGTCACTCTGACAAAAGAAGAGTTTGACAGAAATATTGAATTATACTTAGTAGGACACTATTCTTGAGACAGCTTCATTGTTTTCAAAATTTCTTGTACTTTGCTTCTTAATTTTCATCCTAAATTTAAACAGCTTTGTTAGGTTTCACTAACACACCTCTGTGCCTAAAGAATAGCTCTCTACCTCGGTTTTGCTATCAATTAATCTTTCATTTTGGATTTTTTTCTTTTGTTACCTATTTAATCAGTTTGGCCAACTTTCATATATACTACAAATGACTTTTCCTTTCAATGTCTAGTTTTTTATTTCATTTATTTGCTAGGTATTAGAGACATAAAGAAGATAAATGATTCATAAAAGACAATGATTAAGAAAGAATTTCTGTCCTGAAATTTCTTAAAAGTATAGTGGGGAGAGAAATAAGTAAACAGCTAACAGTAATATAGTATAGTAAGTTGTATGGAGTTATTTTGGACTGACTAGAGAAAAACATATACTGGACAAATAATCTCAGCCTTGATGGTGGTGATGGGGGAAGTAGTGGATACATGCGGGTTTGTGGGAGGAAGCATCCCTCAAATGGGTACCACTGGAGAGCAGAATAAGTGCTGAAGATATTGGTAGAAGGTGATGAAGAGGAGGAGTGCTGGAAAGGTAAACAGGAAGTTTCACATTAGGGAGTTTAAACTTGATCTTGCATGTGAGAGTGCTGTTGAGATATTCTGTAGTTAGAAACTTACTGGCATAATCCTATTTAGGATTTAGAAGAAAGGTCTGGTTTTAGTATTGGAATGATTTGGAAGTCGTATTAAGGTTTTATAAACTTTTTGGTTTACCTTCTTAATAAATGTAAGAGAATTTAATTGTTGAGTAAATTTATTATTGTGGCTGTGTAACATGAACATAACCACTAAGAAGTGAAAATGTTTGATCAAACTAGTGATTATATCGTTATCTTGTAAATTATTATACTGTTATATATTATTTTTATTTTTAGACCAAAAAACACTCAAAAATTGTGAAAATCTTTTAACCAGCTTATGTTCATAGATGAAGTCACTGAGAGATAAAGATGTTAATAACGTGCCCAAAGTTACAAAATCGATTACAACTATATTTGGCTTTCTAGCATAAACACTTTCTCCTTTCAAAAATCAGGCCTATTTCACCCACAATTTTCTGAGTGGCACTGAATGTTTTTAATGGAAATTGAGAAAGATGTTTTGTTTCACATTGTAGCACAGAAGAAGTGAATGTTGGTCAATGAGACAATTCGTAACTCCAATTCAGCAGAAGCAGAAGCCTAGAACCTGGGGTGGGACGAGGATGGAGATGAGAACATGATATCCCATGAATCTGCAGCAACACTCAGGAGAGCTTTGGTCATGTCAGAGTTTAGATCAGAGGTTGGACTGTTTACTTTCTGTTCTTAAAGACCTCTAGCTCTAACTAGCATGTCTTACATTCTGTAGTACTTCACAGTTTTATACCTTTCAAGCAGTGAATTCCCTACCATAATCCCAATAGATAGTTGGGGTAACATTTTTTTTTTGCTTTGTAAAATTAATCTTTAATATATAAAACAGAAGATTTTATTGAGCTGTGGATCTGAGTTCAAAACTGATATATTCCTATTTTTCAGCCTAATGATTTTAGCTATTGCCACATTATATTCATTATCTCTCCCTTAAAAAAGTAGTTTCCTTTGAGTATTCATGAAATTTACATGCAGTAACATTTCTGATTGTCTTTTGTTGCACTGAAGTACACCCATCCGACATAGGAGTTTATGGTTAGAAATAAGCTCATAATTTATTTTGATAGAATGCTAAATATCTTTCATTTGTCTGCTTAGATTTACCCTTCACCCTCTTTCCACCCTGCTCTGTGGTCTGTGGAGCTGATCCATTTAGCTTGCTTAATGATGCCCTTGCCCTCTGGCTTCCTGTTGGCTTTGATCAATAGAAGACACTAGCAGATGAGAGGCAGGAGAATGAAGACTGGATATATGTTCCCCTGGCACCGTTTTGCTGTTACCATCTGTTAGCTGTATCCCTCTGGGTGACCTCTCTGTTCTGGAAACTACTCTGTCCTTTCAGCACTAGGGGGAGTTAGGCTCCCTGATGCTGCTAACTTGAGTTTATTACATTTTCCCTTACTTCTATCCCTAAACTCTGTCCACATTTTTATACATTGATCCTTTATTTAAGTCTTTCCAATTGATCCAGTTTGAACATGACTATTTAGAATTGTCATTTTATTGGTGGAACACATGAAAGTTGTCATGCTAGTGTGTGGCACGTGCTAGCAGGAGGCCGCATGGTAGTATTTAAGAGGACGGCGTTGGGAATAATAGCCCGATTTCTAGCCTGGCTCTCTACACGGTGATGTTGAGCACATTTCCTAATGCTTTCGTTCCTCAGTTTTCTTATTCGTAAAAGAAATACACCTATTTCATGAATATATAAGTGAAATATAAATATATATATATGCGCATATTAGAACATCGGTGTCCAATAGAGATATGAGAACAATAAATGTGAGCCACACATTTTATATTTTTTAGTAGCCACTTTAAAAAGAGTAAGAGAAACAGACAAAAATAATATTAACTTAACCCAATATAAATGTTTACTTAACCCGATATATTTAAAATATTAACATTTCAAAACGTACTCAGTATAAACATGGAATAAAGAGGTATTTTACATTTTTTACAAACAAAGATGTAGCAAAAATGTAGTATATGTTTTACACTTACAGCATATCTCAGTATGGACTACCCACATTTCAAAATCTCAAGGCCGACACATGGCTAGTGGCTCCCTATTGGATACTACAGCTTTAGTAGCTCTTTGAACCTACACTTTTATATTGGGGATCAGAAAACCTTACTCCGAAATATCGTGCTTAACTTGAAGCAGCCTCAAGATCTCTCTGACCTTTCCAACTTCCCTCCATCTCTCAATCCTCTGACTCTCCCAAAGCACAGGATGAAACTGTTCTCTGAAGTTCCCTGATCTACGTAGAAACCAGACTTGCCAAAGAGAAATACGATTGCCTCCCTGAAATTTCATTAGCCAGTGAAAATTAAAACTTATATCACAGAGGAAGAGAGGCTAAAAATTAAGCACCACACCTGGAGCCCAGGCAAACTTTGTGTCAAACCTTTGTCTTTTCTGTCTCATTTAATTTTCAAAGAAAAATATTTACTAATAATTGTCTAAGTTTTAACGCCATTCATTTCCCCTAAAAATTGTTTTTCCATTTCTCAAATTGCTACATTTTCCCCATCTCCTCTTTCCCTCTGAAAAAGAATATATGAGCATCTGTACCCTACTGGGTTATTAAGTAACCATTGCCCTGTAATTCTCCTGTGATATGTACATTAAAATAAATGTATATGCCTTTTTTTCGCTATTAGTCCACTTTTTGTCAGTTCATTTTCAGTGAACCTTCAGAAAGTGAAAGGGGAAGCTTTCTCCCTTGGCCTCTACATTTACTTAAACAACTTACCTGATTAATCACTTCTCTTTATTCTTTCTGTTAACCAAAATGTGCTTATAGGATGCTGAGTATCCAGAGTTCACAGGCAACATTTTTATTCAGTAGTCCCTGCTTACCTATGGGAGATACTTCCAAGACCCAAGTGAATGCTTAAAACCACAGATTGTACCAAACTCTCTCTAAATACTATCTTTCCCTATACATACACACCTATGATAAAATGTAACTTATAAATTAGGCACAGTAAGAGGTTAAGAACAATAGCTAGTGATAAAATAGAATAATCATAACAATATACTGTAATAAAAGTTATATAAATGTAGCCTCTCTCCCTCTCTCTCTCTGTCATATTTTGGGACTGCTGTTGACCATGGGTAACTGAAACTGTGCAAAGCAAAACCTCAGGTAACGGGAGACTATTGTACATCCATGAATATCTGCTCCCACCATTCGAATTATATACTTAAGAAGTATCATCTGTATCTTTTTCAAACCTGTTTATGCCAGTTATATTGGTTATTATAATAATTTAATATATTTGTTTATAAACCATTGACATAGCAGTATGGAAGGAAATAGAATTGTCAGTTCTATAAAAATTAAGCTAAATGCTTTGGGAAGGATCAATAAAGAGACATTAATTTATAAAAAGTGGATGTAGTAGAGAAAACTGAAAAAAATGTGGAAAATAATCAATAGCTGGAGGTATTCTGCATTCAGACCACTTTGCAAGTGTTAGCAAGTTCGTGCTCCATTTAAAGAAAATGAATCTGGGTATCACACAGTGATCATATGGTTGTGTTTAATGAAAACTAAAATAAAATGTAAAACTCCAATATAAGGATATATAATAGATATTGACATTATACCCACAAACTGGTGGGTATAATGATATCTATCTATCTATCTCTCTCTCTATATATATAATCTATACATACATTCTACAGCAAGCCCCATGAGGGCAGGTATCACATTTGTTTAGCTTGCCTCTATATTTTCAGTGCTGGAGTGGTGATTGGCTCAAAGTAGATGCTCAACAAATGTTTGTTGACAGATTGACTGACTTGTTATTTCCATATGGCATCTCTGACTATGCAAGCCGGTTGGTTTTTCAGTTTATAGTTTGCTGTCACATTTTTAAAAACATGATATTGTTTTATTTACAACAGATATAATTTTACAGTCTTTTTTTTTTCTAAGCGAAACATTTTAAGTCATCTAGAAAGGGAAAACTCATGCAAAATTTAACTCAGTAAATTTAGACTTGATGTTTTATTAGAACAATGCCTTGCTGGGGAAAATGGAAGAGAATAAATAAAATTTAAGTCTATCTGTTCCTGAGGAGGTCAAAAAAGCTTGGTTTTCATATGTTCTGGGGAGCTGTGAATAAATATCCAACAGAGCTCATCTGGATTCACAATCTGTTCATCAAAAGCACCTAAAATTATCTTCTTCCTAAACATCCCTATTAGCAGACATTGGCTATGGTTATACACATGCACCAGCTTGAAAAATTCCCTGAAATTACCCAAACAAATGTAGATATTATAGTTATTGAATTTACGCCTCGCACCTCCCATTGATGGTGAAGATTTAGTCACAGTGTAGCTGAAGAAGTGTAAAGTAGTTAAGTCAGAACTAGGATCCTTCCTGAGGGACTTGCCAATATACTTTTTTCTTAGTTCCCCAAACAGGTCATTTTTAATGCAAATTTTAATTAAGGTATTACACAAATAAAAAGTGCATATGTCATAATGGTACAGCTCGATGAATTCTCCCTAAGTGAATATACCATAAATGGTTCCAAGATCAAAATAGGGAATACCACCAACAACCCAGGAGCCCCTCTTCAGTCTTTTTATGGTCATCATCCTTCCTAAGAGTAATTAATATTCTTACTTGATTGCTATAGATTCTTTTTACCTACATATGAACTTTGGATGAATAGAAGCACCCAGTATGTACTGTGTAGTGCCTGGTTTCTTTCACTCAGTAATATTTAGAAGATTCATTCATGTATGTGGTTGTAGTTTGTTTATTCTCATTGATTTGTGGCAGTCTTTTGTAGAAATACACCACAATTTATTTATCTCTTCTACTATTAGTGGATATTTGCATTGTACTCAGTTTTTGGCTATTATGAGTAGCTCTGCTATTAACATTCTTGCATGTCTTTTGGTGATCATAAGAACACATATCTGCTGAGTGTTCACTTAGGTGTGAAAGTCTAAGTCATAAGATGTGCAGAATGTTAAGTTGGAATAGCTATTGTAGTACAATCTCTTCTGTATTGGGTTAGTTTTCAAAACAAAAAAAGCAAAGGGGATTTGGTCTTAGAAAATTCAACTTGTTGGTTGTTGTATTAAAAGATATATATATATACATATTATATATATATACATGTATTTGTTAATCTCTAATTAGATTCCTTGGAATATTTCCACTTTTGAAGAAACATGTTAGCTAATAGTTAACATTCCTAATGCATTTCATTTTTAAATTTTAAGGCTGTTATTATTTTTCAGAACTGTAGTCACATATTTACCAATAAAAATTCTGGTTAACAGTAGGAATGTATGATATTCATAAATATGATTTATTTTCTAATTATGTCAGGACTTAACATGCTCATGGGAATAGAATTAGGAATGACACTTTGCCATTTGCCTATATAATATCGAAGACACCATTTTGTCAAGTGTATATGACACTGTTTAGAAACAGACTTTCTCACTTCAGAAAACCTCACAAAATATCTGATCAGCCTTGTCGCCTTGCATGTATACTTCTTTACTCCCAATGACACTTTTAAAATTCTCATATACATTTTCATATATACTGTACTCTTATACCTATAGTAGTTTCCATGTATATATGTAGTTTACAAATTCTCAATGATATTTTAAGTCTCTGTTATGTAGACTGTACACAATCTTAAAACACACATGAATCACTTGAGGTCAGGAGTTCGAGACCAGCCTGGCCGACATGGTGAAACCCCGTTTCTACTAAAAATAAAAAAATTAACCTGGTGTGGTGGTGGGTACATGTAATCCCAGCTACTTGGGAGGCTAAGGCAGGAGAATCGCTTGAACCTGGGAAGGAGAGGTTGCAGTGAGCCGAGATCATGCCATTGCACTCCAGCCTAGGCAACAAGAGCAAAACTCCCTCTCAAGGAAAAAAAAAAAAAAAAAAAACCCATCCTCAAGCACGTTGTAAACCTAATTTTAAAAGTATTTTTTTATTTTACAAATAATTTAGTCAGAAACAACCATTTTAAAATATGTAATATCTTGTAAGAAATAAACAACGTTCAAACCCCAAAATTTAATTTTTTGAATCTCAAATATGAGCAAAACAGTCTATCTTTCAGTGGATAAACAGCAAATTACTATTCCAGATTGCTTTCTCTACATTCTTTCCACACATATTTTAGCCCATGTTTTC
Organism: Homo sapiens; assembly: GCF_000001405.40. NCBI lineage: Eukaryota > Metazoa > Chordata > Mammalia > Primates > Hominidae > Homo > Homo sapiens. The sequence continues at coordinate 29,196,289 of NC_000018.10, forward strand.
TGACACCAAATGCTTCTGGTATTATATTTACTTTTGTATGTACAGAATCTAACCTGCTCTTGAACTATTTACAAACATGGCTATGCTTACCTGAATTAAAATTTTCTCCCTTCTCTCTAAGCTTTCAGTCATCAAAACTATCTAACTGTCAAATCTATTAGATTGGTACAAAAGTAATTACGGTTTTTGCCATTACTTTCAATGGCAAAAACCGCAATTACTTTTGCACCAACATAATAGCAACTATTCAATTGGTTTCCTCTTTGACTTTGATGACAATCCTTCCTTCCTCGAAACTAATTTTTTACAATTATTTTAACTGTTCCATTTTCTCTATTTGTTATGTACTTCACTGTGTATACAATTCTATACTGATTACTCTGCAATCACATTCCCTCCATTTAAATATTTTCCAGCATTTGGACTTCAGCCTTCCAACTCTGTATGCTGTGCTGTAGCATCGACCATCATGTCCCCAAACCGTATATGAAACTCAGTCTTCTTTCCCGAGAAATGCGCTTAAACCCCATTTATCCAATCACCTACTTATATAATTCCCTACACCAAGCAATCTCCAACCATTTTATCACAAGGGACCAGTTTCGTGGAAGACAATTTTTTCATAAACTGGGGGAAGGGGATGGTTTTGGGATGATTCAAGCACATTACATTTATTACGTACTTTATTACATTGAGATATATATATATATATATGTATGTGTGTGTATGTGTGTGTGTGTGTGTATATATATATATATATATATATATATATAATGAAATAATTATACAATTCACCATAATGTAGAATCAGAGGGAGCCCTGAGCTTGTTTTTCTGCAACTAGATGGTCCCACATGGGGGTGATGGGAGACAGTGACAAATCATCAGGCATTAAATTCTCATAAGGAGCACACAACCTAGATCCCTCACACGCACAGTTCACAATAGGGTTCATGCTCCTACAGGAATCTAATGCTGCCACTGATCTGACAGGAGATGGAGCTCAGGTGGTAACGTGAGTGATGGGGAGTGGCTGTAAATATCAATGAAGCATTTGCTTTTGGGTTGAATAAATGAAATCCTTGCCTAAGCCAATACCTAGAAGAGGCTTTTCAATTTTATCTTCTAGAATTTTTATAGTTTCAGGGCTTAGATTTAAGACCTTGGTCCATATTGAGGTAATTTATGTATAAGATGAGAGATGAAGATCCAGAGCTTTTGCACAGCAAAAGGAACAATCAGCAGAGCAAACAGAAAACCCACAGAGTTGAAGAAAATCTTCAGAATCTATACATCTGACAAAGGACTAATATCCAGAATCTACAATGAACTCAAACAAATTAGCAAGAAAAAAAACAAACAATCCTATCAAAAAGTAGGCTAAGAACATGAATAGACAATTCTCCAAAGAAGATATACAAATGGCCAACAAACATACGAAAAAATGCTCAACATTACTAATGATCAGGGAAACGCAAATCAAAACCACAATGCAATATCACCTTACTCCTGCAAGAATGGCCATAATCAAAACATCAAAAAATAATAGATGCTGACATGGATGCGGTGAACAGGGAACACTTCTGCACTGCTGGTGGGAATGTAAACTAGTACAACCACTATGGAAAACAGTGTGGAGATTCCTTAAAGAACTAAAAGTAGAACTACCATTTGATCCAGCAATTTCACTACTGGTTATCTACCCAAATGAAAAGAAGTCATTATACAAAAAAGATACTTGCACACACATGTTTATCATAGCACAATTCACAATTGCAAAAATGTGGAACCAACCCAAATGCCCATCAATCAACAAGTGGATAAAAAAACTGGGGTGTGTGTGTGTGTGTGTGTGTGTGTGTACATATATATACATATATATATGTACACATAAATACAATGAAATACTACTCAGCCATAAAAAGGAATGAATTAGTGGCATTCGCAGCAACCTGAATGAGATTGGAGACTATTATTGTAAGTGAAGTAACTCAGGAATGGAATACCAAACATCATTATGTTCTCACTCATAAGTGGGAGCTAAGCTATGAGGATGCAAAGGCATAAGAATGACACAATGCACTTTGGGGACTCAGGGGGAAAGGGTGGGAGGAGGTGAGGGATAAAAAAAACTACAAATTGGGTGCAGTGTATAATGCTCGGGTGATGGGTATACCAAAATCTCACAAATCAACATTGAACAACTTACTCATGTAACCAAACACCACCTGTTACCCAATAACCTATGGAAATAAAAAATTAAACAAACAAACAAACAAAAAATACTGATGAAGCTTCTCTTACCTGCCTGCCACACACCTACTGCTGTGTGGGTCTGTTCCTAACAGGCCATGTACCAGTACCAGTGCGTGGCCCAAGGTGTGGGGACACCTGAGCTATATATCCCAGTTCTGTTTAAAATTCAATTTTTGTTTTCTGTATTTTCTGCTATAAACTAGAATTTTCTCTTGTGTCTCCTTTTTTAGTTAATGGTACTTGTTGGGGCTCAGCAATTGATAACCCAAAATTACAATCCTTTTTATATACTGAACTAAAGAAGAGGCCTCAAGGTCTCTTTGTTTCACCCCCTACCCCACAATCTCTTCCTAAGCACAAAATACAGTTGTACTTTGAAGTTCCATTATCTGCAAGCCCGGACCTACCAAAGAAGAAAACAATTACCTCCAGTCTCTTCCCTGGGTTTTCATTAACTGAACTCATATCACGGGAAGACTAAAGTCTGTCAACAAACCTGAACAGACTTTAGTCTCAAACCATTGTCTGATGTTCTGTGTGCTCAACAGCCTTTGTGCCAGATCATTGTACGTTTTGCAAGTCAATTGAATTGCCCTTAAATTCATCTACCATCTCCTGAACATCATCCACACTTCTCTATCACTCTTTCCTCTAAGAAGTATATAAGCATCTGTACCCCATTGGAATATTGGACAATCACTCTGTGATTCTCCCCGTGCACAGTAGTAAGAAATTTTTAGTCTTTTCTCTAATTTAATCTGCCTTATTGTGAGATTATTTTTCAGTGAAACTTCTAAGGGCGAAGGGGAAGTTTCCTTTGCCCCAACATACCCATGTTGCCTATTTTAGAAATTTGTAAATATGTTTAAATATTTATTAATACATTCTTCTTCTTTTATCTACATTCAAGCACCAAAGGAATCACAAACTATTTCCTTCTCACATTCGTCTTTTTACTGCTAATATATTTCACACATCCATATTTTTTTCATGTACTGTTGTAATTACATCTCTACTGCTTTGAGAAACTCCAATCTTCAAGTCCTCCAATCCATTCTCTACATGCCAGGTATTGTATGTGTTCTTCCCTAATAGGCAAGTAGGAGTGTGCACTTTACCAACATGGATGATGCATATATATTTTTGATTACTCAGGATATGAAAATGAATGGAACGTGCTGTCTATGTCCTCAAAGAACCCACACTTACAAGCAAGACAAAATTGTAAATGACTCTGAGCAGATATAAGTAATATGGGGAAATAAAAAGAGTATTCATGCTCTTTACCATTTATTCATCAACTCTTCTGAGTATTGTTCTAAGCACTAGTGATACAGAACTGACCTGGACAAAAAGATTTCTTAGATCATGAGTTTTATTTTCAATGACAGAAGATTTAGGAGTCAAGGAAGGCTTCATAGGGAGATGACAGGAGGCAAATTTTAAAATCACTATTTCTAATGGTTGTAAGGGAGAAAAGATTTCTTTATTTGCCCATTGCTAGGCTCATGGCTGATACTCCTATAAGAAAAGACAGATTAATAAGAGAAAAGCATAGAAATTTATTTAATATAAATTTTATGTAACACAAGAGCCTTCAGAAATGAAGACCCAAAGAAATAGGAAAAACTGTACATTTTTTTGGACAGTTGTGTTGCAGTATGATTGGAGCTTAACAGGTTATGACCTAATAGCAATGACTTGGGGGGAACTTAGCAAGGCCTATTCAGATTCTTCTCTGTTTTTCTGTGTGATAGTCCTTTTCTCTGGACATAGAAGGGACCCTCCTGGAACGAGAATCTTATGGCCTACTTCAGAGAAAAGTCTGCTAGGGTCTGCTAGGTTTTATACACCTCTTCAGGAAAAGAGCAAGGGGAAGAGGAGAGTGAGTTTTCTACTTCTGTTTTTTCCAAATGCCAAGTGCCATATTTTGAGGTAGTGTGTCTGTAACTCTATCATGGTGAACCTTAAATATTTATATTTTAATAAAATATTTAAGAATGACTTAGAAATCGACAGTTAAAGTCAGTGAGACTATTTTCTGTTGATTAAATAAACTTGCAGAAAAACAAAGAACTTGTACATTCACATCTGGACATATGAGGTTCCCAATGGATGTAAAGAGATTCCCCAATTCAAAGTCTTCACCACCAAAAAACTTTGAATTCTCCTTCAGCATCTTTCATTTGTTATTTCAATCAATCATTCAAGTAATAAAGAAATATTTATTTATTCTCATGACCTAGACTAGCAGATAAAGAAAGGCTTCTCTTAGGAAGTGATATTTTAAGGATGAGTAGGTCTTTGGTGGGGAGAAGCAGGAGGGGGTGAATGGCATATAATGTTCATTAGGGAATGTGGCTTTAGGGAACATGGCATGATTATGGAATTGAAACAAGGGCAGGAAGAGTGGCATGCAGAGATTAGTCTGTCTGCTTGAACGATTTAAGATTCTTAAGTTCAGACTCCAGAGACAAAGTCATTTTCCTTCACATGGCCCTCAAACATGCCAGAATGCCTGACATAGAGTAGGATCTTAATGCATATTTGTTAAGTAAACTAATATGCATAATGTTGCCACTCAGAATGCAATACCCTAATGTGAAGGCCTCAGAAATAGCCACAGAAAAAAAGTTTCTCTCTGAACTTCTCCCTCCTCTCTTTCATCCATCATTCTCCCCCAAGGCTAGCCATAGAAACTAGAATTCCTCTTCCCCAAAGCAGGTCATAGAAAACAGAACCCTTTTCCCCAAAGCCAGCCACAAAACATAAAATATACTCATCACTTTCTCCCATTTATCTGTGTAAGAACTGGCTATAAAGAAATTCTCTGACCTAGTTGGTTTGATTGAAGGCCCTAAGGTCCCCTCCTTTCAGCAAACGTCCTGCCCCATACGCAGAATAAGCAAATGCTGCACAGAGAGGCCAAGAAGAATCTGGATAGGCCTTACTAAGTGATATGGTTAGGATCTGTGTCTTTGTCCAAATCTCATGTTGAATTATAATTCCCAATTTTGGAGGTGGGGCCTCTGGGAGGTGATTGGATCATGGAGGTGTTTCTTCGGAGTGCTTTATTCCCATCTTCTTGGTGGTGTTCTCATGATAGTGAGTGAGTTCTCATGAGGTCTGTTTGTTTAGAAGTATTTAGCCCCTCTCTCACTCTCTCTTACTCCTGTTTCTGCCATGTTAGATGTGTCTGCTCCCTGTTCACCTTTGGCCATGTTCGTAAGTTTCCTGAGACCTCCCCAGAAGCCAAACAGATACCAGCATTATGTTCCCTGTACAGCCTGTGGAACCATAAGCCAATTAAACATCTTTTCTTTATAAATTACCCAGTCTCAGGTATTTCTTTATAGTAATGCAAGGATGGACTAACACACTGAGTTTCCTCACTTACTCTACTAACATTAGTTCATATTGTTTTTGTTAAACGGTGCTGCATGGCTTTCATTCTTCATTGAGTCAGTGCGTGAAAATGGATGGCTTTCCCCGTATCTTTGGGTCTTATTCTGAAGTTTTCTGTGTCATGTAAAACTATGATCACATACATCTATTACGCTTTTCTCTTGTTAATCTGTCTTTGTTATAAGCGTGGTGGCTGTGATTCTTACGGTGGGGAAAAAGGCTCACCCCTCTCCACCTATATAGTTTTGGTAACAAGAATGGGATGGCTGGGACACCTGACTTGCCCCAGAGCCTGCAGATGAGGTCCTGGGATAACTGACAAAAAGATAACAAAGAAAAGTAATAATTTTTACCAATGTCATCTCCCCTGAATCTCTACATATAGTACCCAGTTAAGAATGGAAGGTAAAAATTACCTTCATATCCTTCCCCTTCCAAACTCAGCTTAGCAGGAGAAAATCATTTGTTTGAATTATGACTCTTTTGTAAATTTGGCTATGGGCCCCCAATTATTAATGATCCTTTTCCCTCTCATTGACAGCTATTATTTTTCTGTTTATCTCATTTTGTGTTCTGAGAACTCGGCTTGGCTTGCCTCCTGTTGGGGCACATGGGTTATCACGTTGGTGTGTACAGATGATAAACCAAAAGCCTGTGGACCCCATAAAAAGAATGCAGCTGAATAGAAATGTGGGTTGGCCCCATTTGTGGTTAGTGAGCCAACAGCCACCAGCTCTAAATAAGTTATCTATGTATCTTTTCCGTTTTTGCTGTCTTTGGGGATGACTCTGGATCTTGTGAAGACTGCATGTTTATATCTCCTTGGAGAAGCTTTATGCATCCTTGGTTAAGTCATAAAAGGTTTATTGATTTTGGTTCTGAGTCATATGTTAGGTAAGATTGGTTTAAAAGAAAAATAAATAAATAAATAAGAAGAAGTCAGAAATATTTGATGTTTTCGTCCTGGCTAAAATCTGATAAGGGATTTGAAAGGACTGAAAGGACTTTTTCTTTAAAGAGTCCTATGGTCAGAAGTTGGCTTAACTAGCTGATATTCAGACTGTCCCTTTTTTTTTTTTATAGTCTCCTCTTCTGCCTGTTGGATCCTGGTTCTCCCATGGGAATATCAGAGTGCTGACAACCAAAAGATAGGATCTAAGGGAGACTTCTAGTGACCCTAAAACCCCTTGAGGAACACAAAAAAGGCACCAGTGACTCTCTTTTTGGTGGTCCTCTGTCTTCCTCATGGATCCCCAAGAGCTGTGGGTGGGTTACCCTCAGGTATGAAACTCTACTGTCTTTTACAGTGAGATCCCTTTGATTTTGTGGGGCACCAATGGTTACTGTATGCTTTGAAAGGGCACTTGAACTTCGGGTGGGTGGAAACTGATTAGTCACTGACAGAAGCTCTAATTTTTAAGGTAACTGACAGTGACTGCAATAAATGGTTATTACTGCAGGGGCCAGACAGAAACTGACAATAAAAGGTAATTTCCTACAAGAAAAGTCACTGGCTTCATTGATAGGGGGAGGATCTTAGAGATGGGGCCATGGGTTGATAATGGGATTATTTTTGGCAATTGGAAGGTCTCAAAGCCCTTGAAACCAATGGACAAGTCTCCCATCAAGTAGTGAGTTAGTCACGGAATGGGCTAGTTGGCACTGTCACTCACCGGCCTTGAGGGAACATTCTTACTGCTGGATACCCTGTGGGAGTGCTGCACGGCCCAGCCTCATGGCATTTCCCTTCTTAGCTTTTGCTTCCTCTCTGGAAAATCCAGGATTCAAACATAAAAATGAGATTTTGGATTTCTGGAAATCTAGGTGCTCCATCTTCTAACTACTCCTGTCTTCTGAATATGTAAGTATTAGTCCTGGAAGTTACAGATGCTTTGTTTGCCCTATTCATTAATGGGCTCCACCCTAATCTCAATAATCTGGTTAAGAAATTGAGGCTAAATTGAAAAGTTTCTGATCTAACTAAGTTGGCCTCCAGGCCTCCAAAATATGACTTTCTGGCATTCAAATGATGATTTTAAACAAGCTTTTGATTTTCTCCCAGGCTTGTCTATTACTTTGTAAAATCCCATTTTACAAAGTAATAAATAGTAAATTCCTATGATTTTATGTTGCCTGGGCATCAATTTTTAAATTTTTCTCTATGTCTCATCTAACTGACACATGTGAACCTAATTCCCTTCCGAGCCAAGGCTCTCATAGAGAGTGGCTATCTTGATCTACCTGTCAAGGCATGGATAGATTTTATAGCGACTCCCCAGAGAGACATCTCAAGACCAAATTAGAGAAAAATGCAATAAATTCAGTTTTAGCAGAAAGGGATACTTTGTCCATCCAGATAAGCTTTGGACACATTCAGACTTAAAATTTAGCCCACAGTCCCTACAAAATTGACCTCTGATAATAGCTATATGCCAAAAGGTCTTTCTTGAGGAAAAAACAATCAAACAAGCAAAAATCAAATAAAAACAAACATTCATTCCTTCTCTGTACCTTGAGATATAAATTTTCTCTTTTGTTAATAAAAACAAACATTAATTCCTTCTCTGTACCTTGAGATATAAATTTTCTCTTTTGTTCCTCCTAAGAGTCATCTCCTTAGAAGTCCAAACTTAGGGTTGCCTAACTATTACCTAGGGCAATGGAACTGGTAGTTAAAGACATATAATCTGAAGGGAAAGGGAAACTCTTTAAAAACTGACAAATGAAAAACCTTAACAAAAGTTGTAGAATAGAAGGATGAAACTGAAGCCCTACTTTTCACCATATACAAAAAGTAACTCAAGGTTGATTAAAGACTTAAATGAAAGTCCTCAAATTATAAGCATCCTAGAAATAAACCTAGGAAACATCATTCTGGACAATAGCCTTGAGAAAGAATTTATGACTAAGTCTTCAAGAACAATTGCAACAAAAACAAAAATTGTCATAGGACCTAATTAAAGGGCTTCTGCATAGCAAAATAAACGATCAAAAGGTAAACAGGCAACATACAGAGTGGGAGAAAATACTCACAAGCTATACATCTGACAAAGGTCTAATATCTAGAATCTATAAGGAACTTAAACAGTTCAACAAGCAGAACACAAATAACCACATTAAGAAGTGGGCAAAGGATATGAACAGACACTGCTCAAAAGAAGACATACCAACAAACATATGAAAAAATGCTCAACATCACTAATCATCAGAGAAATGCAAATCAAAAACACAATGAGATGCTATCTCATGCCAGTCAGAATGGCTATTATTAAAAAGTCATAAAAAAAAAAACAGATGCTGGTGAGACTGTGGAGAAAAGGGAATGCTTATACAGTGCTGGTGTGAATGCCAATTAGATCAGTAACTGTAGAAAGCAGTTTGGAGATTTCTCAAAGAACTTAAAACAATTAGCATTCAACCAGCAATCTCATTACTGAGAATATATCCCAACACAAATAAATTATTCTACCAAAAAGACATATGTCCATCACATATGATGACTCACATGTTCATTGCAGCACTATTCACAATAGCAAAGACATAGAATCAACCTAGGTGCTCATCAGCGGTGGACTGGATAAAGAAAATGTGGCACATATACACCATAGAATCCTACACAGCAATAAAAGAGAATGAAATCCTGTCCTTTGCAGCAATATGAATGCAGCTTGAGGCCATTAAACTAACTAAACTAGTGCAGGAACAGAAAACCAAATATCTTATGTTCTCACTTATAAGTGTGAGCTAGACATTGGATACTCATGGACATGAAGATGGCAACAATAGACACTGGAGAGCAATAGAGGAAGGAAAAAGGGAGGGGCATAAGGGTTGAAAAACTAACCGTTGGATATTATGTACAGTATCTAGATGACAGGGTAGTTCATATTGCAAACCTCAGCATCAAGCAATGTAGCCATGTAACCATCCTGCATGTGTATCACCTGAATCGAAAATAAAAGTTGAATTTCTTCCTTTAAAAAGCTGAGAAACCTGCTTCTTTCTGTGTATTTGTGAATGTCTGTATATGTGTGTATTGAGAATGTGTGGTATTTTTTTCCTGCAGTTTTAGTACCAAAATATATTCTTTACATTTAATTAACTTAAAGAAAATAAATAATAAGCACTTAAGTGTTTTATCAAAAGGAAAAATATAACAATTAACTTAAATGTCTTTTAGTTCATGTGATCTTAGATAATCTTTGGTAAATAAAGTTAGTTTATAATTTTTGGTAAGATAAAAATAGAAATGTTTTTAAAATTGTCAGCATTGATTGTAATGCAAACATACTTTTTTTCGCAAGAGTTTTAGTCAAATAAACTTGTTGCTTCCTAGATGTTTAAGAAGAGGGAAAAAAAGTTTAACTTTTAACAATTTTTGTTCCTGTGATATTTTTGATACTTGTCTAATCTGTTGGTGAGCTAACACTATAAGAGTCAGCTATTGGGCTCTCCCAAAACCTTCCACACATCTTGCTGTGAGCTTCTGTGTTTGGTTTTAAACTTCTGTATTCTGGGATCTAAGCAGGTAGCCAAGGTGAAGGCTGGGAACATGTATGTGTCTGTAGCACTTGGGCTACCAGCTGCAGGACAGGGCCAAGCCCAGTATGGTTGCATCCTGTGTCCAGTGTCTCAAAAGATTTGGTTAAAACAAGGCTGACTGATACTTGGTAAGCTTGGTTTTACTTAAAAACAGAAAAATAAACTTTAAAAAATGACTTGCTTTGTTTTCCATGAGCAATTTAAATATAATTATTAAATAAGTAAATGAGATAAATGTAAATAAAATAACATTTATATATACATTTATCAAAGTTTCAAATTTTTTTTAGTAATTTGAAGTCTTAAATTCATGGTTTGTTAAATGATAAATAATAATAAATTATCTGAGCCAAGTAAGTACTGAAACATTAATTATTAAGCATAAGTTTAAGTATACATACTAAGTATACATACTTCAACATCTTATTTTTATACAGTATAAAATAGCTACATATATCTGGATCTGTTAGTAAACAAAAAATTGAGAAATGTATCTTTCTAAAAATTATGAAATGGCTTTTAGTCTATAAATGCGATATAAAAGTTAAAAATTACTTATTTATTAGATTTTCATGGAAATTAAGGTTACTAAAAGTTAGAAATTCAAATTAATATGTGTAATTAAAGTACTACATATAAGAAAAAGAACATACATGCGAAGTATACAAAAAGATAGGTGTTTTTGGTAAGGAAATTAAAGTACTAGAATTTTTCTTTTGTTAAGAAAAAGAACTAGAACTTTGTCTAGAGATTATTTAAAGGGTATTTAGGAGTGAAGGAATGAAAGAAGAAATAACGTAAAACTGAATGGATAAAAAAGTTGTAAAAGAGTTATAAATAATGAATCTAATCAAACTGATTTTTTTGATCAAACTGATTAAACTTACACAAATTTATTATTAAGATTTTTAAATGCACCTTAATATCAAAAGTACACTGACAAAAAACTAGAATGTGGTTTTATCTTTTAAACAAGGTTTTTATGTAATAATGATAAGAGACAATAATTGTTTAAAAAATACTTTGATTGAACTGCGAGACAGAGAAAAAGAGAGAGAGAGAGACAGAGAGAGTCTATGTTATCAGAATAGCTTCCTGTGCTTCTTGTCTTCTTTATTGGGTCTTTGATTACCTAGGAAAACTAAATATTAAAAGGTTAATGTGTTTCTATAACTATGTAGCTTCTTGTGTTTACTTTAAAAGTATTTTAATTATCACACTGGTATGATGAATATTATTTCCCAGAGACCTGTGATTTTATTTTGATCAAGTATTTTTAAAACTTTTGACTTTTTTTTTTTTGACAAACTATCCAAAATCAAAATTGAGTCCTTTTGACCTCAAACCATCTTTTGGACATTTTAGAGGGGCCCCTGGAAGTCCAAGAGAGAAAGATGATAAACTAATTAAGCTTATTTGTTATGTTAAAATTATCTAGGAAGCACTGTCAATTAAGAAATATGTTCAACTTTCTTGGAGTTATATTTCTGTGGTTATGTTACTGACATATGTGTTCCAAATTTGTATAAAATTCCTAGAAACCTAACATGTTACCAGTTATAAGTTTGGTTATTATATGAAAGTGTTTTCTGCCACAAAAGAAAACGCAAATGTCATCATTATTATAATGAACTCCAATCAGATCTTTAACCATTATATATATTTTTTATTTTATTATTTTATTTTGGGATGGAGTCTCACTCTATCACCGAGGCTGGAGTGCAGTGGTGTGATCACAGCTCACTGCAAGCTCCATTCACTGGGCTCAAGGGATCCTCCCACCTCAGCTTCCCAAGTAGCTGAGACCACAGATGCACACTACCATACCTGGCTAGTTTTTGTATTTTGTTATAAAGATGGAGTTTCACCATGTTGGCCAGGCTGGTCTCAAACTCTGAAGCTCAAGCAATCTACCTGCCTCTGCCTCCCAAAGTACTGGGATTACAGACGTGAGCTACCCACCTTGCCTGGCCTCTTTAACTGTTTTAGTTTTCGTTGTCCATAGTTAAGTGTTTTCTTCTGATGCCTCTTCTGAAAACTCTTTGCAAACATTTATAATCCTAAAGTATGTCTTCAAGGACATTCAGGGAAGGCATAGAAAGAACTCTAACAAACACAGGTTTCTGACAACTTTGAGGCCATATCTTTGGACTAGGTAAGAGTTGAAAAACTCTAAGGAAAAAACTGGAATCATAAAATTTCTCACCCAATTTCAAGCAGAACAAAAATTAATTGCCCAGGGCTGAACCAATGAAGTATTATGATATTTTCTACTTCTTTTTGTTTGAAACATTGCTGATTCTTTTTACGATTTGTTTTCCAGATTCGATAAAACTTTTTTTTAATTTTAAGTTAATCTATAGCTTACAGTAATTTAGTGATGTTAATTTTTACAAACAGAATTGAAACATTTTCTTATTTCACCCTGCTTGATCCCTTCAAAATTTGGAAACTATTCAGAGTATTCTTATTTTATGGCAATACAGTTATTTGTGTAGGTTCAATAATAATCTGTTCTTGTAACAGCACAACTGGTAACACTGGTTGTATTACCAAGGCTTTGCCTGAAATTTTGTATCTTCCAGTATGACCAGATAACTTTGAGGAACTAAGGTTGAGTTTGTAAAGCCAATAAAAGAACTTGGAAAAATTGGCCTGGTACCTTGTCTACACAGTCCCCTTATAGGGTTCCTAGCCTTGCAATAAATAATTTCACTTTCTGACAAACTCAGAAATCTCAGGATATTTTGGAAACCTGGAGAAGAGAGGAATTTACCCAGTTCGTAAAGGTGTTACAGGCACAGTCTGATGGTGAATCTTACCTTGGCTTCTTGGCCTCAAGAGGGTTTTTAAAAGTCTAATGCAAAAGCCTTTGTAAAAATGTTCCATCAATGCCAACTTAAAAAGAGCTTATGTGATCAGTAATTATTCTTGCTGCAGTCAGGCCAAATTAATAAAACTAAACTTATTTTATACACAAATTGGCCTTACTGTGATTATCTTTATCAAAATGAGGGTGAGTGGAGAGAAAAACTATTAAGCACTTGTATAAGACTCTACCTACATGTTGTTGAGGGTTTATTATCTCCCTACAATGTGGACTAGATCCAATATCTGGCTGTGAGTCTCCAAACTAACATTTCCAATTTTCTCTGATCCTTCTGGCTTGGAATCACTGTGATTAAAACTGCTTTTCATCTTGCTCTGCAAGATGAAATTATGCCATTTGATATAGACTTCAGAGAAGTCAGCACAGCAGCTTATATATAAAAAGTATTTGTGTCTTTTGCTGGACGGACTACTCAGAAGTTTCACTGAGACACCTGATGCAAACTGCAACCAGGAAAAGTCTGTCACATTGCCACTGCCTACTGTCACTCATCTGAAAACACTTTGAGCACCAAAGATCTGAAAATCTTAACTGGCTGCCCTCTGGACTAAAACATTGAGTTTATAGTTTATTCTAACCATCAATATTTTTCTTTTATTTCCATAAAAATGTCTCTGATTCTTCAAATGATACAAAGACTTGACTATGGTGGAAGCCCATCTGCAACACTACTGCCTAAAATGAGACATAATGGTTAGCTGTTTAACTAGAATGGCCTCTTGTTGGGACTGAGATTGGTTCAGTAGCTTAGGAGACATTCCATCTACTCAATTTCTGAACTGTGAAACTTCTTGGGAGATTTTAGACTGAGGAATGTTGGGACTTAAAGATAATACTCCAAAGTGGAAGCCTCAGAAGCAAAGTTTCTCACTGACCTTCTCTGCCCTCCTATATCTCACCTCTCATTTTCCCACAAGGTTAGCAGTAGAAACTAGAATTCCTCTTTCCCAAAGCAGGTCATAGAAACCAGAATATCTTTTGCCCGAAGCCAGTCATAAAACATAAAATATTACTCTAACCTTCCCTTATTTTTCTGTGTAAGAATTGACCATGAAGAAATTACTGACTTACCTCGTTTGATTGTAGGTCATAAGGCCCCCATTCCAAAAAAGGTGCTGCCCCATACTTGGGAGGAAGAAAGCCTCCACAGAGAAGCCAAGAAGAATATGAACAGATAGGCCTCAGTCTATTAGCATTAGATCATATCTTTTTGTTCAATTACAATTCTACATGGCTGTTACTTCTTCATTGAACTTATGCATAAAAATAGACAGTTTTGCCTGTAACTTTGGGCTTTCATTCTGAAGGTTTCTGCATTATGTGAAACTATGACCAAATAAATGTGTTAACCTCTTTGGTATAGGTGCATCAACTATGACCTTTATGATCTGGAGAAAGGGATCACCCCATTTTTACCACTATAATAATAACAAGTTGAAATCCACTCCTAAATAATAGTAGTATAGGCTTAACATATCAAATCACAGTGTTTTTCAAAAATGTTTTATCAGCTGGGCCCGGTGGCTCACGCCTGTAATCCCAGCACTTTGGGAGGCCGAGGCGGGTGGATCACAAGGTCAGGAGATCGAGACCATCCTGGCTAACACGGTGAAACCCTGTCTGTACTAAAAATACAAAAAAATTAGCCGGGCATGGTGGTGGGCGCCTGTAGTCCCAGCTACTCGGGAGGCTGAGGCAGGAGAATGTTGTGAACCCGGGAGGCGGAGCTTGCAGTGAGCCAAGATGGCACCATTGCACTCCAGCCTGGGTGACAGAGCTAGACTCCGTCTCAAAAAAAAATAAAAAAATAAAATTATCAAGTTTTTACTTTCAGAGCCACTATTAAGAGGTGCATGTTCTTGATAATGTTTACACTTTATAAAAGCTATAGTTGCAGAGACTGAATAACTACCTCCAGAAAACAACAGAAATAGATGGAAGTGCCCTCCAGGTCTTTTTCTTAGCTATTCCCTTAGGCTACCTGAATATCTCAGACGCTGAGTGCCTGAGAAATTACTGTGATAGCTATTTCATCTAAAAAATGTTTGCACTATAACTGAGATCAATCCAGATGAGAACAGTAGGAATTTCAGAAAATGTTAGAGCCTGAGAGAGAATATTTTAGACCTCATAAATGACTGGCATAATTGTTAACCATGCGAAGTATATTAGGTTTGCTCATTCTTTGGGCTTGAGGTGGGAAGAATGAAGCAGTATGCAGTAAAAGGAATATCAGACAGATGTCTTCAACTTCTTTTTGCTTCAGCATTTAACATCAAGTGACCCGCAGCAGTTTATAAGATCTTTGTGAGCCTCAGTTCATTTGCACGCATGTAATGTGTAGTTAAATACTAAGAACTTGTGGAAAACACATAACATACCTACAATAAGCATAGTTACTTGCACACATGACACCCTCAAAGAGTCATTTCCATTCCCCTCCACCTCGTTATTTTTTGTGCTTATTTTTGGACTTATGTAATTGAAATTTTAGGAAGTAGAGTCAAACTAGTATCTCTAAAAACTTAAAGCGTACTGATTTCACAATTTCAAATAAGCAATATCTTTGTTTAGGTACTTTCAAGGATCATAAGAAAAATAATCTCACCCCTGTTGAGAAATTTTATTTTGTTGCCTCCCAGCTGTCACTTAAGATTCACTTAAAATCTCTCTGATTGACTCCCATTTTGACCATAGATTGGGGCTTGCTGTGAAAACCCACTGGTTTGTATTTATTTTTTTCTCTCAGGGAAAATAAGAGACTCTAAAAATACTTACATAAGATTAGGCAATAGACCAGATCTTTCTTTCCTGAAAATTATAGTTCAAAGTATATTTTATTATGTTTCTATTTTGATAGCAATAGCTCCAAACCATGCTTCATATTCCCCACTTTGTCCTACATGCATTTACTATCCATTTCTCATAACATTATTTCCTGTGGTCTTTGTAGGAATTGCTTAGATTGCTTTATTAGCTCTTATAGTACACTTTGGTGTTTGACTGGCCTACATAAACATAGTTTCATTTCTTTAAAGTAATAATTAAATTATCATTTTGTTTTCTTAGATCCTGCCATT
The DNA here is from genome assembly GCF_000001405.40 of Homo sapiens. Classification (NCBI taxonomy): domain Eukaryota; kingdom Metazoa; phylum Chordata; class Mammalia; order Primates; family Hominidae; genus Homo; species Homo sapiens. Next base: position 29,212,461 of record NC_000018.10, read on the forward strand.
TGCTAACTATATCAATTTTCTCATCTTGCGACAGTTACTTGATTTGGCCATACCATTTCTGCTTTTCTTTTGTTGACATACCTTTTGCAGTTCTTGAACTTCCAACATGTTAATTACTCTGAAAAACACATTGCTAGGAATTAATCCTATTCTTCATGTGACTCTCAATTTATGTGGAGGATGTCTTAGTCCATTTTTTGTTGCTATAAATGAATACCTGAGGCTGGGTAATTTAAAAAAAAAACAAAAAGAGGTTTATTTTGCTCACAGTTCTGCAGGCTTGGAAGTTTTATGTTGTATGGCGCAGGCTTCTGGTGAGGGCTTTCAGGCTGCATTATAACACAGCGGAATGTTAAAGGAGAGTGGACAGGTGCAAAGAGGCAAAACCTGAGAGGCAACCTGGCTTTATAACAACCCATTCTCAAGAGAATGGATATATTCTTCAGCAGCAAAACTTACTCCCTTGAGATGGCATTAGTCTATTTATGAAGAATCCACCTTCATGACCAAAACACCTCCCACCAGTCCCCACCTCCCAACACTGCCACATTGGGGATCAGATTTTAACATGAGTTTTAGCAGGGGAAAATTATATCCAAATCATAGCAAAGGACAAATGAAATACCCTCTTGCCTGGTTGCTAAATATACTGAAAGCCACTGTTTGAAATCCACTTTAAACTATTTCATTTAACAGTGTAATTGCATCACAGTTAAGCCTTTTTGGACTTTCCTTTTTGGATTTATAAAAAGTTATTTGGGTAAAGGGAATATTCATCTTTGCTTCTCTTTTACAGTTTTAAATATATCTGCTTAGTTTCCAGTATTCTTTCAAGATTTTGTAAAAGGAAACTCTCTCCTCTTCTCTAAATAAGTTTAAATTTATCTCTTAATCATTTGAAGAAAGACATATTAATTCTAACTCAAGTGATGTCTCCCTACTTTTAAGTTGGAATTATTTAATGTATAACTTTATCAGCATAAATATCTGTTTTGTGAATAGTAAAAGCCATTCTACCATTGTTTTAATTATCTATATCAATAATTGTTTGCAAGCTATTTGTAACATTACTAGCTCAATCAAATTGATGTTAGACAATTATATATTCCTAGAGTGGGAAGAAAAATAACCACCTCTGCTGAACCGTGATAAGATTGTAGGTATCACAATTTTGCATTTATCTGGAAGAAATTAATTGGAAAAGTATTTTTTAATATGTAGATGATATCTTATCACTGCAACTTTCTCTCTTTTGTAAAAAAGAAATATAACTTCTACAGAAGTGCATAAAACATAAATATAAAGCTTGATGTTTTATTACAAAATGAAAACCCAAGTAACCACCTCAAGGTCCAGAAAGAACATTACCAGAATCTCAAAAGCCATTCTTATGACCCTCACAATTATTACCTAGTTTCTTTTGTGAGGTGATCACTATCATGACATTAACACTATGTTAAGATTTTTTACTGTCTTTATTCTTTATATCCATGCAATAACCCTCTAAGAGTGCTTCTATTTTCCTATTGTTTTTGCTCATCATTTTTCCATATTATTCTATTTAATAGCAATTAATACATTTTTAATCTTTTAAAATGTTATTAAATAAATATACCATAATTTATGTATTTAGTCTATGGGCAGTTTGATTATTTCTAATTTTGTCAATTACAGATAATACTGCCATACATATCTCTGAGTACATACCATTATGTTTTCTTTGTAACTCGTAATTATATAATCAGTCCATATTTATAATTTTAATAAATAATGCCAAATAATTTTCTAGAGTGGTCATTAAACTTTGACTTTGACCAGTAGGGATTGAGAGTTCTTGCTGCCCCAAATCATTGCTTACACCTCTTGGTAAGGTGTAATTCTACTTTTTAAAAGATTTTTATTCTGCTGGTAGAATTCCCATTGAGATTTTAATTAGTCATTTCCTAATGACTGATGAAGCAGTTACTATATTTATTATCCATTTGGATACTCTCACATTTGAGAGCCCTGTTCAAGTCTCCTGCCAATTTTTCTTTTGAATTACCTTTTCTTAAATTTTATTTATAGGGTTTTTAACTGTATTCTGAACATGAACCTTTTGTTCATTATATAATTAGCTATATAAACAAATCTATGGATTTTTTTGGACTCTAATCAACAGAAACCTGATTTTTACGTAATCCAAATTATAAACTTTTTAAAAGATTATTACCTTTAAGGGTGCTCTGTTTAATAAATTATATATATTTTTTCTGTATATCATCTTTTAGGTATCCAAAATTCCCCAAATGGAAGTAAGATATAAAGAAAGAGTGACACTTTACTTACCATACACAAATATACATATACATACTAAAAAGTAGCAAAATTAGACATTTTTCATTTTGATTTCAACTTTAAATTTCATTTATTCAAGGTCATTTGACCTTAACCCACTTTCCATCAAATACATGTCTTTGAAATTTACTCACTTTTAACAACTGCATTTCTGTTTATTGAGGATAGGTGGGGTATCTGGTAAAGAATGCTTCAGTGTGTGAGGTGAACAGTATTTCTAGGCTGAAATTGTTCTATGCATTGAAATTCATGAGAAAGAAAACAAAAAGAGGGTGAACAAGAGATAATAAACTTCATGAATTTACTGGCTGAATGCTAGTTTCAGTAGGCAATAGATTTGTGGAAAATTATTTGAGAAAATTATTAAAATAATTTCTGATAAACCTACATTTGGGGGTAAAAAGACAGAAGACACATTTCAATCTGTAATATCAATATAGCCTTGAAATACTAATAAAATTTGTTTTTTCTTGGCTATTTGTTTCTTATGAACAAAAGTGAAAATTACTCTACTGTCTTCACTGAAACCAGACATGCTACCTTTTTACAGTTATATTTGGTCTTTATACTATTTTTAGCTAAAAGTGCTAATACCATGTAATGTTCATATATTTTTATTTTTTGAGAATTTCAACAGCATTTCTTAAATACTCCTTTTTGTCATATATCTGTGAAAATTTCAACCCTTGTCTCAATTATTGTTGTTTTATAATAGGATATAATGTCTAATCAATGTTCACTGTTACTCCTCCCTAAACAATAATGTCTAATCAATGTTCACTGTTACTCCTACCTAAACAATCCTTCCTTTATATACAAAAGGAAGACAAAATAGACCCAATTTGCAGAATGCTTTGCTGTAGTCATGCTAAGCAACATGATTCAATAATCAACTTTGTTAAAAATAATGATGTACTAATTTGTAAGACAGTGCTGTGTAACATTGTTTGAGGTGAGGGAGAGGGCAGAAAAGCAGATGTTTCCAAGGAATTTGAGTGGTTTAAGCAAAAAAAAAAAAAAAAAAAAAAAGAAGACATAATATCTTAGTCTGTTTTGAGTCTGTTTTGTGTTGCTATAAAGGCATGCCTGAGGATGGGTAATTTATAAAGAAAAACTATCTATTTGGCTCACAATTCTGCTGACTCAAAGGTTCAAGATTGGGAATCTGGGTGGGGGCCTCAGGCTGCTTCTATTCATGGTGGAAGGTAAAGGGGAGCCAGTGTGTGCTGAGATTATGTGGTGAGAGAGGAAGCAAGGTGGGGGTTCCAGACTCTTTTTAACAACCAGTTCTCATGGAAACTAATAGAGTGAGAACTTACTCTCCAGGGAAGGCATTCATCTATGCATGAGGGGACTGCCCCATGACCTCCCATTAGGCCCTAACTCCAAATTAGGGATCAAATTTTAACATGAGATTTGAAGTGGACAAATATTCAAGACAATTTTGCATGAAAATATTTATTTGCATTAAATGTAACAGAGGTCAAATATGGAAAGTCAGTCAAGTATTCTGGACCTGTTTGCTGATTATCTGTAAGTTGTCCATTTTCAGAGGACTCTGCAGCAGCTTTGGGAGCCCCTAGTGCTATGTGGAATGCAGTTTGAAAACCACTGAATTACTGTATAAAAGTGGTGTCATTGTAGGAAAAGTTTAGAAGTAGTTACAGCCCCTGCTTGGAAAAAAAATCTCTGAGAAGACCATTAGAGGGAAATAGAGAAGACACATATATGGATGTGTACATATGTGAAAAAGTGGAAATAGCATGGTCTCTTTAGCATACTGTCGCATTATCCCGAACAATTACGTTAAGTTCTCTGAATTTAAGTTTTCAACACATGCAATTAAGAATATGATATCTACTTCAAAGGGGTGTTATAAGGGGAATTGAATTAATGTAGGTTAAAAATGCTTTGTTTTTAAGAATACATACTTAACAAATGTAATGCAATAGTATCCTATTACAAATACATACTTACACATGTAAGGCAATAGTATACTAAGTATTGGGGAAACTATTTGCTGAATATGCTGTTATTGTTCCTATGGTTTCTAATATCATCTACTAGAGCAGGGATTAGCAAACCTTTTCTATAAAGTACCAGATAGTAAATATTTTCAGGTTTGAGAGCCATATCATATTTGTTAGTCACAGCTACTCTACTCATGTTAGAGCACAAAAACCATCATAGATGATATGTGAAAAAGTGAGTGTGGCTGTTTTCCAGTAAAATGTTAATTATAAAAACAGGCAACTGGCAGAATTTGCCCAGTGAACTACAATTTGCAAACCTCTGTACTAGATCCTTTCAAACTCAAAGTATAGTCCATAGACCACCTGAGAGCAGGAAAAGCTACATAAATTGTGTGACCTAATACAAAATGAAAATGCAGAGCCCCTTGTTTAAAAATAACTAAGAATATTAAAATGCTGACAGCAGAGCATGATTTCAAATGTGGGTTTCTTTTGCAGACTTACAAGTCACACATCTGTGAATCCAGCCCTGCCTGGGAGCTTGTTAAAAATGCAGGCCTTGTCTCTGACCTATTGAATCATAATCTGCATATCAGTAAGGTCCCTGGATGGTTCATATGTACATATGTTTTGAAAAGTACTGATAGACTAAAATAATTTTAAAACTGTATTTCTGGATAGGAGTTCTCTAACAAAGGCCAAGTAATTACTTCCATCTATGAGAAATCTACTTTAAAATTCTTACAAACTGTTTATAAAATAATTGAAAAATTAGCATAGTCAACAAATATAATATCCTCCTGTATTCCCCAACTACTCCCCAAGTCAAATTATTTGCAATATGTTCTCAGTTTCTTCTTCCATTCTCATTGCATCTAATTAGCTACTGGTGCCGATCCCTCCCTCCCAGAACATTTTCTCAGTCTGGCAGCACCTCTCAGGAGAGTGTAGTAGTTAAGAACATTGGTTCTAAAGCTGGACTGCTCGACTTTGTATGCTGCCTCCACCTCTTACCAGCTGTTTGGTCTTGGGCAAGCTACTTAATCAATGTCTCAGTTCCTTCTTCTCTTATAAGGGATAATAACTCATAGCATTATTGTGAGGATTAAATGAGTTTTTATATGTAAACACTTAATTAGTGTCTGACACATGGTAAACACTTGTGAGTATTAGATAATATTATTATCTATCAATTCCCATCACCTTTATAATACTTCTGGCTGTCATAGTCAGTTATCTGAGCTCGTGCAACATTAACTGTTGTCAATAACACATGGAAATTAGGATTAGCTTCACAGTTTAGGGAGCAAAGTTAGCCATACTGCTGAATACAGGAATAGCAAGAGGAGAGTTTTTTGTGAGCACAATATAATGGAATCCAGAAAATAGTCTCAAGAATGAAATCAGCACATAGGAATCAAGCCAAAGAAATCAAGTATAATAAATCATTTGAGTCCGATGAACCTACAAAACCTAAAATATTTAGGTTATGGCCCTGTATAGAAAAAAAAAGGAAATTTACTACCTCTACAGGATGACAGAATGCAGAGCAGAATTGGTGGGATTTTCAGGAAGAACATGGTCATTGAAAGAATATTCCAAAATAAGACTAAGAAGAGTAAAGCTGGAAAGAATCCCAAGTCATCTGCCCCTGGAGTGTGAGTGGGTGCTAGGCCAGAAAGGCCAGAATAGTCAGGACGTTTGTATTTATCTTCATTGCTGAATCATTCGGGGACTCAATTCTCATAAAGAAGGACAAAAAAACCTGCTTCTAAAATATACTTTTAGTGAGATCAATATTATCATTAGTCAGAGTAAACTTTGTTGATTCTAGGGAGGCATAGGGAATGTGGCAGAAAGCTTTGTAATTATTTCAATGGTTAGGGTACCACAAATATCATTCTAAAAAAACCCAATTGTGTAAACTTGTTTTGACATCATCGTGTCATAAGATCAAAGCTCTTTGGCATGACATATAATTTTCTACTTAGAAAGTCATATATTGGCTAGACGTGGTGGCTCATGCCTGTAATCCCAGCACTTTGGGAGGCAAAGCCAGGAAGATCACCTGAGGTCGGGAGTTCGAGAACAGCCTGACCAACATGGAGAAACCCCATCTCTACTAAAACTACAAAATTAGCTGGGCTTGGTGGTGCATGCCTGTAATCCTAGCTACTCGGGAGGCTGAGACAGGAGAGTCGCTTGAACCTGGGAGGTGGAGGTTGAGGTGAGTCAAGATCCCGCCTTTACACTCCAGCCCAGCAGCAAGAGCGAAACCCTGTCTCCGAATCCAGCAGCACATCAAAAATCTTATCCACCATGATCAAGTGGGCTTCATCCCTGGGATGCAAGGCTGGTTCAACATATGCAAATCAATAAACGTAATCCAGCATATAAACAGAACCAAAGACAAAAACCACATGATTATCTCAATAGATGCAGAAAAGGCCTTTGACAAAATTCAACAGCCCTTCATGCTAAAAACTCTCAATAAATTAGGTATTGATGGGACGTATCTCAAAATAATAAGAGCTATTTATGACAAACCCACAGCCAATATCATACTGAATGGGCAAAATCTGGAAGCATTCCCTTTGAAAACTGGCACAAGACAGGGATGCCCTCTCTCACCACTCCTGTTCAACATAGTGTTGGAAGTTCTGGCCAGGGCAGTCAGGCAGGAGAAAGAAATAAAGGGTATTCAATTCGGAAAAGAAGAAGTCAAATTGTCCCTGTTTGCAGATGACATGATTGTATATTTAGAAAACCCCATCATCTCAGCCCAAAATCTCCTTAAGCTGATAAGCAACTTCAGCAAAGTCTCAGGATACAAAATCAATGTGCTAAAATCACAAGCATTCTTATACACCAATAACAGACAGAGAGCCAAATCATGAGTGAACTCCCATTCACAATTGCTTCAAAGAGAATAAAATACCTAGGAATCCAACTTACAAGGGATGTGAAGGACCTCTTCAAGGAGAACTACAAACCACTGCTCAAGGAAATAAAAGAGGATACAAACAAATGAAAGAACATTCCATGCTCATGGATAGGAAGAATCAATATCGTGAAAATGCCCATACTGCCCAAGGTAATTTATAGATTCAATGCCATCCCCATCAAGCTACCAATGACTTTCTTCACAGAATTGGAAAAAACTACTTAAAAGTTCATATAGAACCAAAAAAGAGCCTGCATCACCAAGACAATCCTGAGCCAAAAGAACAAAGCTGGAGGCATCACACTACCTGACTTCAAACTATACTACAAGGCTACAGTAACCAAAACAGCATGGTACTGGTACTAAAACAGAGATATAGACCAATGGAACAGAACAGAGCTCTCAGAAATAATACCACACATCTACAACCATCTGATCTTTGACAAACCTGACAAAAAAAGAAATGGGGAAAGGATTCCCTATTTAATAAATGGTGCTGGGAAAACTGGCTAGCCATATTTAGGAAGCTGAAACTGGATCCCTTCCTTACACCTTATACAAAAACTAATTCAAGATGGATTAAAGACTTAAATGTTACACCTAAAATGATAAAAACCCTAGAAGAAAACCTAAGCAATACCATTCAGGACATAGGCATGGGCAAGGACTTCATGTCTAAAACACCAAAAGCAATGGCAAACTACGATCAGAGTGAACAGGCAACCTAGAGAATGGGAGAAAATTTTTGCAACCTAGTCATCTGACAAAGGGCTAATATCCAGAATCTACAGTGAACTCAAACAAATTTACAAGAAAAAAACAACTACATCAAAAAGTGGGTGAAGGATATGAACAGATACTTCTCAAAAGAAGACATTTTTGCAGCCAACAGACACATGAAAAAATGCTCATCATCACTGGCCATCAGAGAAATGCAAATCGAAACCACAATGAGATACCATCTCACACCAGTTAGAATGGCGATCATTAAAAAGTCAGGAAACAACAGGTGCTGGAGAGGATGTGGAGAAATAGGAACACTTTTACACTGTTGGTGGGACTGTAAACTAGTGCAACCATTGTGGAAGACAATGCGGCGATTCCTCAAGGATCTAGAACTAGAAATACCATTTGACCCAGCCATCCCATTACTGGGTATATAACCAAAGGATTACAAATCATGCTGCTATAAAGGCATATGCACACATATGTTTATTGTGGCACTATTCACAATAGCAAAGACTTGGAACCAACCCAAATGTCCATCAAGGATAGACTGGATTAAGAAAATGTGGCACATATACACCATGGAATTCTATGCAGCCATAAAAAAGGATGAGTTCATGTCCTTTGTAGGGACATGGATGAAGCTGGAAACCATCATTCTCAGCAAACTATCTGAAGAACAAAATACCAAACACTGTATGTTTTCACTCATAGGTGGGAACTGAACAATGAGAACACTTGGACACAGGAAGGGGAACATAACACTGGGGCCTGTTGTGGGGTGGGGGGATGGGGAAGGGAAAGCATTAGGAGATATACCTAATGTAAATGACGACTTAATGGGTGCAGCACACCAACATGGCACATGTATACATATGTAACAAACCTGCACGTTGTGCACATGTACCCTAGAAGTTAAAGTATAATTTTAAAAAAATCATGTAATCTCAGCATTCGAGAGACAGCATTACATAGTTGGCTTGGATATGAAAATATCCAGTTCTGAATTCAACTTTGTTGATTTTTTTATAGCCTGAAAATTCTTCCCTTGCTCTTTGCCATATAGCGAGCTACAATTCATCCTATAAAAAGTCAGTTCAAATACCATATGTTTTGGAAATCCTTTCAATAGTCTTGCAGGCATAAGTAGTTATTCCTTTCACTGAAGGAGAGATGATCATGTTGTAGCCCAGGGAGTGAATGGACACATGAAGCAGAAATACAACATAGCCACAGGACAGTGTCTAGGAATGGTTGTCTCCTCCAAAGTAACAGAGACTCCTCCAAGAGTTGGTAGGAATACAAAACAGATACCCACCACTGCTGGGCCTCATCCCAAGAGTAATACCACTTAGGATAATCTTGTATAATAACTGTTCTTTCTAGAGTGGAAATATTCAACAAGCAGCTACCTTCTAAAATATGTTAATAGATAACACCATCTGGCACCCTTTCTGGTGATATTGTAAGTTATTAGATAGTGCCCTTTCAGAATACTGTGGTGAAATGCCACTCTATGAAACAGAGATTTTGCAAGAAAAGGGAGAGGCAAAGAATTAAACTTGGGGAGGTGTTCCTATCACAAAAAAAAAAAGCATATAGAAGTTCAAAGCTTTCTATTTTTCATGATCTCCATTGCTATGGTTTGAATGTGTCCCCTCCAAAATTCAGGTATTGCCAATATGACAATATTGAGAGGTGAGGCCTTTAAGAAGGCCACATGATCTCCTACTTCATGAATGAGATTAGGGTTATGAAAGAGACTTCATGCAGTGTTTGGTAGCCTACATTTCTGCCTTCTGCCATGTGGATCAGCAAAAAGGCCCTCACTAGATCCTGGCACCTTGATCTTGAACTTCCAACATTCAGAGATGTCAAAAATAAATTTCTGTTGTTTCAATTATTTACCCCGTTTGTGGTATGTTACAGAAGCATAAACAAAGACAACCATTAAGGTTGCCACTATACTGTTGTGAATGGGAATTTCTGATTCAGATCAAGGACAAATTACTTAGTTTGGCCCTGGGTAATAAAACCTTCACTGGAAAAAGCAAAATGGTGACATTTTCCACATGGAAAACTCTTAGGTCACAAAATCTTGACTTCTTTTCTTTTTGATCTTATTCGACGCATAGTAAAGCAAAGACAATTCCATTTATTGGGAAAAACTGTTTCCCATTTCTCCTGCTTCTTTCTCCATATATTAAGGCCAGCATGTATCCAACCTGGAGAACTAAGAAATCATGAGCATGAGAGAGAGAAATTAAGGTTTTTTTTCCCTAATAATTGTAATAAGACTTTTCATAAATAAAATGAATACCAAGAATATTTGCCATCTGAGAGATCAAGATGTGTGTCCAAAGTAAGCCGTTGTCGTTTGCCGAAAGTGTTCTTCATAGCCATTGAGTTATGGGGTAGAAGTAGCAGTTAATATTTGATGGAGAATTAGGGTTTGTATATATTTATCGCTAGACTTAGATCACTATGGCTAACAGGGTGTTTGGATAATTTAATATTAAATAGATAAGACTGACACAGAGAATATACCTATGAAACTGTATAAGCCTCATCTCTGAATTTACAGTAAAACCCCTAGGTTATAAAAAAAATTACAAAACAACATTACTATTTGGAAATTTTAAAATATTATTGTAAATGAATGAATCAATGAGGAAATCAAAAACAAGTACATATAATTTGAAAAGAAGAGAAAACCTGAAAATTACATGTGAACCAGTTTTAAATGTGTTTGAAATTGTAATATTTGCAAAGCCACAGTTTAGTGATATACACAAGTGTTTGCACATCCATATTCACATGCATACAAATGAGAATGAATGAATAATGAATAAAACATATAACTTAAAAAGTTAGAAAAATAACTTCAAGATAAATTTGGAAAAGTAGTTTACAGGACATACATAAAATAATGATTAATAGTTAATATATTTAGAAGATTTAGTGAAAACAAAGGTGGAGGGAAGCTCTAATCAAGTCAAAGAAAGGATAGAAAATTTAGGAACAACAAATGAACTATAACCACAAATGTCAATGCAGATAATACACTAGATGAAAATAGGTTTCTAATTTACAGTTTAAAAAATGTGAAATATCTCAATTAAATGGAAAAACTTATGAGTTAATATCTAAACTGGTCAAGAAAAAGAAAGTATATCCAAACAAGTAAATAAAGAACAAAAAGTAAATGTTACCAAAGAAATACTGCCAGAAAAGCAATTGTGTGCCAATGGTCTTATAAGTGATTTGCTAAAAATTTCCTAATGACAGATAATTCCTCTTCTAGGGAGATGTTCTATAGAAAGAGGACATATTTTTAAAATATAGATAATTATTCACAAGATAGTTATTATTATAGATGCATTGAAAACCTTATTGTATATTACAAATCAAAGACAACCAAAGGCTAGAGGAAGTCTTGTTTCTCTTATGCCTGACATGTAATTTGGGACTCATACTGACCTTGCCTTCAAAATATATCCCAAACAATCAGACCATGTATATTTTACCATTTAAACCACTACCACTCTGCTCCTAGCCACCATCTTCTCCTGCTAGAACCTTGAAACTCTCCAGCTCAGGGATCCCCAACCCTCAGGCCACAGACTAGTACCCCCAGTGCCCCAACCCCCAGGTCATGTACTGGTACTGGTCCGTGGCCTATTAGGAATTGGGTTGCACAGCAGGTAAGCAAGTGAAGCTTCATCTGTATTTACAACCATGCCCCATCCCTCACATTACCACCTGAGCTCTTTCTCCTGTCCGATCATCAGCAGCATTAGATTCTCCTAGGAGCAGGAACCTATTGTGAACTGCACATACGAGAGATTTAGGTTGTGTGCTCCTTATGAGAATCTAATGCCAGTTGATCCGCCACTGTCTCCCATCACCCCAAGGTGAGACCATCTAGTTGCAGGAAAACAAGCTCAGGTCTCCCACTGACTCTACATTATAGAATTCTACATTATAGAGTTGTATAATTATTGCATTATATATTACAGTGTAATAATAATAGAAATAAAGTGCACAATAAATGTAATGTACTTGAATCATCCTGAAACCATACCCCCTGCCCTGTCGCTGGAAAAATTGTCTTCCTCGAAACCAGTCCCTGGCTCTAAAACGGTCGGGGACCAATGATCTAGCTGGTAATCCTGCTTACACTATTGATTCCCCCTCCCCCGATATATTCTCCATAGAGAAACCAGAGAATTATTTTAAAAACACATATTTCATCATATCATTTTCATGCTCAAAATACTCGAATCACTTCCTTACAAACCAAAGTAAAATTCAAATACTATTGCAGCCAAAAAGATATGGGTCCTTGCTCCTTTTTTTATCTGATCCTTAATGATCTCCTCCTTATTCACTGGGTTCCTGAGTCCTTGGTGCTCCCGGAGCATGCTAAGCCCTGGCTTCAGGTCTTTACTTGCTGTTCCATCTGTCTAGAATACTCTTTCCTCAAATAACCAGATGGCTTAACCCCTCACCTCATTCAGCCCTCCCCTCAAACATTACCTCATTAAAAATGCATCTCTGCCCTTTCAAAAACATAGAATGAACCATAGTTCTCCATATTTTTATTTCACTTTATTTTTCTTCATATAATTTATATTAGGTCATATATTGATTATATATTGATTATCTGTTTCCACCCACTAGAAAACCAATTTCATTACAGTGACACCTTTTTTCCCTTGTGTATCCAGTATTTACAAGAGTGCCTGGCACTCCTTGTAAAAGGAGCTCAGTATTTTTCGATTAAAGAATAAATAAAATCAATGACATCAATCTTGGGAAACAAAATAACTTACTTTACTTATGTAATTGAATTAATGTCATTGAAATATATATTAAGGGCATAGAGAGGTACTTACTATATTAATTAAAATATAAAATTTAGTTATTAATTTGCATAAAAATATTGAGTCAGCAATCTACAAATTATGTGCATAGAAAAATTACCAGCCTGGGCAACATAGTGACAACCTGTTTCTACAAAAATAAATTTAAATTTTATCTGGGCATTGTGGTGTGCATGTGTAGTCCCAGCTGTTTGGAAGACTGAGGTGGGAGGATCACTTGAGCCAAGGAGTTTGAGGTTACAGTGAGTTATGATTTCACCACTGCACTCCAGACTACACAACAAAGAAAGATCCTGTCTGTTTAAAAAAAAAAAAAAAAGGAAAAAATAGAAGAAGAAAACTCAAAACTCTCTATTAAGAGTTCACCTGAATGGTAAGCATAACAACATTTGTTGTTTTATTTGTATTTTCTTTTATTTTTAAATTATTCTTTTATTTTTTAGTAATTATTGAAAATATTTTAAAAATTGAGCACCTACCATTGGCAGTCCACTGCTAGCCTGGGGTCAGTGGATATGGAGTTAATAGATGTCCTAATTTTAGTCAGAATAACACACACACACACACACACACATATCTATATACACCAATAATTATAATCTCAGTCATACAGGGTGAAGGTCCCATGACCAATTGTGGTTGCTCCTTAATTTTTTAAGCCTATTTTCCTCAGATACGATAAAGAGATAATAAATCATCTTCATAATTCTATGCTAATACTATGTTAGTTAATGTGAGTAAAAAGCATAACACAATAACTAGTAATAAACTCAATTAGTCATTTTTATTGTTATGCTTATTAGTGTAGTAGAAAGAGTGGTTATTTTATCAGCAATATTAAGAAAGACATCATGAAGTAGTGGGAACTAGACTGAGCTTAAAAACTAATAGTATTTGACAGTATGGCCAGTAGTACATCCAGGCTAAGTTATGCTATGATAACAAACAACTAAGCCAAATCTCAGTGACTCAAGGAAACTTTCTTTTACCACCTGCACTTCCAATGCAGATCAACAATCAGGTGGGTGGGGTTGGTTGCCCCTGGTCAATCCCTCTGGGAGGCAAACCAACAAAGGCCTTATCTCGACCTGTGTGGGACTTGTGCAACATTAGGAGTGATATGCATTGAATTACTCATTGTCTCTTAATTTTTCTGGACAGAATTGCCACACTTCACCTTTACTCACATTTCAACAGCCAAATAAAGCTACATGGCTAACTGTAACTTCAAGTTGATGGAAAGCAATTCTACCCTGTATAAACCAAAAATAAAATTCTAAGCCCCCCCACCACCAAACCCACCTCTACTCTTGGGCAAGTTCATTCCTAAGTTAACCTGAAAAACTAGTTCAGGCCATGATGGAAAGTTGGGGTTGGGCAAATCTCATTATTCCCTCCTCCCTTTGAAATTCAGGCTAGGCTGACCAGTATTTAACATTAAAATAGAGACCTTAAGACTGACAAAGCAGACTCTTTGTAGAAATAAGATAATATGACAGATGGCAGGCCCTAAAATAAAGTGTTTTACCCCAAAATATATTTATTTTACATACTTTGAAATGGCCCTGAAAAGCCCTGCAAATTCTGTAGATTTTCCCTTCCCTTTCTGGGTCTTTGTCCTGATCCAGGAGAGAACTAAGAGTGTGGCAACTTTTTAAGTCTGATAAGAAACATTTACAATCTATTTTCTCCGAAGCCTGCTAACTGGAGGTTTCAACTGCATAATTAAAACTTTGAACTCCACAACAACGCTTTATCCTAACACAGACACTTCCTCTGCTGGTTTCAAGTCTTTAGATAAACTCTTTCAACCAATTGCCAATCAGGAAATTTTTGAATCCACCTATGACCTGACAGCTTCCCTGTGTGACCACTCTCCTTTGAGTTGTCCCATCTTCCAAACCATTTTACATATTACATGTATTGACTGATGTCTTATGACCACTTTGCACACATGTTCTCAGGACCTTCTGAAGCTGTGTTATGGACATGTCCTTAACCTTGACAAAATAAACTTCCAAACTGATTGGGACCTATCTCATACATTTCAGTTTAGACTTGGGTGTAAAATTAAAGAGCTGGAAATATTTGTTGAAAGCACTAATAATCACCACACACAGATTGACAAGGATAGTTGGTGGATTTGTTTCATCATCAGGCTAATTTGGAGAATGAAAACTGTTAGTTCATGAGTTTTTTCTCTATCTCTGAACAAAAACAATATAAGAGTATATGATCTCTAGCACTCAGCAAAATGGATATTCCAAATCTTCCTACTGCTAAAATGCCAAACAAATTGTATACAATTTTTAAAAGATTTAAAAATTCATGTCTGAGCTAGCAATAAATAAAAGTGATCTTTAGAGGCAGAAAGTAAATTGAAAGCATAAATCTACAGTAACAAGTGAAAGTCCCTCACTTTCCTGGGAAAACTTGTACAGCCCTTAATATAGAGCTTTGATTTTAATAACATATGTGTGCATAGGGCCCACACAAAGTGAAAGATCAGATCAGGGACCACAAATAAAGCTGGGATATAAGGGTAACTATCTTAGGGAAAGAGTGAACCTGGAAATATAAATAAAACAGAAAAATAATCATCTGCAAAGACAGATTGTTTGAAAACTTATCTGTTGTAGCTTTGGATTTCAGAATTCATAACCACGAGCTGTGCTCACATGGTTTTGTGGCCCGATTTCATGTTACCTGTGTGGTCCAAAAGCCCCAAGAAGAAGAATATGGCTTAAAATCATCCCATGAAGTTATCATGCATTACACACGTTCTAGGTACCAAAGAGAAACATATGCAAATACTCTCTGAAGGAAGAAACTTTCAGTATTAGTCACATAGATTTCCCAGAAATGCAGAGTTTTTTCTGAAAATATGAATTCACAATAAAAACAATCACAAAGCAAATGAAGAAGCAAGGCATTATAAATAATAGTTGATGTAATACACTACCAAACCAAATTTAAAAGATTTTAGGTATAGGAATTATATGTAAAAATTTTTTAAATGTGTGTTTAATATTGGAAAAAATAAAGTAAGGAATCCAAAATATGGAAAATAAAAAGACTATATAAAATTGATTATTCACAGTTGAAAAAATGTTCAAATATAAATTTTAGAAATAAAAAATATAAAAATTTAGAATTTAAAGCTCTAATGGTATTTCTAATTATGGTAAGATACATAGAACATAAAGTTTACTATTTCAACTAATTCAATGTGTACAATTCAGTGGCAACAAATACATTTACAAGGTTGTTCCAGATATCTCTTTCATCATCACAAAAAGAAACTCTGTACCAGTGAAGCAGAAAATATTTCCTTCTCCATTTTCTTTTAAGAATTTGAGAAGAATTGGTGTTAATTATACTTTAAATATTTAGTAGAATTCAGTAGTGAAGTTTTCTGGTCCCAGATTTTTCTTTGTTGGAAGGCATTTGATTACTGATTCAATGTCTTTACTTGCTATAGTTCTATTTAGATTTTTAAACATTTCTTCTTGAGTTAGCTATGTGAATTTGTGTGTTTCTAAAGCTTTGTGTATTTCACCCAGGTTAACCAATTTGTTAGAATAAAATTGTTCATAGTATTCTCTTAACATTTATTTCATTTTATAGGGTTTATTGTATTGTTCCACTTTTATTTTATTTTTTGGTTGAGACAGAGTCTCACTCTGTCACCCGGGCTGGAAGGCAGTGACATGATCTTGGCTCACTGCAACCCCTGCCACCTGGTTCAGGTAATTCTTGTTCCTCAGCCTCCCGAGTAGCTGGGACTACAGGTGCATGCCACCACGCCCAGCTAATTTTTTTGTATTTTTAGTAGTGACAGGGTTTCACCATGTTGGCCAGGCTGGTCTCGATCTGCCCACCTCGGCCTCCCAAAGTACTGGGGTTACAGGCGTGAGACACAGCACCCGGCCTGTTCCACTTTTATTTCTGATTAAGTAGTTTTATTTTTTTTCTTTTACTTAGTCAATGGATAAAGACTTGTCAATTTTAATAACATTTTCAAAGAACCAACTTCTTTTGTTTTTATTTATTTTCTCTATTGTTTTCTGTTTTCTAGTTAATTTACTTCTTACTAATCTTTATTATTTCTTTCCTTCTACCAGCTTTGCATTTAGTTTGCATTTCTTTTTAGTTTCTTTTAAGTTATTTTCTATTTTCTACTGTGATTGATATTTGATCTATTAGTTATTTAAAAATGTTTTATTTTTCATGTATTTGTGAATTTCCTAATTTTCCTTCTGATATTGATTTCTAGTTTCATTTCATTGTAATTAGAGAAGATAACTTACATTATTTTAGTCTTCTTAACTTTACTGAGGCTTATTTTGTGGCTTAACATGTGGTCACTTCTAGAACATGTTCCACGTGTGCTTGAAAAAAATATGTATTATCCTATTGTTATATAAAATGTTTTGCATATGTCTGTTAGGTCCAATCAATGTATAGTCTTGTTCAAGTCATCTGTTTTCTTATTGATCTTATGTCCTGTTTTCCTACCTATTATTATAAGTGGGGAATTGAAGTCTCCTACTACTACTGTGTTGCTGTCCATTTCTCTTTTCAATTCTGTCAATGTTTGCTTCATATATTTGGGAGCTCTAATGTTAGGTGCATATACATTTATAATTGTTATACCTTTCTAGTGAATTGACCCCTTTATTATTGTATAATGTCCTTCATTTTCTCTTGTAATGGTTTTTACTTGAAGATTATTTTGTCTGATATTATTATGACCACTTCATCTCTCTTTCATATGGAATATTTTATGGAATATTTATATGGAATATTTTTCCATTTTTTAACTTTCAACTAATTTGTGTCTTTGAATATAATGTTAGTCTATTTTAGCTGACATAGAGCTAAATCATAATTCTTAAAAAACCCATTCTGCTAATATCTGCTTTAAGTCAAAACTGTCACAAAAGACAAATGATATTATATAGCAATAAAAGGGTCAGTTCACCAGGAAGATAAAACAATTATAGTCACCCATTCCTTAATGACAATAATATGTTCTGAGAAATGCATCACTGGGCAATTTCGTCATTGTACAAATATCACAGAGTACAGTTCCATAAACTTAGATGATATAGACTACTGCACATCTAGGTTATGTGCTATATGGCTTATTGTTCTGAGGCTACAGACATATACAATATGCTACTGTGCTGAATACTGTAGGTAATTATAACACAATGGTAAGTATTTGTGTATCTGAACACAGAAAATATATGGCAAAAAATACAGTATTATAATCTTATGGGGCCACCATTGTATATGCAGTTCATTGTTCACCAAAACGTCGTTATGTGGTTCATCATTGCAGAAATATATATGTACCTAACATTAGAGCTCCCAAATATGTGAAGCAATCATTGACAGAATTAAAGGGAGAAATAGACACAAAACTAGAGTGGGAGACTTTAATTTCCCACTTTCAACAGTGGATTGAACAAATGAACATATGATCAATAAAGAAACAGAGGACTTGAACAACACTTTAGACACATTGGACATAACAGACATATACAGAACACTATACCCAACACCGCAAAATATACACTCTTCTCAAGTTCACATGAAGCATTTTCCAGGATAAATCATATGTTAGGCCACAAAAGAGGTTTTACTAGGTTAAAAAAGTTTAAAGTTATACAAGGTATCCTTTGCTACAGAATAAGAATGAAACTAGAAATCAATAATGGAAGGAAAATTGAGCAATCCACAAACATGAGAAAGTTAAACAACACTCTCTTAAATGACTAATAAGTCAAAGAAGAAATTATAAGGAAAATTTAAAAAATAAAAATGCAACATAGCAAAACTCACTGGTTACAGTGAAAGTGCTAAGAGGGACATTTATAGCTATAAACACTTACACTTAAAAAAAACCTGAAACCAACAACCTAGTTATAAACATCAAGAAGCTAATAAAAGAAAGAAAATCTAAAACCAAAGCTTGCAGTAGAAAAAAAATTAGATAAAATAGAAATATAATAGATTATAGAAAAATAATAGAAAACATAAACAAAACTATGATTTTTTAAAAATCAACAAAATTGAAAAATTTTTAGCTAGACTAAGAGAAAAAAAGAAGACTCAAATAACTCACGCTGGAAATAAAAATGGGACATTTCAAATGATGCCACAGGAATGTAAATGATTATAAGACTATTATAAACAACTATGTACCAACAACTTGGATAAATTAGAAGGTATGGATGAATTTCTAGAAACACACAACCTTCCAAGACTGAATGAAGAAAGTAGAAAAATGGACCTGTAACTAGTAAGGAAATAAAATTATAATCAAAATCCTCCCAAAAGAGAGAAACGCAAGATCATATGGCTGCATTGTAGAATTCTACAAAACATTTAAAAAAGAATTAACACTAATCCTTCTCAAACTCTTGTAAAAATTAAAAAGGAGAAAACACTTTCCAATTTATTCTATGAGGTTAGTATCACTCTGATACTAAGCCAGGGAAAGATATTACACAAAAAGAGAACTACAAACCAATATCCTTGATTAATATTGATGTAAAAATCCTCAACAAAATACAGCCAAACCAAATTCAACACAACACTAAAAGGATTATATACCATGACTAAGTAGAATTTATCCCTGGAAGGCAAGGATAGTTCAACATACAAAATCAATGAATGTAATATGTCATGTTAACAATGAAAAACAAAAACCACATGATCATCTCAATTGATGAGAAAATATTTTTTAAAATTGCATACCTTTTCATGATAAAAGCACTCAATCAATAAGGAATAGAAAGAGACTACATCAACTTAATGAAGGTCATATATAAAAAGCTCACTGCTAACTTCATACTCAATGGAGAAAGTCTGAAAGTTTTTCCTCCTAATTAGGGAACAGGAGAAAGAATATCCTCTCTCACCACTTTTACTCAACATAGCACTGAAAGTCCTAGCCAGAGGAATCAGGCAAGAAAAATAAGTGAAAAGAATGCAAGTTTAAGAGGAAGAAATAAAATTATCTCCATTCACAGGTGGTATGATCTTATATGTAGAAATATTTACAATTCAAAAAAACACCTTAGAACTAATAAACAAATTCAGCAAAGTGGCAGCACACAAAATCAACCCACAAAAATCAGTTGCATTTCTATAAACTAACAGTGAACAGCCTGAAAAAAGAAATTAAGAAGATGATTCCATTTACATTAGCATCAAAAGGAATAAAATACTTGGGAAAAAATTTAACAAAAATGGTGAAAGACTTATACACTGAAAACTAGAAAACTTTGCTGAAAGAAATTAAAGAAAACACAGCAAATGAAAAGATAGCCCATGTTTAGGGAGATTGAAGATGTAATATTATTAAAATATCAATACTTCCCAAAGTGATCTACAGATTAAATGTCTTCCTTACCAAAATTTCAGTGGAATTATTTTTGCTGAAATATAAAAATCCATGCTAAGCATAATACAGAATCTCAAGGTTACCCAAATAGCCAAAATAATTTTGGAAAAGAATAGCCAGAGGACTCACAGTTTCTGATTTCAAATTATATTACAAAGCTGCAGTAAACAAAATAGTGCAGTCCTGTCATAAAGACAGACATATGAGCCAATGGAATGGAATATAGACCTCAGAAATAAATCATCACCTATATAGTCAAATGATTTTTTATAAGGGCCCCAAGTCCACTCAATGAAGGAAAGGACAGTCTCTACAATAAGTCCTGTTGAGAAAACTGGATATCCATATGCAAAAGAATAAAGTTGGATCCTTATCTTATACCATATACAAAAGTTAAATCAAAGTGGATTAAAAACTTAATGTAAATCCAAAGCTATAAAAACTCCTATGAGAAAACATAGGGGAAATCTTTCATGGCATTGGATTTGGCGAAGATTCTTTGGATATGATACCAAAAACATGAGCCATGAAAAGAATAGTGAACAAGGGATTTTATCCAAATAAAACTCTTTTGTACAATGAGGACACTACCAACAAAGTGAAAAGGCAACCTGTGGAAAGGGAGAAAATATTTGCAAAGCATTATCTGATAAAGGATTAATATCCAGAGTATATAAATAACTTGTACAAAACAACAACAGCAGAAGAAACAAAACAATTAAAGCATGGAAAAGGGGAGTGAATAAACATTTCTCCAAAGATGATATACAAATGATCAACAAGCATATGAAAAGATGTTCAGCAATACTAATCATTAGAGAAATGCAAATCAAAACTACAATGAGACATTATCTCCCTCTTAGAATGGCTACTATCAACAAAAGACAAAAAGAGAGAAAAGCAGATATTTCTAAGGATGTGGAAAAATTGTAACCCTGTTAGAATGTAAAATCACGCAACTGCTGTGGAAACTGTATGAGGGTTCCTCAAAAATTTAAAAATGGGATTACCATATGATCCAGCAATCCCACCTCTGATTGTGTATGTAAAAGAATTGAAAGCAGCATCTCAAAGAGATATGTACACACTCATGATCATAACAGTATTAGTCTCGATAACAAAGAGGTGGAAGCAAACAAATGTCCATCAGTGGATGAACAGATAAACAACATGTGGCATATACATGCAATGAAATATTACTCAGTCTTAGAAGAAAATTCTGACATATGTTAAAATGTGAATGGATCTTGAGGACATTATGCAAAATGAAAGCAGCTAGTCTGAAATAGCAAACACTGTATGATTCCACTTTTATGAGGTACTAAAGTAGTAGAAACCACAGAAACAAAAGTAAAATGGTTGTTGCCAGGAGCTGGAAAGAAGAGAGAAATGGTAAGTGGTTTAATGGGGATATAGTTTCAATTCTGCAAGACAAAAAGAGTCTGGAGATTGGTTGCACAATGAGAATGTATAGCTGCCCCTTGATATCTTGTTCCAGGAACCCCAGCAGAAATCAAAATTCATGGATACTTGTCCCTGATGTAAAATGGGGTAGTATTTGCATATAACTCTCTCTCACACACACACGCACACACACACATACACACATCCCCTTCTATACTTTAAATCATCGCTTGATTACTTATAATGCTTAATACAATGCAAATGTTATGTAAATGGTTATTATATTATTTTATTTGTATTTTTTATTGTTGTATTGCCTTTTTGGAGATGGGGTCTTACTATGTTGCTCAGGCTGGTCTCAAACTTCTGGGTTCAAGTGAATCCTTATGCCTCAGCCTTCTGAGTAGTGGATTGCTATTTTTGTCTTTTTTCTCTAATATGTTCAATCTGTGGTTGATTGAATCTGTGGATGTGCAACATGTGGATACAGAGGGCCCACTGTACTTAACACTACTAATCCATACATTTAAAAATAGTGAAAATTGTTTAAAAAAAAGAAGAAAAAATGCAGAAATAAATGACTTCTCAGGGCTTTTCTGAGCATGTTTGCCACTCAGGGCATGCAGGCAACCTATATTCCCTGGTATACATGGGAGATTTTCAAAGCCTGAATTCCCCAAAGTCTTACTGTCCCCAGCTTTCTTTCAGCATATGTGCTGTTTGACTCACCTGCTGTCTTCTACCCCAGGTTGGCAACAGCTTGTTCATTTGCTGTTCAATGATTTCAAGGAAGGTTCTCAGAATTTCTGATTGTTCACCATGAAAGAATTCCCAGTTATGCAAAATAAAGGCAAGATTTTTGTGTTAGTCCTTCAGGAAGGCCCAGACTAGTCAAAGATGACAACCACAATTCTTTAAAAACAAAGTCTGCTGGGGTCCCTTTGCAGTCAGGGACCCACAGAAGGAACATGACTGTGCTCTTCAAAACCACCAATGAAACTGAAGGGGGTAATGAGAAAGGGGGAGGTTAAAATGACACAGAACTCTCTCCTACCATGTTTCATTACCTCTTCCTTGACTAAGAATTCACTTAATTGTTCTCAATCTTTGAGTCGTAGTAAGTTTTGGCCAGTTTGACATTGTTTCTATGGTGGATGGTCTTTTGCCGGTCCCTACTCTGCCATTTCCCAGTAATCTATGAGTATTTTTAAAAGAGGTTCTGAAATAGCTGAAGAGAAAAAAAAAACTTAGTGGAGTGGAAAGAATATATGAAGAAATTACAGTACAGGGAAGAAAGAGATAGAAAATATAAGGGAAATGTAAGTCATGAGGGACAAAATGAGAATGTCTGTCACATATGCAAGATGAGTTCCAGAAATAAAGAAATTATAATGATAGAGGCAGGCGACAGCCAAATGTCTAGGCATATAGGGAAGGGTCCCTGGAGAGCCTCTCACCCACCCAAGTCATTTTGCACAGAGGGCTCGCCTAAGCATGCCCATGGTGAACAATTCTGTGCCTTAACACATGCACAGTAAGGGAAATAAATTAATGTGGAGTGGCTCAGACTAAGGGCCCACATGTACCCTGGGGGAACAGGGTGTAGCCACCAGGAATTTGTGTCTTTTGCTGGGAAGGAGCCTGGCTCTTCAGCCCCTGCGTGGAAGTCCTGGTACTTCAATTGTGAGGTGGTAACCTGGATGCAGGACCCCTCTCTTTGCTGAGAGCTTTCCTTTCACTTAATAAATTATGTCCTCTTCACCCTCCAATGTGTCCACATACCTAATTTTCCCTGGTTGTGAGACAAGAACTCCGATTTAGCTGAACTAAGGAGCAAAAAACCCTGCATCAATAGGTGACGGCAATATTTATAGATGCAGTAAATGATATTTTCCCTAGAATTTATGAGGGATATAAAGCTTCATAATCAGAAAGCCCAATACTTTAAAAAATCACACCTGGAAAATATAGAGAACCCACAAACATAAAAGCAATTTGAAAATATTTTTAAAATATTATTTTTTAGATTCCAGAACTAAGAATTAAGATCCTACACCTTTCTACCATTTCCATAATTTTCTCTCTTCCATTTTTTTAGATCTCTTCTGTTTATTTCCCTGTTTTATTTTCTCATAGCTATTCTACATTTCTCTTATTATGTTTTTTGTCATATATAATCTTCTTTGTGCACCTTGAAATTGTCTTTTTTATGAAATAATTTTTGTCATTTATTTTCCAATTTATTTTCTTTCTATTCCACAACTTGCTTTTATTTCATAATCTCTTCTCTGAGATTTTGCATTTCTTTTTCACGGTGATTACATTAGTCCTTTATTCCAACAAGAATACAATATAACAAACCATTTCAAAACTTAGCGCTTTAAAACACATCCCTGGGTCAGCAACTTAGTTTCGCTATGTGGGCCAGGTTGAAGTAATCTTACCTGGGTTTGCTCTTGTGTCTTTGTGGAGCTGGCAGACAGACTGGAGGTTAGTAATTCTATTATGGATCATCTAAAATGTCTTATATTTGCCCAGGTGATCTCTCATTCTTCTATAGTAACATAAGCTTGTTTTCCTAGCAGAAGCAAGAGGGTAATAGAGCAATTAGAAATGTATGCAAGACTTTTTATCGAACCTTTGCCAATATATTTTAAACATCTGATTGGTTAAAGAACATCATACAGCTAAGCTCAGAGCCAGAATGGGAGGTGACCACAAAGGTAGAAAGCAAAGATCATGGAAAGAGACAGGTCATTCTTAGTGCCATTAATGCAATAAATATGTCAAACTGCATGACCCTGCTTTGTTGAGTTTTTTCTGCTTGAAGGTAATTTTTTCCTGGAGTTGTTTTATCTACCAGATATTTAATGCCTCCATTATTCATTCTTAAGTTTCTAAGTCTTTTCTTATATTATTTTGCTAAAAAGACTGTAGTTTTATTTGTCTTGTTGATATTTGATATCCTGGATTTTGCTGAACTGACTTAGCATGAGGGTTCGATGGGGGTGGGTGGTTGAGCAGACATTTTAGTTTCCTCATTATTTCTACTATTGATACAAAAAAAAGCAGTTTTTAGGATATCAACATTTAATATGTGGAATATAGAGAGTGGCTTCAGTTTTCTTGACCAAATTTTAATAAAATAACTTTGAAAAATATTTTATGGTTGTCTTATTTAATTTAATGTTTCTGTAAAGGAATACTTGAGACTTTATAAAGAAAAGAGGTTTATTTGTCCCACAGTTCCTCAGGCTCTACAAGAAGGATGGTGGCTTACTTGAGACTTTATAAAGAAAAGAGGTTTATTTGTCCCACAGTTCCTCAGGCTCTACAAGAAGGATGGTGGCTTGGGAGGCCGAGGTGGGCAGATCACCAGTCAGGAGATCAAGACCATCCTGGCTAACATGGTGAAACCCCGTTTCTACTAAAAATATAAAAAATTAGCCAGGCGTGGTGGTGTGTTCCTGTAATCCCAGCTACTTGTGAGGCCAAGGCAAGAGACTCGCTTGAACCCAGGAGGCAGAGGTTGCAGTGAGCCGAGATAGTGCCACTGCACTCCAGCCTGGGTGACAGAGCGAGACTCCGTCTCAAAAAGAGAAGCATGGTGGCAACACCTGTTTCTGATGAGGGCCTCAGAAAGCTTCCATTTGTGACAGAATATGAAGGGGATCGCATAGTGAGAAAGGAAACAAGACAGTGAGGGGAGGGAGGTGCTGGGTTCTTTTTAACAACCAGTTCTTGTAGAAACTAATAGAATGAAAACTAACTCATTACCACAAGGAGGACACCAAAACATTTATGAAGGATCTGTCCCCATTAGACCCCACTTCCAACATTGGGGATCGAATTTCAACGTGAGATTTGGAGGGTCAGATATCCAAATTAAAGCAATAGTATTGAGTGAATGTGCAGATGTACATACCTATGACACTGTAATGCTATTCCTATGCCTACAGCCCATAGAAATTCATGCTTTTTTGCACAGAGATACATGTTCAAAAATGTCTGTTACATTAATGTTTACAATAAAAAAATGAAGACAGCCCCAAAGTTTACCATAATATTATGAATAAAAAATGATGAGATATTCTTTCTATGAAGTAGTATTCTAGCAATGAATAAAACACAATGAAAAGTAACAACATGAACAAATCTTACCCATACAATTTTGAACAAAAGAACTGAGGCACAGTAGAATAAATCATGTATAATTTCATCTAGATACAATTCAAAAACAGCAATATTAAACTATATTTTTTAGGTATGCTTAGTTTAAAAAGCAAAGGATGAATGGTGTTAAAGACTGTTGCTTACCCCTAGGGGATGAAGAGTATATTGATGTGTAGGGCATATTTGTGGTGCTTATTAAGTTTATGTTATTGTCCACACTTAGGATTAGGTGAGAGTTCATTTTACAAGACTGTTTGCTTGTTTGAATTTCAGTTATATACCAAAGTAGAAGATATATTTGGATATATCATATGATTTGGATGTTTTTCTCCTCCAAATCCCTTGATGAAATGTAATCCCCAGTGTTGGAAGTGGAGCCTGGAGGGAGGTGTTTGTGTCATGGCTTGGTAGCCTCCCACCTGAGTCATGGCTATTTTTTAAAATTAATTAATTAATTATTTTGAGATGGAGTTTTGCTTTGCTGCCCAGGCTGGAGTGCAGTGACACCATCTCAGCTCACTGCAACCTCTGCCTCCCAGTTTCAAGCGATTCTCCTGCCTCAGCCTCCAGAGTGGCTTGGGTTACAGGCATGTACCACTATACCCAGCTAATTTTTGTATTTTTAGTAGACGAGGTTCCATCATGTTGTCTAGGGTTGTATTGAACTCCTGGCCTCAAGTGTTCCCCCCACATCGGCCTTCCAAAGTGCTGGGGTTACAGGCGTGAGCCACCATACCCAGCCTCTGGTTGTTTTAAAGAGCCTGGCACTTCCTCCCTCTCTCTCTTGCTCCCTCTCTCACCATGTGACACGCTGGCTCCCCTTCCCTTCCACCATGATTGTAGGCTTCCTCAGGCGCTCACCAGACACAGATATGGGCATTGTGCTTCCTGTACAGCTTGCAAAATTGTGAGCCAAATAAACTTATTTTATATATCAATTACCCAGTCTCAGCTATTCCTTTATAGCAACACAAATGGACTAAGAAAATATTCAAATCTGGAATTCAGGGAAGAAGTTTAGTCCAGAGCATAAATTTGGGCACCTTCAGTGTATAGACATAATGTAAAACTATAAATCTAGATGACATATACAACAGTGTGTGTTAGGGAAGGGAAGATAAATAGTTTATTATGTGTTGAATTATGTTCCCTCAAATACATGTTAAAGTATTAATCCCTAGTATTTCAGAATGTGACTTTATTTAGAAATGGATTCAGTGTAGATATAATTAATCAAGGTGAAGTCATACTAGGATAGGGTGGGTCATAGTCCAATATGATTGGTGTAATTATAAAAAGTGGACATCTGGACAAAGACATGACACAGGGAGAATGCCATGTGAACAGGAAAGTAGAGATTAGGAACAGCAGAGATTGCCAGCAAACCACCAACCTCTATGAGAAGTTGGGATCAATTTTCCTTCACAGTTCCCAGAAGGAACAAACCCGGCCAATACCTTGATCTTGAGGTTCTAGTCTCTTGAACTGTGAGATAATAAATTTCTGTTGTTTTAGCAACTCAGTTTGTGGTACTTTGTTGCAACAGCTCTAGAAAACTAATACAGGGTCTAAGACTAAGGTTCAGTATTAAGAAGTCAGCAAAATGAAAATGCAACTGCAAAAAAATAAAAAAATGGTGAATGTGGTAGGAAGAAACCTGGTGGAACAAGAGGCCCTAGAATCCAAGTAATGGGTTGTAGAATGAAGGACTGGCTAAGCATATCTAAACTGATCAGAACTGAGAATTAATCCTTGGATTTAACAAAGTGAAGACATTGGTGATGTGACAAAATGCCTTTTGATGGAGTGGTTGAAGGTGAACATTCATGGAAAAAGTTTATTTATTTATTTATTTATTTATTTATTTATTTATTTATTTTAGGAGAGTCTTGCAGGAGTGCAGTGGTATGGTCATGGCTCACTGCAACCTCTGCCTCCTGGGTTCAAGTAATCCTTCCATCTCAGCCTCCCAAGTAGCTGGGACTACAGGTGTTTGCCACCACTCCTGACTAATATTTGTTGTTGTTGTTGTTGTTGAGATGGGGTTTTGTCATGTTGCTCAAACTAGTCTCAAACTCATGGGCCCAAGTGATCCTCCTGCCTCAGCCTCCCAAAATGCTTGGCTTACAGGCGTGAGCCACTGCACCTATCTGGAAGCATAGAATGAGAAGAGGGAACTTGAAGATAGCTGACACTGTCAATCTCATTAAGAGTTTACTGAGGATCAAAGAAATGGTGTGGTTAACCTTAGATGAATTGAAATTGGAAGTGTTTTTTAACCATTGAAGAAAAAAAGCATGTTTGTATACTGATACGAATGATCCAGTAAGGAAAGATAAATTAATTTTTATAGAATTAAAAGTAAAATTACTAGATTCCAGTCACTGAGGTCAAATGATATAGTATTTGGTACAGAGATTAGGGAGGCCTCCCGTAGAAGTACAGATGTGGTGAGAGCCAGTGGGAATTCTCAGATTTTATTTTTACTCTTTTGGTTTTTGTTTATAAAATTTTGTTTTTACTATTTATTCTCTTAACTGACTTTTCTTAGCTTTTAAAGTACTGAGTTGAAGCTCCTTTTTTTGTCGTTTGTTTTCAATCAATGTTTACTGAACACCTACCTGCACAGAGAGCAGATAGTCTGAGTTAAATGCTGGAGTTGCCACAGTGAGAAAGAGTTCATGCCTCCAGGAGCTTCCAGTTGAGTGGTTGGGGGTGGAGGGACAAGAAGGGCAACAGTTGCACCAACAGTGTTAAAATTGCAACTGTGGGTAGTGTGAAAAATAGGTAGATAAGAATTGAGGCTATTACAGCAGACTTATTTTTATTATTTTAAAGGTAAATAGGATCTAAGCTTTCAAGAATAAAGGAGATGGTGGCAAAATTTCAAGAGAGGAGAAAGTGTAGAAAGCCAGTGAAGAGGATAAGTAGATTAGAGAAATGTAATAGGAAAGTTCAGCAACATCCAGGATCCATTTGAGATGAGCGGTCATGAATGTAATGTGAGTGCATTTAGTAAAATTAGTTTTCGCTCCAGTCATATTTGGCTGGTCCATTTGGCTGGCCTTTTTAAGAGTCAGGTGGAGAGAATATGAGACCAGAGGAACCGTCACTGGCATCTTGTGGTGGTTGTGGTGAGTTATTAACCACTGGGAAACAAATACAGAATACATTGTCAGAAACCTCTTATTTGCCAACAGTGGAACTAATAGAATTTCTTTAATCAGACTCTTCTCAGAAAGACTGCTAAACAAGTCTTCCTCATTTTTCTTTTAATTATGGCAGATTTATAGTAATCACTAGAAAATAAGATTTTCTTATTTCTGTTTAAATGATGATTAAAATCTTAGAAAGGTATTATAAATCAACACTACAGTAGTAACAAAAATGGTAACTAACAATTGAACCACAAATTACTGTTGACAATGTTAGCATATATTCTTGCACTTATTTCTATCTACTTCTCTGTGAGATATTTTACTTTTATTTCACTTATAAGAAAACTGAGTTTCAGAAAGATTGTTGTGAATGATTTGTGACAATTATTGTATATCACTTAATTGGTGCCTGACCAATATGGTTTTAAAGTGTTTACAGCAGTTGCTCAAAAACAGTTTGTTTCTTGTTTGCCTACCTGGCTTAGTAGCATTTCATTTAATCTCAGAACAAATGTGGAGTTAGCAAAAACAAAAGTAACTATATTATTCACTTGTTCTGTGTTTTTATTGAATGAGCATAGTAAATCATAATTATTAAATATTAGGTCAGAAGGAAGTATCACAATTTGTAGGCAAAAATTCACCTATTTCCCTCTTGGTTAAGATTAATTTGTGTTTCCTTTTTACTTCCATATTACTACATTATATGAGTAAGAATTTAATTGGGAATCTAAATATCTTGGTAGATAAACTTTAATACAGGAAAATAGATTCTTACAAAACCATTGGAAAGGCTGGGTGAGTAAAGGTCAGAGGGAACCACCGCTGGCTTTAGGGAATGAGAAAGTACAGACTGTCTATGAGCTCAGCTGTCTGCTGAACTGAACAAGGTGATTTGAAGAAAATATCCAGGGTGCCTCTGCAAGTTGCTCTATTGCCTGGCTACACATACATCAGCCACTATTGGAAGAGAAAAAAATTACTTCTGCTTTCTACCTATGTAATTTCATACAAATGCCTATTATTATCAAAATCTAAACTGAAATTCTGATGACAAGAATCTAAAAATTATAGTGTTTAGTATTTCTAATGTGTGCTATACAAGGAGAGTTTTGAATGATAGGGATAGTGTTGAATATCCACAAACCATATATGATTCAGTTCTCATCCTTGAATTCCTGACATTTAAGAAATACTTATTTTATACCTAAACTCTTAATGATAAAAGCAATAGCAGGTAGTCCTATGCTATGGGCTGAATGTATGGGTCCCCGAAAAATTCCTATATTGAAATTTAATCCCCAAAGTAATGGTATTTAGAGGTGGGCCATTGGGAGCTACAAAATTTATGCTATCTTGGTCGGGCGCGGTGGCTCACGCCTGTAATCCCAGCACTTTGGGAGGCTGAGGCGGGCGGATCACGAGGTCAGGTCAGGAGATCGAGACCATTCAGGCTAACATGGTGAAACCCCATCTCTACTAAAAATACAAAAAAAAAAAAAAAAAAAAAAAAATTAGCCGGGTATGGTGGTGGGCGCTTGTAGTCCCAGCTACTCAGGAGGCAGAGGCAGGAGAATGGCGTGATCCCGGGAGGCGGAGCTTGCAGTGAGCCGAGATTGCGCCACTGCACTCCAGCCTGGGCGACAGAGCGAGACTCCGTCTCAGAAAAGAAGAAAAAAAAAAAGTTTATTTTATCTTATTATAAAAGCCCAAGCCGACTAAGACACGACCTAACATAATGTTTGATTGTTTTTGTCATTTTTTTTGGGAGGGTCTAACAGTCTTATACAAGGACAGATATGTGCACCCCTAAAAAGAAGAGATACAGACTCTCATCAAACTCTCTAACCACCTCTGTGCAATATTTATTAAATATTAATTATTACACTTCCAGTTCATTAACCAAGTACCTTTACATCCTGAAACTTAAAGAAAAAATGAGAACTCTAAGAAAAAAGTATTATACAATGCCTCATATAAAATAATGTGGGAAGAAGAGAAGAATATAATGTTAGTTAGTATGTACAAATCGAATAGCAAGCCAAGAGTTTGTTTCTTAAAGTGAAAATAGTTGTTTGTGGAAGAGAGAATGGCTTTTCTTCAAACAAATGGTGATTGAATATTGCATCCTGTATGGTGATAAACACTTTGAGCATCATTGCATCTTCCATTTGACAAGTTTCAATTGGCTGAGCATCTTTTGCTGAAGTCTCCACTGTCTGCAGAATATTTACATACTCTGATCATCACTCAAATTCTATGGCTATGGGCTTTGTGGTAAATGGTTAGAAGTAGCATGCATGCTCAAGTGTGAAATGTGTTGGCTCCAGAATCCCAGGAGGCTCAACAAGAGTTGATATGGTTTGGCTCTGTGTCCCCACCCAAATCTCATGTGGAATTGCAGTCCCCTCATATGGAGGGAGGGAGCTGGTGAGAGGTGATTTGATCATGGGGATGGAATTCCCCTAGGCTTTGTCTAAACCAAGAACTTAAATAAGTGCAGAGCAAGCAGAAAGTATTAACTGAAGGTTAAAAAGTGATCTATAGTGTTAGAACAGAGCATGATTAATGTGACAGTGAGTGAGTTGTCACAAGATCTGATGGTTTAAAAGTGTGTGGCACTTCCCCCTCAGTCTCTCTCTCCTAACACCATGTGGAGAAGGTACTTGCCTCCCCTTCACCTTCTGCAGTAATTTTAAGTTTCTCGAGGTCTCCCAATCATGCTTCCTGTTCAGCCTGAAGAACTGTGAGTAAGTTAAACCTCTTTTCTTCATAAATTACCCAGACTCAGATAGTTTTTTGTAGCAGGGTGAAAACAGACTAATACAAGAGTTTTGTCTCTTTTTTAGTGGCATAGGTCATAAGTGCAGTAAGTTGTCATTTATTTTTAAAGGGACATTTTGACAAGCCTTAGATGACTGAAAACATCATCAGTGTGGCATGACCCAGATTTGGAATTTTTGTGATGATAAGCATGTTTCCTCAAAAAATGGGCAGGGCACTTGTTACATCTTCTGTACCTCATCCAATCAGCATAATTAACACTGTGGACAAGTGATATGTCTTATTTATCAACATCCCTGCATTTTATTGCTATGCTTCTTCTTGCCTGGTATAACGCCTTCAAAATCAATTTCTTCACATATTCTTTAATTTTCTTTTGATATATATTGGCAAAAGTATTACAATTATTTTAGTTTATAAGCTTTCTACTTACAGAGTAAACTGGAGGGAAAATCTGTTATTTTTTTTTAAATAAGCTGGGATTTGACTTTTGTTTATGAGTCTATAGGTTCTGAAATTTGGGTGTTGAGTGAATCAGAAACCATTTTAAAGGTAATTATCTCACCACAGGGTCTTCTAACGAGAAGAAGCTAATCTCAAACAGATAATTTTGCTGACAGGAAAGAAAGACTGAAATTCAAAAGTCCCAAGTATTCAGAATCACCAGAATTCACTAGTTATCACCATTCGAAATTTCTGTATCACTTTTTTTGCCACAATTTATGCTCTAAGTTTCACATAATAGCTCTATAGAATTTGTGAATATCAACTAACTGTAATTTTGGACCCCAAAAGGCTAGCTTTTGTCTTATTTTTAACATTGAGTAGATATTCATTGAAAGCACAAGTAGAAACATTTGTTTTTTTAGCTTTATCTTGAGTCAAAAATTTAAAGCCTTTAATTGGTAACTTTTTTCAGAAGCTAACTATGGTCAGAGTAGCCATCCATAGTACTTACAGGCCTTATTTCAACTAAGTTCTATCTCAATAACCATCATGGTTTCCCAATGCCATACCCTTAAGAAATATTTCTTTCCAGGCAACTACAGACATGTTGGAGGCTACTAGTATCCCTTTTATATTAGCAGTGGTGTTATTACTGTTTTCAAATGAAACCAGTTAGATAACCAATTTATTTCCCACCTCGGAATCATTTATGTTACAAAATTTTACATCAGTCAAGTTTGGTTGGAAGACACAGAAATCACTCTAGATCTCTCAGTGGTAAATATTTAATACAGGGAATTAGATACACATATCTAAAGGGCTGGTAGAACACAGGCCAGGGATTTTATGCAATTAGGAGGGCAAGCATTGCAAGAAATTGTTGTTGATGATCTTAGACTCTTGGAGTACTGAAGCTTGAGAATCGAAGGTGTTTTCTAGGAAATTGATGAGATTTCAGATATGTAGCCTTTTCACTCACTTCCTTGAAACCTCTAAGGAAAGGGAATTGGTTGTTGTTCCCTTCTGGCTTTACGTTATAAACCATTACCTTCACTTTTACAATATAACCTAGAACTCTGTGGGCAAAGGATTCTGGAAAATAGTTTTTAGGTTTCCAGACTGTGACACAGCAGGGTAGTTGAGGTGGCTGAGAATGGTGATACATAGATAATTGTTCTCCCTTCCTCAAGTGTCATTTGCCCCCAGTCTATTCTCACTGAGGTTGGAAAAACATTTTAAACCCAAATCTGATTATACTACATATTTGAGCAAAATGTTTAATTTCTTTCCAAATTTTTCAATGCTAATATAAAAACTTATATATGTAGTCAATTAAATTTCACTGTTTGGACTTTGCTACCTTTTCCAGCCTGATTGTTGCTACAACTTATGAATAATGCTATTCATCCATCAAATATGCTATTCATAGCTACATGTAAAATTTAGGTAAGTTGGCCAACTTTCCACGTATATCTTAGCCCTAACTTACTCTGCATTTCCTCCCCACTGATCACTTTTTCATGTCAGACCAGTCCTTTAACTACATGCTTAAATTTTCATTCAAATATGTTTGCCAACATTTGGACTCAACTACAATCTGACACTCTCCTGTGCACACCAGTTCGTCCTGCAGAGGATAACCTTCATACATTTCCACTCCATTTACTGTGGAGGACAAACCGCTGTGCACAGTTTGGTGTGCACATTTTATTTTCAAACTGGTGTACACATTTTATTTACATAGATGGAATCTGCATTTTTATTTTTTTTAAACGGAGTCTCGCTCAGTCTCCCAGGCTAGAGTGCAGTGGCGTGATCTCGGCTCACTGCAAGCTCCGCCTCCCGGGTTCACGCCATTCTCCTGCCTCAGCCTCCTGAGTAGCTGGGACTACAGGCGCCCGCCACCACGCCTGGCTAATTTTTTTTTGTATTTTTAGTAGAGACGGGGTTTCACCGTGTTAGCCATGATGGTCTCAATCTCCTGACCTCGTGATCCGCGCATCTCGGCCTCCCAAAGTGCTGGGATTACAGGCGTGAGCCACCGCGCCCCGCCGCAATCTGCATTTTTTGAAATTCTCATTGCTAATTCCTGATTATTGCTGTTGAACTCCTGGGAAAGCTCTCCTGTTTTTGAAGTTTTGCTTCTACTTATTATCCTTTTATACTGTTTTCTGCTGCCGCCCTTTTGGAACATGGCTGAAAGTATTTCTTTTTATTCCAAATACTGATAGCCTCCATAATGACTGCAAAGAATATGTGGCTAGCCCACTAGGCGCCTTGTTTTCACAAATGTTTGACTTCTTGGATCTCAGTTCTTTCAACTTCCACTCTACTTTAGACACCCTTTCCCATGACCACAATCTGGATTTTATCATAACTTATAATTTTATTACCTCTAATAAAATAAGTTCCAAATACTAATTGCTAATCACAGTCTCCATTCATTTCAGCTTTTTACTTCATTACTTTTACTATATAGTATTTTATCTTTATCATGTCTTTGGAGATTCAATTTCTCACTAACTTTTCTCCTATTCCCATTGTTTCAGTTTATTTCCTATGAACTCCAGCATCAGTGGTTAATCATATCAACATTTTATTTTCAGTTTCCATGTTTGATTTGATTGTTTGGATGTTTTTTCCTCCTCATTTATATGGTTTTTGGCATAAGCATTATAAAAACCCTTATAATTTGCTCAATCAAGCCATCTACCTCCACTCCTCATAATGTTAAACGTTGCTAGAGAAAATCATGCATCCTTACAGACTGACGCTTCCACAAATTGTTTCGTTCGTACTCACTGGACACTCAGTTCTCATGCAATCATTCTACTTATTTTCCACCTTCTTGTCATTTCTCATAACACCTATGGAATCTTCTTTTTCTAGACCCCAAAATGTAAGTGTTCTACAATGTTTCACTATTACACTGCTTCTTTCGCCTTATTCTGCCTGCTCTTTCTAGATCACCTTATCTTTTCCCATAGTTTAAATTAGAATTTATAGGCTGATAACTTTGAAATCTGTATCTCCAGCCAAGACATCTTTCCTGAGCTTCAGGTTTATATGTTCAACTACAAGCTGAACACTATGTTTAGTACAGAGTAGTATTCCAATAAATATAACTTTACTGAATAAATAAACTTAGTAAAAAATTACATGAACAAACTCAAGATACAAGATTTTACCCCAGTCTTGAAAACAAAGGCTCCTCTATTATTTGTTTTTTAATAACATGTCGATACCTCTATGGAAATGCTTATGTTACAGTGACATTGCTTCATACAGGACCATGTTTTATTTTCAGCATGCATTTTGTGGCAATAAAATAGAAATTGAATGTTAAATAATATAAAGGTGTTCCATCATATTAACTTGTACATGTTAGGTAATTTACTCTCTTTTATACAGATGAATTAATAAAACTGAATTATTCATGGAAAGCCAGCTTATCTTGTGTTCAAATTACAATATATACAAAAATTATATGACAATGGTGTTTTTGAAGAAAACAAGAATTTACCAGTTTATATAATACTGTCTTCTCACAGTACAATAAGGTGATTATACATAAATACCCATTTGAATGTCCTGATATAAAGGGTGAAAACCAGGCTATAGTGGAAATATAAAATGTTTTCTGTGCTTCCCATTATCTTTTGTCTGGTGATTTATAGATAACAAGGAATCATAATATATTTCCTCTCAATGGCTCTGGAATTCTATCCTACAAGATTTATTATATTTAAGATGCTGATTGTTTTACTTTCTTGTTTCACTATAACATCCAATTAATTATATTGATGTCTTTTTTTTTTTTATAATCTAGCACCCCACTCCTGTGACATAGTGAATATAATGTAGCCATCTGCTTTTGTGAGGGCCATAGATTTATTTTTTCAAATATTAATGCACATGAACTGTTCTATGTTAATTTTTACTGTCATAAGTCAAATGTGTGTTTTTAAATCAGATTTCCTATTTGGTAATATTATAGTAAGTATTTAAGAAAAAAACTGCCCTAAAAAAGGAAGTATTAAGAACACCATAAAAGCTCAACCACTCCATTCTCTCTTCCCAAGAACTGCAGACGAGTTTAATCTTAGAAACTAAATAAACTTACTGAGAGCATGCCATCTATCACACCTAAACAAAGTCCTGGGTCTCCTGTTTAACCTATTCCCATTTTAATAACAAAACGGAGAGATGTTTTCTCCCATAGTACACACACCAAATTGTTATTGATTTTTTCTGCTGATCCCGCAGGCATTGTTCCCACTTTGTGTATCCCTTTGTTTCTCTAACCTTCTGCAAATCACATTGGTAATGCATTCACAATAGAGATTAAGTCATCCTCTTGTTCAGTTATTCTCTCTTTTGGCTGCTAGGGTGTTTTTGCACTTTATATATTCAGCAGCTTTTATGCCTACTTGAAATGGCCAGAAACACTTTTTTCCTTACTTTCCTCTGACTAGTAATACTACTGAGGTATTATTGCCTATGCCTATGACATAGTAATACCCTATGACTCAAACTACATTTCCCATTCCAGGTGTTCCTGCTTATACAGTGAGCTTTTAATAAGAGTGTTTCCATCATTTTGACCTAATTTATTTAGATGCACTTAATTCTCATTTTATATTTTCTTATTTGCATTAAGTAGGTAGGAACAATTTTAATAACATATGGACTCAAAAGATTTCATTCATATGAGTCTTAAAGATGTCTGTATCAGTTTGATCATGTTGTTGTCCAATTCATTATTATTGTTATTATTATTATTATTATTATTGAGACAGAGTCTCATTCTGTCGCCCAGACTGGAGTGCAGTGGCGCGATCTTGGCTCACTGCAAACTCACCTCTCGGGTTCAAGCAATTCTCCTGCCTCAGCCTCCCAAGTAGCTGGGATTACAGGTGCCCACCATCACTCCCGGCTAATTTTTCTATTTTTTTTTTAGTAGAGATGGGGTTGCACCATGTTGGCCAGGGTAAAAACTATTGTGATAAAGAACCAGAAAACTCCAAAAATGACCTTGATTTTCCATCTTTAGAAAGCAATGACTATGGGGTCAGCACTTTCTTATAGTCATTTGAATCCTTCCTGTCTTATGGCTGGGAAGAAGGTAGGTCTAAACGTCTGTAATAGTTTTAGTCAATTATTAGCTCTGAGGATATATTTATATTAAAGCTTTATATGACTCTGACCATTGGTTCCTCAAATCTATGTGGCATTACAGAATGCACTGTGACAAATTGTGTGCATTTATCTCCTTCTAAAAATAGACAAGCCCTAGCAGTATTAGTAGTAAAAGAAAGCACGGCAGCATGAACAGGATTGAAAGTCCCATAACTGGCAGAGCTCCATCACTGGGGCAACTTGACTTCACATGGCAAACAGGAAGGTCAGGATTAATAGCCAAAAACCGTAAAGAAAAATATATAGTTGGAGGAGAAAGACTGCACTGTAGAAAGTATTTTAATTGCATGTTCCCTTTTCCTTTGTGTTCATTTTCTTTGACTGGATGATCTATTATTCAAAAAGTATTATATAATTGACATGGTTTGACTGTGTCCCCATTCAAATCTCAACCTGAATAGTATCTCCCAGAATTCCCACATGTTATGGGAGGGATCTAGGAGGAGGTAATTGAATAATGGGGGCTGGTCCTTTCTATGTTATTCTCATGGTAGTGAATAAGTCTCACAACATCAGATGCGTTAATCAGGGGTTTCCGCTTTTGCTTCTTCCTCATTTTTCTCTTACCACCACAATGTAAGAAGGGCATTTTGCCTCCTGCCACGATTCTGAGGTCTCCCTAGCCATTGAAACTGTTAAGTCCAATTAAACTTCTTTTTCTTCCCAGTCTCCGGTATGTCTTTATCAACAGTGTGAAAACACACTAATGCAATAGTCATATTCACATCCTGCATGATGATTATTGACTATTTACTTAACATAGGCCTAAGAAGTTGGTTCTAGAAAAGTGTTGAAGCTCCTGCTTCATCACCTCACCTCTTGTCCTCAATTCCTACTTTTGCACAGGCAACATCACAGTTGTCTCGAATAGAAAGGACCTGGAAGAAGTGACCTGAATATCATACAGGCAGATTCTCTGGTCTTTATATTATTAGATACTCCTGCCACTGTCAGTGCAAAAATGAATAAAATATAGTGTCAATCCAACATGCACTGAAAACCCCCAAGCTGTGCCATTTGGCAAGAGGTCACTCTAGGTCACTTTGAGTATGTTTTGCATAAAAGACAGTGTAGAAAATAATGAAGCTATTGTCACCTTTAATAGCTTTTAGTGTCAGATAGTAATCCAGACATGTGCTTTCCCAGTTTATTCTCTATTGTATTTATGTTTCTGTCAATCACTCTTTTTCATTTTCTTTGTGTTCATTTCCTGAGAAGGACTGTCACATGCATTATGCCCATTAAATCCTAGTGCCAGTAAGTTTTAGGTAAGAATAATTTTGTTCTCAAGCCAAGAAAGTGGAGGCATAATAGACTAAATTCCTTGAAAATTCTTTTCAGTTTCTGAGTTCTATTTTATACTTTGGAACAGCTGTTCTTTTCTAAGACCCCCCCAAGTTAACATTTTAGCTAAAGAAATAGCAATTCTTCCTAAAAAGTTATTTTAAACTGAAAGAAAACTGATAATACATAAGATTTATGATGGAAAATCCATAAAAGCACTGGAAAGTAAAAACCTTTAACTTCATTTTTTTCTATTCATTTATACAGCAAATATGTATCAAGCATCTACCAAGTGCAATTTGCATGTCAAATGATAGAGATATGGGCATTTAAAAAAAAGACATTTTAGCTGTCTTCACATAGTTTAATTTCTAGTTAGGGAGACACATAATAATAATCGTAAATATTAATGTGTCAAAAGAACTGATCAGGATTATAAAAAGAAACATAGATAGCCTTTCTAAACGATGTTAAAGGGATCTAATTTACTCTGAGGGCTCAGGTTGTGATTTCTCTGAGGAAATGAAACTCAATTCGAAGTTAAAATTGGGGTGCAATATGGGAAAATTCTGCATAGAGGGAGAAGCAGGTCCAGAGTTTCTAATATGAAGGAGCAAGGAACTGAGGAAGGGAGTTGAAGCTGACATGCAGAGATGGACAGGCCAGACTCCTACAGTGTGGTCAGGCAGTGGTAAGGCACCAGACCACTCAAACCTTTGTGGTCAGGCTAAGGATTTTTATCATAGGACACATTTGAAGCTATTGAAAGAGACTTAATTGGTAAAATGTCCTTGTTATATGTCTCTTTTGAAATAATCACCCTGGTTACAGAGTGGAGAATAAATTATAGCACAGCAAAAATGTAAGAAGGGATTTTTTTTTAGAGCATTTCTTTTCAATTAGAAAAAAAATTATAGCTTGATCTAGGGTCATGTGATATAAATGGATATACTTGAAAATTAGAAGGTAGAAGTTATAAGACATTGTGATGGAATCGGAGAGAGGTTTGTAAGGCAGCGTGACTTCTAGGCTTCTGGCTTACCGAATGAATGGATGAAGAAGCCATTACTTGTAGTGGGAGGCCTAGGAGGTGAGGAATGATGGTAACATGGTGTGAAGAGTTAAGGACTGAAGATATAAATTTAGAGTTATAATGATAATGGAAGCTTTATAATAATGTAAAATTTCCTAGAAAGAGATTGTACTAAAGAAAAATAAATCCTGAGGTAGGGCATTAATGTATTTTTATATTTAGTATTGTTTGTTGTAAGGTAGGAGATTGGAGCATATTTAAATATTAATGGAAAGAATGCAATTAAAAGAAGTTTTATGTGAGAGAAACAAAGAATGCCTAGCAAGGTCTTTTAGAAGATTGAAGGAGTGAGAATATAAAATGAAGATAGAAGAAACAATACTTTTTTTATGCCCGCCAATTTATGAACATATTAATTAGTGATTTGTCTAAAGCACAAAACAGCTTGTGTTTTCCCACTTTTTAGTTTTGTGACATTTGGCAAATGACTTAAATTTGTCATGTTACTCTTTCTGCAGTGACAAGATATAGCTCATAGGTTTATTGTTAGGATTAAATGCGTTGGTACATAATGAAAATTCAGAAAAGTTCTAGGCACAGAGTGAGAAACCAGTAAATTATCAGATTTTTATAGCAATTTTAAAATTGTATGGAAATGTTCTGCATAATTGTTTTGTCTAGGTTACAGATGGCTCTAGGATAAAGGACAAATGTACCTCTAAAGCCGAGCTTACCAATGTATATCTGGTGTTCAGAATTTAAATGAGTTTTGCAATCTGCAGGTAAGAAGTTTGGTTTTTAGATACTACTGGTAAGGACATATACAGCAAACATACACCCATTTCCAGGCAAATGAGTTATACTCTAAAATAAAGGGTAAAATTTGTCCAGTTAAGAGCAGTGGAGGATATAATCAAGTGTCTTTTTTGAATTGGTTTTCAATACTGAATGTAGAAAGATAACACTATCATCATGCATTCAATGACATGCGTTTCCCACCTGATGTATGCAAAACTCTCCTAAATCAACAAGGAGTTTTCTGGAGTCTTTTTAATCAAGTGTTATGATTGAATCATACTGGAATCAGGGCTTCAATTGACTATTTAATTGATGAGGCCAAAAAAAGGTGCAAACTGTCTCTAGGTAAAGGATAGTCTTATTTGGTACAGTTGAGATGAATAGGATTAGATTTGATTAAATTAGATTAAGTTGAATTAAATTAAATTAAATTGTCACCTTGCTCTTTTAAGCTTCTTTGTCTCTTATGGACTTGCTTGTTTATTACAGAGGCTTATTTATGAAATTCCCTCTTTTCTGTCTAGGTTCTGAGCGTATTCTGAAGAAAGGATTCATAGAAAGCGGTCAACTATATTATCAGGAAATAGACATGTTTCCACATGGGACAATTTCACTTAGAAATTTTGACATTTTTAATATGGTTATTTAACCTGGATGTTATGGTCAATAAGATTTTCAATTTAGTCCTTTTTTTTTTTTTAACTTGGGAACAGCCTTGTAGAGATTCTGTTAAATTTCAGGATATCCCCATTTTCCCAGAATTACCAAAGGTATTCAAGGAAACAGAAGAAAATGCAGAAGCAGTAATCTTCTAGGAGTTCTACTGCACATTATAAGTGATAAAAGCTTTACTGAAGATACAGATATAATATATATTCATTTAATTGTATATATTTAAATCAGTGGCAGCTCTATTATGCAGAGTAGATTACAGACAATGATGTTAGGGCAGTATAGTATTTACACTCTTTTCTGTACAAATGAGAGTGTTTTGAAATTTACCAGGGGCTATAGCTTAGTGCCACATGGGATGAGTTCTACTTATAAGTCCACCTTTATAAAATGTGATTTTTCAGAAGAGTTTAGAATTCCAGAATTAATAGGTCAAATTAGGGATTTTCTAACCTTGAAACTTTCCCACTGTTTCTGTTCAGTTGCATCCTAATACTAAAATATAATGCAAAAGTGAGTTTGCTGGATCTACTCACAGGATAATACATCTGCTTCTCCTTTGGGCATATTAGATTATACTATGAGAGTGAATAAATGAAAAAGATATAATTAACATGCTTCTCAGAAAATTGGAATTACTGCTTTTTCTACCACAGATTGTTTAGATAATGTAATAAAAGCTTACAAAACCTCTCTTCAATTAGTTAATTCTGTCATCTTTAATCTCAATTCAGATATTACTTTCTCAAGGAATGCAATTTCTAAGACTGAGTCAAGTCCACCCGATAGATGAACTTGATATATGTGTTCGTTGTACTTGTTCTTCTGCCTTGTTCCACTTATTACATTTATAATTAATAATTTTGTGTAATTAGCTCTTAGATGCTTAGATTCTTTACTAGACTATTAGACTATAAATGTATCCATGAATTTATGACTCCATACCTATTTTATCTATTACATGTAGTAATAAACCTGCAGAATAAATTTCAAGGTATCCGTTACTTAAAGACAGATTCTACATTATATATGCCCCAGACATTTAATAAGTTTGTTATCTTAATAAATGCATGTCAATGACTGCACTTTCAATAGAGAACTTCTGCCATTTCTAATAAATTACTAATTATGAATTCAAGCAGGTTGCATAGTGTCCCTCCAAAATTCATGTCAACTTAGAACTTCAGAATGTGAACTTATTTTAAAATAGTATGTGTAAATGTAATTAGTATGAATGATATACTAGATTTAGGGTGGACCCCAAGTTAATAACTCTAAGCCCTTATAAGAAGAAGAGCGGACACAGACACAAACAAAAGGATGTGAAGATGCAGAAAATGGAGTTAAGTTGCCACAAGCCAAGGAACTCCTGGGTCTACCAGAAGCTGGAAGAAGCATGTAGTAAAGATTACTCTGTAGAGCCTTCAGAGGGAACATGGCCCTGCTGCCAAGTTAATTTCAGACATCTATCATCCACAACCTTGGTAGCATAAACGTTCATTGTTTTAAGCCTTTTACAGTAATTACCCAGTTTACAGTATTTTTAAATGTCAAATCTATGAACTATATGAATATACTTGCAAGTTTAGGTGGGCTCTTGATCAGTAATTAATTTTCTTGATCTCCTTCAATGAAATGTTTGAAATCTGTAGAACAATAAAACACATTGAAGAATAAGATAGATTTCTCCTAGTGGGGTCATAAATAGGAAAATATAAATTAATATTATATGGTGGAAATTAGGAAAGCTTATTAGATGTATTTGGTACAGCAGATTTTTTAAAGTATCAAATACATTTTCATGGGTGATAATAAGAACATTCAAAAGGAGGGCCAGGCATGGTGGCTCACGCCTGTAATCCCAGCACTTTGGGAGGCCGAGGAGGGCAGATCACTAGGTCAGCAGTTCGAGACCATTCTGGCTAACACGGTGAAACCCCGTCTCTACTAAAAAAAATACAAAAAAAAAAAATTAGCCGGGCGTGGTGGCACGTGCCTGTACTCCTAGCTACTCGGAGGGCTGAGGCAGGAGGATCACTTGAACCAGGGAGGAGGAGGTTGCATTGAGCCAAGATTGCACCACTGTACTCCAGCCTGGGCGACAGACTCTGTCCTAACAAAAGAAAGAACATTCAAAAGATCTTTCTGTATTAACAATAAATCTATTACATAGAAATTTGAAGCAGACCAGTTAGCTTGAAAAAATGCTTCTATTTCTTAAACACTGTTTATATCAAAAACAGTTTCATTAAGAATTTATCATTCAACATTGACTAAATGGATCTTTGGTGGATCAAAACTAACAAATAAAATGTCAATAATGACTGAGAATCCCCAAGGTGATCAAAAGTTCTAAATTTGAAATCACTGACATTTTCTACCTTCCCAATGAACATTTAGAATAATGATAATTTTTCTAGATGCTTTTCACATCTTTTAAACAAAAACCCAGAATGGATAAAAGAGAACAAATATCAAGGATGTAGGTGCCAGACACAGGGCAGAAGGTAGCTAGAAAAGTATGCCTTAGGGAAATTAAGGGCCTAGCCTCATTCCTGCCTTGTTTTAATAGCTGTACCTCACATAAATAGCTTAGTTTTCCATTGTTCTAGCTTCCTCTGCCCCATCTACAAACATGGCACAGCCAGCTTGCCTTGCAAGGCCTCAGTTGAAGGACCCCATGTACACATAGGCCAGTACAGCAGTACTAGGTTACTGGGGAAGGATCTCATCCCCATATGTGGTCTCATTCCAAGTCTATGGCTGATTACCTTCATTGTTGTGTGTGAAATGTTTTCACCCCTTGAAAATATGGCCACTTCAGCATACAATAGTTAAATCTTTATAATGACCAGTTAATTCATCCTACCCCTTTTACATGCAGCTGAAAAATGACAGTCCAGGGACATAGAACATTGTGAACTTTATACCTTTAGAATCACTTTCCATAAAATGATCACTAGCTAATGGTCACTAAATTTACAAATTAAGGAAATTATATATAGAACACTGCAAAAACACAGTAAAAAGACTGAAGTTTGCCCATTTCTGCTCAGGAAGTCTCTTTGCTCCTAAGCTTCATATGTTGTCCAATTTGGCTTCAAAATTTCTGCTATTATTACTGTTTCTCCTCCTTTTGATCTTCCTTTTGTTCCCCAGTGCCAGAATTTCCAGAGCCTTCTTGCTCAGATGCCATCTTTTTGTATGCCATTTCGAAGAGCTTCAGTGATGCCTGCTGAAGAGAGGATGCTGTTTGTCCAATGTTTTCTCCCGTTTCGCTGTCTTTTCTATCCAGAAGCCCCTTCATTTTGGAAATCTCTTCTTTTAGCTTTTGCACTTATCAGCAGGTAATTGGTCCTTGAATTTAAAATGTGGAACGCTTCACAAATTATG
The DNA here is from genome assembly GCF_000001405.40 of Homo sapiens. Lineage (NCBI taxonomy): Eukaryota > Metazoa > Chordata > Mammalia > Primates > Hominidae > Homo > Homo sapiens. Next base: position 29,257,089 of record NC_000018.10, read on the forward strand.
TCATCATAATTTAAAATAAAGGGAAACACAGAGCTTTCTGATTTGTAAAGAGATTTACAAATGACCTTAATAATTTATTTTGACCAAAATATTATTTTTAAAAGAAAAAATTAAAGAAATAAAACCCACTTTTTTGTCTGCTAAAATTAATACACTGCTAAAAAAAGGATAAAAGTGGATATTTTTTATTAGGCGAATTAGTTATTACACTTTTCTCCCTGTGACAAAATGTGTTTTCTTTTTCATAGTAGTGCTTTGTACCAATTGAGAATCTGGGCTTAAAAGTCAGAATGTAACAGAGGTTCAAATACTGACTTTGACAACAGCTATAATTAAATAATATAATGTCTTCAAAGTGTTTAATGCAATTCTTTTCATATAATACACTCAAAAAACAGGAGCTTTCATCGATCTAATAATACTGCAAATTTCTTGAGGCAAAGATTTTGCTTTATTTATGTCTGAATCCTCAGTACAGTGTTGACATATAATAAAGGCTTAATAAATGTTTATTAAATAAATGAATGACTAAAAAAGAATCTGTCCAATGGGTATGGTAATCATCTAATTCCTTAATAAATTTGGACATTATAAGCAAGTGATCTAGATAAATTCATGTAATAACAATATGCAAAATAATAGCTACTATTTATCAAGCATTTATTGTATGTTAGGAACTATTAAAATGCTTTGGATAAGCTATCTTATCTGACCGTCCTAAAAGTCTGTAAAATCTGTGAGGCAGCTATTTCCATATTTTTTATTTTAAGTAAAGATAAGCAGAGCTTAATAGAGTTTAAATTGTTTGCTTCCAATCAAACAACGAAATATGGCAGAACTTGTATCTAAAGTCAAGTCAGTGTGATGAAAACACTGTCTTTCCTCATGTACTATATTAATAAAAACTATGTAAATATTTTAATATTATACTCAATTGTAACCAGATTTGGGGAGTGGGGGAATAATTTGTCTAATAAGCTGTAATTATACAGGTGAATGTATGTGAAAGAATATTGATGTGCCCAGTCCCCTCCACCATAGAAGGAATCTTGGTTTTCCTGAAAAAACAACAAACAAACAAAACTCTTTAGGGAATTAGGAAATCTTGGCTGATTCTGATTTCTGTGATAATACTAACCTGTGGCTTACTTAGCCTTGTGTTAATCTTACTTGAGATATTTTTGTTCAAATTAATAATTGTTAACATTTGAAATTCCTCTTGGAATAAGTTCATGATTATTTTCAAGTGGAGATAGGTTTGCTCTTAACAAACAATCATATGGAATAATATTTTGCTCAAGAATTTTTGAAATGCTATGCCAAAACAGAAGTCTCTGAATGGCATTTCAACTAGAATAATTAGCTCTTATTTGGTTAAGAGTTCAAAATCTCCTAGAGGCAAATTATTATTTCCCAAAAGAGGCTTTGCATCTCAAACTATCTAAGCACATTCCTATCTTACATTTATATTACTGTTGAATCAACAATTTTATGGATGTTTAATTTTTAGAGGGCATTAATGCTTTACAGATACATTTAATTACACGGAAAACACTGCAAAAATTATTGTTGGTTAAATGACAGAGAAAAACAAAACAATCATTTTATAGTCCAGTAATTTCATTGAAATAGAATTTTGATGCATCAAGGTATATACATTGACTTAATAAATCATGACAAGGAACTTAGCAATTACATAATATTAACATGACCTTATTTTTGGATTCCAAATATATTTTAATGAATGAGTCAGGTTAAGAGCCTTTATTTCAAGTCTAGTGTAAGCAAAGGAAAGAATAAGCAATATGATTTGACAGTTCTTTGCTTTGGTAGTATTCATATAATTGTAAGAAATAGTGTAAGTGTAACTGTAAAACTACAACATAACTATAGAAGTATTAACATAACTAGACAGAAATAAAATAGAAACCTGTATGTAGAAAGACTTCGCCAGAGATGATAATTAAAATTCAGTAAAAATACTCAGTTTTTAAGCTTATATTCAATTTATTTTGAAAAAGAAAAAAAAATGCAGTGGGATGCTTCACTCTTCTCTGGCATTGCATAGATTTTCCAGGCTTTGACTCACCTGCTTCTGTTTGGCATTATGGTACTGCCTACTTGCAGATAAAAGACTGCAGAATGTAAAGTTAAGAGTGTTTTGATTTGGGTCCTGGGTGTAATAACTGTTAATCTGATTGCCATCAGGTATGTGAATTTTTTTTGCACTTCAGAGTTTTCAGATGTGAAATGAGGGTAATAGACTTTAGAGGGGTAGTGGGAGGAGCGAAAACAAATGTAGGTAACAGACTTTTAGAAAACTGAATGCCATACAAATGCAAGTGGTTAGTAGGGCTGTATTAAATTTTTTTTGCTAAGAGGCTTGCTTTCTTTTCTGTTTGTTTGTTTGTTCCTTTTATAACAGTGTGGTGAGGAGAAAGGAAGTGCCAGATTTATCCCATGATCTGAAATTCGACCACGTATGAGCAACTGTATATGAGAAAGAGCTACTAAATAAGACATTCTGTTTCCTGGTGAGGAAGGAGAGAGTAATGAGCAAATCATGCTCCTGGTGTTATATACCCAGTCATTCAACAGGATCTCCCAACTAGAGCAAAATGGAAAAAGGTAGGAAGCCCATGGCGGAAGAGGGTGCACTCACCAACATTTGCTCAGTCCAGTGCTCCCACAGACCCCAGGCATGTTGCAAATCATATTGTTCTGTTCAGTGCATGAAAAATCCAATCAATCTTTCCATAGGGGATAAAAAAGACTTTCATTGAGCTTTATATATATTAAATATATGCTTTACTTGGAATGAAAGGTGCCAGGTGTTTTATATGCTAATATATAAAGGAAACAGAAACGAAAACTCTCTTTCATCTCTGAGTACTTGCCACATGGCGATTTCTGGGATCTCACAGTTCTATATGACATCATTTGGCACATTACTTTAGTAAAGATTCCTTAGAGCAGCTACAACTGTGCTTTTCAGATCTAATGCTTTCTCTTTGCACATCTCCCTTCTGAGGCTGTTTTGACCTTGACAGCTTCTATGCCATTACTGAAATATTACAGCAATAATTCAGAAACACTATGGTTAACATTAAAGTAACATTTAGCTATCTAGAGATTTGAAAGTTGGGACAATCTGTAGTATCTTCCTTTATGGTTTCTAATGAGTTTCAGTTCTGAAGATCAATGCAATCAAATTTTAAAACAAAGAAATTAACAAAAAAGCAGGTAGCCAAAATTAGAATTTGTCTTTCCTAGAAGAGATAAAGCTCTTTGTTTCTAGAGTCAGTGTAAGTGTGGAGAACATAAAACAGAAAACCACATTTGGCTTTAATATAAAATGATTTAATAAAACAAAAATCAGATTATATCCTTAATCAACCCATCTTGCACTTATTAGAATTTTTTGTTTTTAGCCAATGTTCTTTCTTTTCTGAGAATAGGAGAAGGTGTAAAAAGGTCAGAATTTCATACAAATTCGAGCTGGGATGAGAAACACATATCAAAGCGTTGGGTTTCTGAGTCACCTGATCATGCTTCTTTGGGAAGATGTTGGAATGAGAGGGCTTGGATATTTTTGACAGACATAAACCATTAAAGTACTTTTAGTTTCATATTATGCTTGCAGAATGCAAGCCAGTTTTTAAGTGCTATTCAACTTCCAAGAATCTCTCTTTTTAATGAATGTCTAATTCACTCATTTCCATGATGAGTTTCAGATTTTCCATGACTTTGAGTTACCTCTGGAAAATTAAGTTATTCCATAAGTACTCCTCAATACTCTTTAATGATACCTAACAGAAACCTAATGGAACTCAAACTCACATACGGGATAATTCCATTATACACATAATTCTGTTTCTCCTACCCACTCTATTCTTCTTGTGTTTGTTTTAATCTTTTATTCCAGAAAGACCATCTCCCCCCAACCCATAACCAATAGAATCTAGAATCCATGAGGCAGGGAATTTTATCTATTTTTATTTGTTGTAGTATTCCCCATGACAGCCTGTCACATAATAGTAAGTATACAGCAAATCCTTGTTGAATGCAAGATAAATCTTTTCACATGTCAGTGGAAGAAATTATTTTGTAATCTTTTTTCCCCGACAGTGCTGGGCATGTAACAAACACTAAATATGTGTTTATTGAATAGTACATACATGTTTACATAATAATAATACATGTTTACTGAATAATAATAAACAAAACTGTGGATTTTATCGTAGCCCTCATACCATAGGTATTTCATATCTCTCTACCTAATTATTGCCCATATTGGCTCATGAAAAATAGTTTTCCTAAATCTTTCTACATGTTCTTTATTTTTTAAATTTTTAGTTATGAATTCACAATAGGTGTATATGTTTATGGGGTACATGTGATGTTTTGATACATGCCTAGAATGTGTAATAATCAAATCAGGTTAACTGGGATATCTACCATCTCAAGCATTTATCATTTCATTGTGTTAGGAACATTATTTCACTCTGAGTTGTTTTATATCACAAAATCAGTTACTGTTGTCTATAGTCACCTATTATGATATCAAATACTAAATTGCATTTTTCTATCTAACTATATTTTTGCACCCATTAACCATCCCTACTTTGTTCCTCCATCCCCACTACCCTTATCAGCTTCTGGTAACCATCATTCTACTCTCTATTTCCATGAGATCAATTGTTTTAATTTTTAGCTCCCACATATTAGTGAGAACACGAGATATTTATCTTTCTATGCCTGGCTTATTTCATTTAGCATAATGTCTTCTAGTTCTATTTATGTTGTTGCAAATGACAGGATTTCAATCTTTTTCATGACTGAGTAATATTTCATTGTGTATACGTACTATATTTTCTCTATCCATTCATCCTTTGATGGACACTTAATTTGATTCCAAATCTTGGCTATTGTAAATAGTGATGCAATAAACATGGAATTGCAGATATCTCTTCAATCCACTGTTTTCCTTTCTTTTGAATATATACCCTGGCAGTAGGATTGCTGGATTATGTGGCAGCTTTATTTCTAGTTTTCTGAGGAACTTTTGTACTGTTCTCCATAGTAGGTGTGCTAATTTACATTCCCACCAACAGTGTACACGGGATCCCCTTTCTCCACATCCTTGTCAGCACTCATTATCGTCTGTCTTTTGAATAAAAGCCATTTTAACTGGGGTAAAATAATATCTCATTGTAGTTTTAACCTGCATGTCTCTGATGATTAATGATATTGAGTATTTTTTTGTATACCTGCTGGCCATTTGTATGTTTTCTTCTGAGAAATAACTGTTCAGATCTTTTCCCCATTTTTAATTGCATTATTTGATTTTTTTCCTATTGAGTTGTTTAAGGTGATTTTATATTCTGGTTATTAATCCCTTGTCAGATAGGTAGCTTGTGAATATTTTCTGTCATTCTTTGGGTTGTCTCTTTTAACTTTCTAATTTTTTTTTTTTTTTTTTTTTTTTTTTTTTTTTTTGCTGTGCAGAGGCTTTTTAGCTTTATGTGATCCCATTCGTCCATTTTTGCTTTAGTTGCCTATGCTCTTTAGGTCTTACTCAAGAAGTCTTTGCCGAACCCAATGACCTGGAGAGTTTCCCCAATGTTTTCTTATAGTTTCAGGTTTTAGATTTAAGTCTTTAATCCATTTTAATTCGATTTTTGTATATGGTGAGAGATATGGGTCTAGTTTCATACTTCTGCTATAAATATCTAGTTTCCCTCACACCATTTATTGAAGAAACTGTCCCTTCCCCAATGTAAGGTCTTGACACCTTTGTTAAAAATGAGTTCACTGTAGATGTGTGGATTTATTTTGGGGTTCTCTATTGTGTTCTATCAGTCTATGAGTCTGTTTTTTTGCTAGTACCATGGTGTTTTGTTTACTATAGCTCTGCAGTATAATTCAAAGTCAGGTAACGTGATTCCTCCAGTTTTGTTTTTTTTTTTTTTGCTCAGAATGGCTTTGACTATTCTGAGTCTTTTGTGGTTCCATGTATATTTTAGAATTATTATTTCTGTGAAGGATGTCACTGGTATTTTGATAGGGATTTAACTGAATCTATAGATTTCTTTGGACAGTGTAAACATTTTAACATTATTTATTCTTTCAATCCATGAATCTAGAATATCTTTTTATTTTAAACTTTCCTCTTCAATTTTTTATCAATGATTTATAGTTTTCATTGTAGAGATCTTTAACTTCTTTGGTTAAGTTTATTTCTAGGTATCCTATTTTTCTACATGTTCTTTATTCTAAGTATGTCTAGATTTCAACCGCTTTCTCTTCTCACCAACCAATAATCCTGGCATGCCATTATTCTCATATGATACTTAGGGAAAAGTATATCAATAAGGTGAAATTATATTTTAAACTTCTCTCCTCATTGCATGTGTCAGTCATTAATTCCTTTTTACATTCATCTACCCTTTCATTATAACAACCAGTTAAGTGCTTAATACCAATTATCAATATTTAAGTGTTAATTATGTTAATTATTTAAATATTTATTTATTATGAATATTTAAAATGTTGATTATCAACACTGTGAGTCAATTAACAAAATATATTATTACTTGAATCTTTAGAAATCTTGCCAACACTGTTACCTTTCTGAATGCTCATCTAGACTCATGCAGAATATGATAAAGACACATCTTCCTTTTCATTCTACCACAATGATCTGTTCAGCTTACTTTATTATAAAAAGAAACAAGTAGCCATTCTTAAATATGCCAGAATTATTACTGGAATAATTTTGGAGAGAGATGTAAATGTTTAAAATCTTGAATATACTTAATTCACATAATCTAGATTCAATCATAAACACAAACACTTAAGAAATTCAATTTAAAAAATAATTGAGTCAAGTTAGGGCATCTCTGTTATTTGTTTTGTTCTTCCTAGTACAAAACATGGTGCCTGAGACATAGTTGTTAAATTAGTAAATGCATGCATTAGTGAATAAATATTTTGGCTAGACTGACCAGAATTATTTGTATCTTATGTAGTTATATCAATATAGTTCCGTATATTTGAAGGATGTAAGCTGTATCAGGAAGGAATAAAGAAGAACACTTTCCTATTTCTGGTTCTAGGTTTCTGAGGCATCGCCACACTGTCTTCCACAATGATTGAACCAATTTACATTCCCACGAACAGTGCAAAAGCTTTCCTATTTCTCCACAGCCTCGCCAGCATCTGTTATTTCTTGACTTTTTAATAATCGCCATTCTGACTGGTGTGAGATTGTATGTCATTATGGTTTTGATATACATTTCTCTAATAATAAGTGATGTTGAGCTTTTATTTCATATGTGTGTTGGATGCATAAATGTCTTTTTTTGAGAAGTGTCTATTCATGAATGTGGAATATCTTTGCCCACTTTTTAATAGGGTTTTTTGTTTTTTTCTTGTAAATTTGTTTAAGTTTCTTGTAGATTCTGGATATTAGACCTTTGTCAGAAGGATAGATTGCAAACATTTTCTCCCATTCTGCAGGTTGTCTGTTCACTCTGACTATGCAGCCATAAAAAGAAAGGAGATCATGTCCTTTGGCAGGACATGGAAGAGCTGGAAGCCATTATCCTCAACAAATTAACACAGGAACGGAAAACCAAACACCACATGTTCTCACTTATAAGTGGGAGTTCAACAATGAGAACACATGGTCACAGGGAGGGGAACAACACACATTGGAGCCTGTCAGAGGAGGTAGGGGAGGGAGAGCATTAGGATAAATAGCTAATGAATGTGGGCTTAATACCTAAGTGATGGATTGATAGGTGCAGCAAACCATCATGGCACACGTTTACCTATGTAACAAACCTGCACACCCTGTATATGTATCCAAGAACTTAAAATAAAATAAAATAAAATTTTGTAAAAAGAACATTTTTATTATCCTTTATAATCTCTCTGTATCATATATATTACTGTAACATTATACATAACATATAGTAATACAATAAAAATATATAATCTCTATCTATCTTTGACATTTACAATTCTTTAGATAGCATAGGTTTCTTATTCATACCACAGCAACAAGAAAGACTGGGTGAGAGATATACATGAATGAATCTAAATCCATGTACTCTTAGAGGACTCTGACTGCCTGTTTTAATGATAAGGGGTTATCAGTGTCATCTTTATATATCAAGAAGGACACAAAACTTTACAGTATTGTAAAACTCAGTAAGAACACAGATTTAGGTAACGTGATTAGGTTATCTCTATTCTTGCTCATCCTCCACTTAGTCCCCATACTGGGTGTGGAGAAGAGGGTAAAGCCAGGTGGAGAAAGAGCAGTTACATGTATTATAAAGCACAGAATGCACTCAATTCCAGAGTTTTTCTAGCCTAAGATCTCCTTATTCCTCAAAACAATACAAATAAAAATACCACAAAATCCAGCAATTCTTCTGTGTATATACCCAAAATAATTGAAAGCATGTTCGTGAAGACATATCTGTGTACCTGTGTTCATCGCAGCCTTATTCGTAATAGCCACAAAGGGGAAGCAACACAAGTGTCCATTTTCAGATCAATGGAAAAATAAAATGTGATATAGACATACAACGGAATATTATTCAGATTTAAAAGGAAAGAACATTGTGACACATGCTACAATATAGTTCAACCTTAAGAACATTATGCTAAGTAAAAGAAACCAGTAACAAAAAGATTTTTCTACATGTAAGTGGAAAAATATCGCATGATTCCACTTATATGAGATGCTTAAGAGTAGTCAAATATTAGAGATAGAAAGGAGAATGGTGATTGTGTTTAATGGTTATAGAATTTCAGTTTTGTGAAATAAAAAGAATTCTGGAGATTGGCTGCATAAAATGTTAATGTACTTAACGCCACTAAACTATACACTTAAAAATGATTAAGATGGCGAATTTTACATTGTGTGTATTTTACCATAATTAAAAAAAAAACCTCCATTGAGTTTATGAAACAAATGCCAGTGAGATGGAAATTATTCGAATTCCTCCCACATTCCAGAAATCCTCTGAAATCAGAATACTGTTTTGCTTTGGTATATTAGCCATAATGGACAACTGACACCAGGTGGCCCCAAATTGTATCTGGGGTCAGTTCCCTGAACTCAAACAGTGTTATGACCATGGACTTTGGTAAAATTTAAAATTTTATTTATCATGTTATAAAGATAAATTTTATTTATCATGTTAAAAATTTTATTTACATGTACATTTTACTTATCATGTTATAAAGAATTTCAAATTTTATTTACCATGTTATAAAGAGAGGGTTTTCTGTGCTTTGATTAGAAATACATATACTTAATATATTGATATTCATTACAAATTCTTTTTTTCCATTCTGGTTCAAATTGGTAGGTTCTCCAGATCATTACTCTGCCTCTGATTGTTGCATTCTATGACATACAGGGATATTCATTGCTTAAAAAAATAAAAATTATTTCCTTTGATTTGTGAGTATAAACTTCAGTTCAAAGATCTATTGTTATATTTGTCTTGCTTTTTGGCACTTGCACAAACTATATTTTTCTGATTAGAAAAAGCAGCATTCACCTGAATCTGCAGAGATAGCCATTGCTGACAGTGGTCAAACACTGATAACTTGAGGATAAATTTGTCTATTGTTTTGAAACCATTTGAAATATTTTCTTGCATCTTCCTTTTCCTTTTTTTGGTAATCTTTTTACATTTTTTTAATGAACTTTAAAAATAGTGTCTACAATTTTCCTTTCCTATAATCTACAAACTTATTTTGGCCCATAAGTATTCTATTTGCTTAGCTAAATTAAACGATACCAGGACTTGAGTAGAAAACGTCATGTATATTTAAATGTAAAGCAATTATTTGCTTATCACAATTTTAAACAAATATTTTAAAGGATTTATAGCTGTTTCCTATGGAATAAGCCTGTATTAATCTGGGTTCTCCAGAGAAACAAAACCAATAGAAGATAAAGAAATGTATCATAAAAAAAGCAGAAGAGCTGCTGCTGTAAGTTCCAGTCCAAGCCTGGGTCCAAAGGTAGAAGACCAGTGTTCCAGCTTGAAAACAGACAGAGAGACTGGGTTCAGTGGCTTATACTGTAATCCCTGCACTTTGGGAGGCTGAGGCAGGAGGATCGCTTGAGGTCAGGAGTTCAAGACCAGACGAGGCAATATAGTGTAGATGTTGTCTCTACAAAAAAATTTAAAAGTCAGCCAGGTGTGGTGGTACATGACATGCCTGTGGTCCCAGCTCCTTAGGAGGTAGAGGTGGGAGGATTGCTTGAGCCCAGGAAGTCAAGGCTGCAGTGAGCTGAGATCGTACCACTGCATGCCAGCCCAGGAATCTAAGTAGGACCTGTCTAAAAAATAAAAAACTAAAAAGAAATTTAAAAAAAAAAGGCAGAAAGAGGCTTTCTTCTTTTTCTCCTGAGGGTCAGCTTTCTATTCATACCTTCAATTGATTGGATGAGGGCCACCACTTTAGAAAGAGCAATATGCTTTACTCAGTCTACCAATTCCAATATTAAGCTCCTGTCAAACACTCACACAAACACTCCCAGAAAAACACTTGATGAAATATCTGGGTATCCACTCTCCCAGTCAAGTTGACACAAAATTAACGATCATAAAAGCAAACAGAAACATTTCCATTTTCCCACTGGCTTCGGACAAAGATTTTTTCCTTCATTAAATCATTATAATTCAGTGACTTGAAGAAAAACATTATTATGAAAGATTTCAAAACCATCTCAAATTTTAAAAATCACTATATTGTTGGTAATGGTTAATTCAGTCGCTTTAGATTAATGTAGGATGTCTAAATATGTTGGGTGGGTGCTAGAGATTATTGAAATGTATGGGTGTGCTTTGGAATATGTATCTCTGTGCTTTTCTGTGTGTGTGTGTCTGTGAATATGTGTATGTGTGTGTTTAAGAGCACATAGCAAAGACAATGGGGCACTGAATGCAGGAGTTAGGGAGTATTTATGAGTGACCCAGAATTCTGATAAACATAGTTCTTTAAATAGCATTCAAAATAATTTGAATGTTTGAAAAGTTGAAAATAATCTTTTCTTGTAAATTTAATCTAAAACAAATTGGCTATTTCTTTAAGCATGGGGAAAACTTAACCAAAGTATTTAGTATATATAGGAGATGAGCTTCCTGTCCAGTACTTTCTTGTACAACACCTGTTCTACTTTTATTATATTCAAGGTAAATTAGCTTTGTAGCAAGAAGAACTATAGAAACACTATTTAATTTTATTTGCTATTCATGATTCTTTTGAGGCTTCCAAGTTTTTTCTGATCAACAAACTATCCAATAATCTGCAAAACTTTATTTAACATGTATGATGGAGGAAATATCTCAATTTCCATACATTTCCCCATTCATAATTCCATAGCAGTTTATTGAATTCTTGAAATTATCTTAATTACTTTAAATATGTAGTGTTTTTCTAATAGTTGAAAACATTATTTGTAATATTGTTCTTATTCAGTCAAGTTTACTGGATGTTTTCTAGAGGCCGTGGGACCTGAAGATTCATTCTGCAAACAATCTCCTTAGATAATGATAAATATTTCTAGGAAGGAAGGTAAATTATTCATAAAATCATGCTTTTCTCTTTTCTTTACAGATAGTCTACCCTGTATATACTTTATCTCATGGTAAGTACAATGAGCCCCCTCAAAATTGTCCTGATTGCCCTCAGAAGGGCTAAGAGGAAATGTCCATTGTCTTCAAGTCTTGGATGCTCTAGTTATTGGCTTAGCTAATTCTATATGCTTGCATGCTTTTAGATGAAACAGCATCCCTGGTTTTGGAAATAATTAAGGCAGTCTTCTACTCTTTCTTATTTATTCTGTATCCTTTGGAATTGTTTATTATAAAGCAGATAAGAGGGAGGATAGGGTTTTGGAAATAGATTTTACCAAAATTTTCCACATTCAGAAAAAAGTACAGAAATACACAGACACACACGAATTATAGTCCATAGTTTGCACTATGGACTATGCAATATGATTAAACTAGTGAAATAGAGAAAATGCAGGTGGCAATAGGCAGAGACTTACAGGAGAAAAGGATTTCTAAATCCTAACAGGAAAAGGACATAACATACAAGCTTATTAACATCAAAACAATACTGAATTCATATATATATATGAATTCAGGATTTTTGTTTTGCAAAGTATCTTAAATAATATAACAGTGTCTTCAGAATGCTTCAGTGCTTAAGGCTCAATATACTATAGTTGACCATATAAAGCTGATAAATGTGTTTCAGAAGGGTAATCAATCAAGGCCATGCTTCCTTAGTTCCATATAGTCCAACCTTTTTCCCCTTCATTGCCTCCAAGAAAGAATGAAATAGTGAAAATTTATATTACTGCAATACCTATAAAAACCATGAATGCAATGAGATTTTGCTGGCAGAATATAAAGTATGTCACAGTTGCAAGCAACGTTGCCAGGCATGAAATCTCCTGCCATATGGATAGGTGTTGCTGCTTTAGGTTCTTTATTCCATACCTTTTAGGGGGCCATTTCTGAGATCTCATAAGCTTCTCTGAATGTAGAAGTACATACAGGGCATTCTTATTGAAACTCAAAGTCTCTCTGTCTATCCATGTGTAGAGTAATAAAATCAGAAATTCTAAGGAATACAGCTATAGTGGGGATACAGTTTATCTTTTAAATTGTAGAAATTCTAAATGGAAATTTGTACTCTGCAGTACTTCTCATGTTAATACAGTAAGCATATTTCACATTTGTTATGCTCATTACTGTCTCTAAAGTTTCACAGTGATAAAATAGAAGATTATCTCCTGTAGTCATTTCCTTTTCAATGTAAATGCTTTTTTAGAAAAATAATTTCAGCCACCATACTGTTATCTTTCTTTACTGCAGCTATACTGTAGATTAACTTAAGGCTTTAAGGGATTCTTTTTTAGGAAGTTTTAAGTCTCCCTTTATGATCAATATGCTGCTGCACGTCCTCTAAGTAGAAATATTCTGTCAATTCGTTTCTGAAAAACATCATGGCCCTGCTTTATTGGTATTAAATTGCATTCAGTTTCAAGCATCCCAGAAGAATGTTAATACTTCTATTTTTAGTCTGGACATAGAGGTACACAGCACATTCATTCAAATCACAAATGATACTAAATTGGGTGATGATATGAACACCAAGAGAAAACAAACATAATAAAAAAAGATCCAGAACAAAATAACCAAATAATGTTCATACTTCGTAACACCATTTTGGATATATATGGAGAAATAGCCAAACACTGATTTCTAACAGCTGGGAAAGATTTTATGCATGATTGACTCACAAAGAAACTTGTGCTGATAGAAACAAAATAAGTGCAAATCTATAGTGAAGAATTACATCAAGAAAAGTTTTACAAATGTCATTAGCATCCCATTGGTGTCTAAAGAAGTGATTGTCCCTTTCAAAATACTACTATATTCTAAACATAGCTCATCTGGTTCATCAATCTGTTGTTGTATTGATGCAGAAAAATTATCTATATGGGGAGATATAGCCATCTGAGAAGCCGGAAGTTTTAGCACAGTTATAAGCAGGAAAAGGAGAAAGATATGAGAACAGTGTGATAAAACTTAATTTCATGAATGTGGGAAACAGATCATCAGTCCAAGGAAAGGGAGAGATACTTCACTGCAAAAGAATTATACAAGTAAAAACCTGTATTTTATAAAGATAACCTAATAAAATGTGATGAAAGAAATATGATTATTGGGAGGTGATGACCTCTACAGTGTATGATTATCTCTATCTATCTATCTATCTATCTATCTATCTATCTAGCTATCTGAGACAGGATCTCGCTCTGTCACCCAGGCTGGAGTGCAGTGGTGCAATCACAGCTCACTGCAGCCTCCACCTCCCTAGCTGAAGCAATTCTCCTGCCTCAGCCTCCTGAGTAGCTGGGACTACAGGCACAGACCACCATACCCAGCTAATTATTTTTGTATTTTTCGTAGAGACAGGGCTTTGCCATGTTGCCCAGACTGGTCTTGAACTCCTGGGCTCAAGCCATCTGCCCACCTCAGTCTCCCAAAGTGCTGGAATTATATTTGTGAGCCACCATGCCCAGCCTTTATAATTTAATGGCTATTCAAGTGGTAATTTATCTACCTCTGTAATTTTTTTCTCTAAGCTATGTTTCAGTTTGGATACTTTTGTTACCTCCTCATATCATCAATTTGTTGTTTTAAAATGAAATTATTGTAGACCCTGGTTAGAATTTGCTAATCATTATTATTAAGTACAAAAAGATACCACATACTTTCTCTATTGACCATTTCTTCTTGCTTATTTCTTTACAGAGTGCCAAAAAGTTGAATGAGTATCACCATGAAAAAAATTGAATGTGCATTGTCACACTTATATTTGGATCTAGACAAGAGCCTCAGTAAATGAATAAGAAGACAACATAAAGTATAAGAAGCAGGAACTCACCGATCACTCACATTATTCTCTAATTAAAGGTTCATGCTTACCACACTCACTGAAAGTCCAAGAATTCAGCCCATATTTATGACATGCAAGCTTTTATTCCTAGCTCCAAACCAAACATCCACAAAGAAACATAATACACCATGTCCCTAAAAGCTGATGAGTCATTTAGCATGCCTACTGATAAAAGCACAAAATAGGGAGTGTGGCCTTTTACTTAGTTTGAGAGGTAGGACCGAACCCCAAATACAGCTACTTATGTATTTCCTTATAGTTGTATTCACACACACAGACACACATGGTCAATCAAACACAGCACAAAGCTGGTTAAAAGAAAGTATAAAAACCTTAGACTAAAACCTTCAGACTCTCTCCCCTCAAACTTTATTTACTTTTTCCAGACCTGTGCATATTTATAATAAATAAATATACCTATAATATACATATATTATATATGGAAAATGATATATATGTTATATATATGGAAAAAGTATATATATATAGTTGTATATACTAAAAGTAATACTCACTCAGAACTGAGGAAGCTATACTGGGTTTCTCGATCAAGCAGCAAGAGCACGGAGGAAATGCCTGAGGTCATATTTTCCCCCTTTGTTCTCTACAATTATGCTCAATTATAGATTTCTACTATTCTGAATTTAGAAAAAAGGGAAGGCACTTGAGGGCCAATTGCTTTTTTACATTTTAAAATGTATTGCTTTCCCCTTTTGACTTGTGAATACATCAGAATAATATAATTTTTGGTATTCAAATGGCCATTTATTTCGGTCATGTAGGATAGTCCAAGTCACACTTGTGAAGTCAAGTATTTGAAAGCATTGTGATTTAGCAAATCACTCCTCTGCTCAACATTCTTGAAGGTCCTGCTATCACCAAAGCATAAACTCAGAATCCTAACAGGCCTGCAAGACCTGGCCTTCCCTCTTCTTCCTCTATAGTCTATGTCAGGGGTCTATCTCATCCTCTCTTGGCTCAAACCATGTTGGTCTTTTGTTAGTATCTTAAACATTTCAAGGATATTCTGCATATTTCTTCTGGTAAAATATTTATCTATTTCACTCTATTCTGACCACTTCCTTTCAGCTCCCTCTCATTCACCAAATCCTGTATTAGAGATTCTTTTCATTAAGCAACTTTATGATGTCCTGCGTTTTTCCTTGACAACACTCTATGACCTTATTCCTGTGAATATTTGTATTGTATTTGTCTCTCCCACTAAGTTCAAGTTCTGTAAGAGAATGGACCTCGCTTCGTCTTAGTACTGTCTTCGTGTCTAAAAACAGTGCTTGATACACAGTTGGGGGTTCATGGCAACCTAGGGCATTGTGAGTTCAAAACAGCATTACAAGTTTGTGAGCAAGGAGGGAGCAGATTGATATATGTCTCTTCTACCTTGCCCAGATGTTACAGGAATGCATAGCATTGCAGTAATGCCATCCTGGCTGTAATTAAAAATAATTGATTTTATTTTTAATGGAAAATAAATCTTTTAGGAACTACATTTTTATTATTAGAAATCTTTTCAAAAAGCATTAATAAGAATGATCAGTACTTACTTTTTTTTTCACATCATGGTTTGCATAGAAGATGAGAAATAATTATGTGTAGGATTAGAGTAAATGGGCAAGGCAGCATGGATGTCCTGAGGACAAAGAGATCTTGGGCACACCTAAAGCCCATAAATATGGAAGACTCAGAATCACTAAGTGCTGACATCTTTGTGCCTTAAATATTTATCTCCTCTTTTTCTAGTCCATTAACATCACCCAAGTTAAGGCTTTTATCATTTCTCACCTGTAATGTTGCAATCATCTTTTTAATAATATTCCTGCATTTTATATTTCCATAACTCATTCTTTTGTACTTTCATCAAGTAATCTTTTATAACAAATTTGATTAAGTCACTCTCTGACTCAAAATGACCCAGTTGTTTCAATTCACCTGCAGAATAAAATCTAGAACTCCTCCTCAGGCACACAGGACTATTGTGGATCTGGGGCCTGCTTTTGTCTCCAGCCTCATGACTATCACTATTGCTCTCTGTAGCACTGCAGTACTAAGAGTCCTTTAAGTTCCCTAGAACATCTCACAATCTGTTCCCTCTGATCAAATTGTATCTCACTGTATTTTATAAATGCTTATTCAACTTTCCAGTCTCAAAACGAATGCTACCTACTCTGCTATCTTCTTAGCAAACTTAGCCATCCTCCTTCCCAAGCTCTCACACTGCAGGTTGTACATACCTTTAAAAAGAACCTATGGAATTATGTTACAATTGTTTTTCCTTGAGCAAACATGTCTTCTTAACTTTGCACTCAAAGCCTACCTAATGCCTATACAAAGCAGTCGTTTGATATTTATAGAAAACATTAATTTAGGTATTATTCTCTTTTTTAAGGTTTTCCCATTTTTAATTTACTTTTATTTCCTAAAATTATATTTTTCTAAAAAGCTATAAAATTTAAGAGTTTCTAATTATTGTTGGCTTTCTTTCATTGTTTCATTTTTACTGTATGATTAGAATGCCTTCAATTTTCAAAATATGTTACTACTATCTCATTTGTTTGCCTCTAGATACTTCCATTTCTTTTCATTCTTCATTTAATCAAACTTTACCTTGGCTTTTCTACTTTTATGCCTTAACTGTTCTGCCTCACTCTTACCACCATTTTCTGCCTCTTCAACTTCCCTTTTCTCTTCGGTCATGAGAACCACTTTGCTTACTCTCTTCTTCTATTCATTTAATTTTACCAGAGTGATCAAAAATACTCTCAGAAAGCAAATTTATACAGGAGAGAGCTTTCCTATTTTTACTCATGAGTTTTTCACTTCCCACTTTACTTTGTAACTCCTGAAAAGTACACCATATTAAGGATTCCACAAGAACTGGATTAAGTTTTGTTATATTCAGTTACTAAAAGATACTCTCTCAATATTATATCTGTTTGCATATGTATATCCATGATAAACAGTTTAAAGATAATAAAAGTCTATTTCATTTGACTAATAAATAAATTTGTAAAAGTATTTTTAGAAATTTGTTTAGTAAAGGGCTGCCAAACAAAAATGGCAGACATTAAAAATGACAAATCAATAGTTGAAACCAACAATTGCTTACCTCTTAAAAGCATAGAATCATCTTTTATTTTAGAAATAACCAATTACCAAAAATATCAAACATTTCATTACAATTTTTAAAGTAGTTTAGATTGTCCAGATGTTTGTAATCATGTACAAAAAAGCCTCCTGATTGTCTATATTTGGTCTCACATGGCATCATTTGAAAGTAGCATCCATGGCATATAAAAATATTCCATAAGGCAATAATTTGGTGGGTGGTGACTTGAGGCTAGCAGATTCATTTGATTAGACTTCAGTACTAATGAGGCCTAGGCAATCAGTTTTGACCCACAATTGACCCCTTTGATTTAGTTAATTTTAATTAAGATTTCCAGTTAGCCTCAGCTAATTTTCTTGAAAATATATGCTTTTGGTTGCAAAATGGATTGTGCCAAGCGAATGATCAAATGAATTTGCTATCATTATCCAAAAACAATATATATTGGTGTTGAAGTCTGTTTATATATGGTAATGCTTTAATAATAGCTAATATTTTCATGCTAGTCAACTCTTAAAAGGAAGTATAGAGCTCTAATCACTTAATAATAATGCATTCTTTATACCACAAATATACCAACATATGACATAAGTTTTATTTTCATTAGTACCAATGAAAAATTGGGCCAAATCACTATGTCATTATTTGGCTTAAATTGTTTGCCTTTTTGATTAATATTGTATATTTCTAATATATTATCACAGATATCTTTGTTACTGTTTCTACAGTTCTCTTTTTTTTCGCCTTTATGTTAGACTATCAACAACAGAAAGAGAATGAGAGCTCAATGTATAAGAGCTCTTTTGTTGGCCCCTAAGACACTGGCCTGTGATAACAATCATCTCATATGTCTTTATAGGTTAAGATTTGTGAATCGTGGAATGGTGATCAGATATGGCTAGGTACAGTGCATGACAATGGGCTTTCTGGCCTTCAAGAAGCAATAATAATATAATTTGGTTTGTACTAGAAAACCTTGACAAAAGTAGTATTTTGCCCAATTGGGGATTTAGAAATTGACTGGATACATTAGGTGACCTGCTGAAAACCACACAGTGGGCTTGGTAACTTGCTGTTTAATCCCAGACGCAGGTTGTTTGACTTCAAAATTTTAAGCCTCGCCATATACACTATTCAGGGTGCTCTATGAGTCATAAATTGGTAAAGAGTACAAGGAATTACACATTTTGAGTTTAAATATCAGGTGCAATGGATATTTTTATTTCATTGAAGCAGTAACATTAGGTAATTATTCTTTAAGTCACTAGATTTTTTTTGTCTGTAGGACAAATGTGGAGAAATTTAAACTGATTTTGAGAAATATTGTGAACATTTTAATATATATAAAATACCAGTTCAGGAAACACACAGTATTATGAAAATACATCTCTAATTGCAGGCTGTTTCTTAGTGGTGCATCACAAGGGAAATTAATTATATTAAAATGTTCAGCTTCCTGCTACATCAACAGTTGGAGATGAATAAGTCTACATACATTACAAATCATTTTTCAAACAAAATAACAGTCACAGGGATTCTAAAAACTTTCACCATTATCAATACCGGTAATTGATCTGAGCAGGAAAATAAACCTTTTACAATAGTTAGCTTTGAGAAATGAGAGTTGATTCCTCATTTGAAGACAATAGAGCTTTGCTTTCAGGTGCTCAGAGCAACAAAGGGAGAGTTATCTTTCTTTTTCGATAATATCATTGTCACTGCTCAATTTTAGCTTCCAGTAAATATGGCTTAACTTTTAAGTAGGTTTTTATCCATTCAAAAGCCATTTATTTCTTAATATGTGCCATTATATACCTAGGAATTGGGTATACATAGATTAAAGACATAGTTTCTGCCATCAAAGAATTCATAATCTACTTGGTGGGATACACAAAGGAGTAAACATGTTATAATCCCGTGTGATATGTGGTATGATGCATGTGAGCACTGAGTGCTAACACAGGGCAACGTAAGAGAATCCATCCCAGAATGGTGGGGCTAGGGTAGAGTTATTGAAAGAGTCGATTCTTATGCCGAACCTTGAAGTGCATTTAACAAGTCTTAAGACTGTCAGGGATGAATCATGGATAATATTTTACACTCTGCTAGAAAGTTTGGGTGGTATTCTATTCAGGAAGTATTCTTAAAGTGCAATAGTATGATAAGATTTTATGTATGTATATATACATATATCTCTCTTTGTATTTTAAAAAATTATAAATAAATTTATAACAATTAAAACAATAAACATCCATATATCTACCACATAGTATTTTCAAAATGTAAAATCTTGCAATATATGCTTTAGATTTATTTTTTATTTTAGTTATAAAATACTAAAGATACTTTGAAACTACCTATGTGACCATTACCCATCCTTTTTCCTTCTCTCCTTCACGGTAACAATAATCCTGAATTTGATGCATACTTTTTATTCCCATGTATATTATATTCATGATATTCATGTATTTATAACCAATATAGCCTCATGCATATATGATTCTTTGTGTGGGTAAATATGAAATAGTATTTTATTTTTATTCTTAAATTCTATAAGTCAGTTGACTAAAGCAATAGCATTGTATCATTAGATTTATAATACACTCATTTATATAGAAACATATACGATTTTATAAAGTATGTAAAACGTTAATGATATTTTTGTTTCTTCCTTTCTCATCCATGTGCGTTTTGTTGGTTTCTTTTGTCATACTTCCTTGACTTGTATCTCCCCTGATATGGTAAGTAGAAGTGATGCATTCATTCACATATCCATCTCAATTCTTCATAAAATGATACAAAGTTGTCACCATGAAGAACATTACCTACTATGGATTTTTGATTTTATACATAATTAAGAAAATTTTTATTTCTAGTTTTCTAAGCACATTTTTGTGAAACAATGAATTATTTCCTGCCTCTGTTGAAATGATCATGTGATATTTCTCTTTTAATTTATTGATGTGTTGATATAATCCTTCCTGCTGTGGCTCCTTACTACCAAGATGATAAATGATGATATTTATCAGCAGGAATATACAGGGTATCCACAGAGCACTGCGTGCTCCTGGCAATATGGCCCTTCCCCCGTCTCAATGCTATCCTTGGCAGAATTAAAGAGGATGCCAAGAAAACTTCAAGTGTTGCTGGCTAGTGTCTGCCACCCACATATTTCCTTCCTCATGTCCACCATCTGCCAAAGAGTTCACTTCTCAAAGGGAAGCTTTAGTAAAACTAATTATTCACCCTCTTTCTAGAAAGTGACCAACACGGTGAATCTTTTGATGTTTTATGTTCCAGTTTAACTCAGTCACCACTAAGTCCAAGACTTCAAGACCCGCACCCATCTCTTGAACTCTGATTCAGACAGTTCTGTGCATCTCTTCATCTGATATGCATTCTCCCTCTCACGACTTCTGTATCCTTGAACATTTCCACCATGGACCTCAAGATCTGTCATCATCAAAATTTCCTATGCTCTTCTCTGAAGGTTCTTTTCACCTTTCTCTGCAAGAAGTCTGGCTGTCCTATGAGGACACTACATACATCCTTTGGAATTCTTTCAAGTATGGGTTTCCTTAGTCACTGATCATGGAGGTTAGGGTGGCATCCTCTTTACACCCTTTTGCTTCACCCACTTGTTAATCCTTTTTGTAGGTCTAAAAATGTATTTCATCAAACTATACCACCAATATTCCTTCTTATTTTGGTAATATACTGATATTTAGGTCCATAGCCTTAAACTTGATGATGTTGGTATTTCTCCTAAAGACAGTACTTCTTTCATAATTTATAGTGATGTAAACATCCATGATGACTATTCTTCAAGCATCTTGACCCTCAGTTCCTTAACTTCTTCACCTCAAATGATTTTATCCCTCCTATCAATGTGATCACCTCTGTTAGTCCATTTTGCATTGTCATAAAGAAACACCTGAGGGCAGATAATTTATAAAGAAAAGAGGTTTATTTTGGCCTACCATCCTGCAGACTGTACAAGAAATACAGTGCTTGCATTTTCTTCTGGTGAAAACTCAGGAAGCTTTTACTCATCGCAGAAGGCAAAGGGAGAACAGGTATGTCACAAGTTGAGAGAGGGAGAGGAAGAGATGCCAGACTCTTTTAAACAACTAGCTCTGGCATAAACTAATGAGTAAGAACTCATTAATCATCAATGGGAGGGCACCAAGCCATTAATAAGGGAGCCATTCCAAAGACCCAAACATCTCCCACCAGGCCCCACCTCCAACAGTGGGGATCACATTTCAGCATGAGATTTGGAGGGTACAAATATGCAAAATATATTACCACCCATGCGTGAGTTATACTCTAGTTTTTGTGATTACTAAGAGCTTTATGACTACCTCATTCAGTTTAAAACTTTACTCTCACAGAACCCTGTCTCTTATTTGTATACCTCAAACCCTTACCCTTAATCTAATGATGCTTTGGCCCCATTGTGATTCCTATTCCAACCCAGCTACATTTAATTTCTGTCATCCTCATCATGGCATCAGTTATCTCCTTACCCAGATTACATTTAATGACCTAAAACTGTAACCGCTATTTTAAATATACTCTCAACTCCTTTGTACCTCTTTCCTTCCACTTGAACCTACTGAAAAAAAAACCCTAAACCCTACTAAGATCAAACTGTAAATCATACCACATTCCATTCCTAGTAGGGGTAACCAGTAGTCTAAAGAAAATCCTTACAATTATGTGCTTTTTTAATGTTATTACTATACATATAGATATTCCTTTACAATACACTGTTGAATCTTGAAATTTGAGGAAGCTGTTATAAATTTGTTCTCTGTGAATTAGTCTCTGAGGCAGATATTTGCATAGAGTTGGTTTATTGGGGAATGATTTTGGAAACCACATCTGTAAAGAAGTGATGAAGACAGAATTAGGGATGGGGTGAAGTAGAACTGCAATGCAGATGCAGTAGAGGACTCAGCTAATACCACAGGGTGCTCTGTAGCTACATAAACCCTTCAGAAACTTCATGTATTTAGGCAGGGCTTCTGAGCAAGTTTCCTTTATATCCCTCATGTCAACAAGACATTGGATAGGAGCTGCCTCCAGAAGGAGCTATAACCTCGACTGAGGCAGCTATCTTTGTCCAAAAGCAATTCTAGAAAAACACTTACTGGAGTTTAAAATATTTATTTACTTATTTTTAGAGACAAAGTCTGGCTCTGTTGCACAGGCTGGAGCTCAGTGGCACAATCATAGATCACTGCAGCCTCTAACTCTTAGATTCAGCGATCCTCCTGCCTCAGCCTCCTGAGTAGCCAGGACTACAGGTGTAAGCCATTGCACCCAGCCCGAAAAGGAACTTAGCTAGCTGTGATCTATCAAAAAATAACACTTGCAATAGCTAGGTGTCTAGGCACTTTGGTCTTAAGGGGTGAGAATTATGTCACATAGCATATTAACTAGTAATAATCCACAACTTTATGACTTTGATCCACTTAATAATTCTACTCTTTCTGTCAACATTTTCTACAGAATCACTATTGTTATCTTCAGGTAAATATTTATGAGAAAATTAATGGGATAAATACAGCCTCCCTTGCACTGACCCCCACACATGTATACACACATGTACCACAACTGGAGCACAACTGATTATCATTATCTTTCTCTTCCAGTACTGTGGTATCACAAAATGGCATTTGGTCTTTGTCCCCCAATTCTAGGTACAAAGCTCCTAAAACTTTTGGACTTCCCTGAGTGATAAGGATGATAGAAGAAACTTTTGTCTTAATGAGGTCACTCTTGGCAGGCTTCAGGAGGGGAGCTTTGTTGCCCAAAAGACCAACCCTTGATTAGAAGCTCAGAACTTTCAGCCCCACTGTCCAATCCCTGAGGAGGGGCAAGGAGCTGCTGAATGAGATAATCACTAATGGCCAATAAGGTAATCAATCATACTATGTGATGAAACCTCCATAAAAATTCCTAAATTACAGGGATCTGAGAGCTTCCCAATTGTTGAACACATCCGCATGCCAGGAGAGTGGTACACCACAAGTCTGCAGGTGCGGATGCTTCGCACTCAGGATCCTTTGCCCTATGTATCATTTCATCTGGCCATTATTCTGTGCCCTTTATAATAAACTGGTAAATATAACTAAAGTGACTTCCTGAGTGCTGTGAACCATTCTAGCATATATCAAGCCTGAGAAAGGGGTCATGAGAAGCCCTGACTTATAGCCAGTTGATCAGAAGTAAGGATGAATGACCTGGGACTTGTGACTGGTGTCCAAAGTGAGGTCAGTCTTGTGGGACCGAGTCTTGTAATGTGTGAGATCTGACATTAAATTCAGGGAGAATTATCACAATTGAATTAAATTGCTGGATACTCATTTGGTGGCAGAGAGCTGGTGAAGTAATGTTGGAAAAAACACTATGTATTTGGTGTCAGGAGGAAGAAAAACCTCTCAAATCCCTGCTAGATTTTCCCCACTTTTGGCCAGCACTTTTGTTTGACTAGGTGGCTTACTTGTTGTCGCAATCCAGACCTGTATCCCTGAGAGATTTGAGCCCGCGGTCACTATGACCTTCTCCTGCCATAGTTGCTGTACTTTTCCACTTACTTTCAAAATTAGGTAGGGCTTACCCATAGAGTCTTGGTAGATCACTTAAGAATCACTGACAGGAGTTTGAGACCAGCTTGGACAACATGGTGTAACCCTGTCTCTACTAAAATACAAAAATGAACCTGGTGTGGGAGCATCCACTGTAATCCCAGCTACTCAGGAGGCTGAGGCAGGAGAATTGCTTGAGCCTGGGAAGCAGGAGTTGCAGTGAGCCGAGATAGTGCCTGTACTCCAGCCTGGGTGACAGAGCAAGACTCTGTCAAAACAAAAAAAAAAAACAAAGAAAAAAACGAATCATTGGCATAAGGTACAAACTATCATATAGAGAATAACTTCCCATTTTTTCATGTATCAGTTCTAATTAGGCTGTACCTTAAAAACATCATTCCAACACTTTATCAAGACAGAATGTGACTAGTCTACTGGGTCCTATGGTCATGTGCATCTCTTTCACTGTAATGTGAATTCCTTGTTCCAATGCAGCATTATGTGAGAGCCTGGATCTATGGGTTAAACATTATGCAGACCCTTGAATAGAAGTGTTGCCAGAGCCTCCCTGAGCAGGGAAGGCAAAACCATAAGCATGATATAGTTTAGTCAAGAGAAATTACTGCCTCTTCAAGGATGAATGGAGTCTAAAGTGATTAGAATATCATCAAATGGTTGGTGGATATTTTTGAGAGATAGATCTGTATACAGAGCTCAATTTTAATCCCCTTTTGCTAGCAGTTTGGGAATTTAACAGCAGGAATTTAGGTCATGCATAACCTGCATCCTTGCCATATGACTACACCATTCATGGCCCTGTTATGCTAGCACTGGGGGGATGGAGGAGCAGTGATGGAGATGGCTGATATCAACTGGAAGAGAATAATTCTCAGTGCCATTGTAAAGCTTTAATTAGTAGTTTAGTGCCTTAATTGATTGCTTATTGTCTTTTTCACAATAAATAGTCTCTGGTTTTCCTTAACATTCCTTAAACAAATTTTCATATTTCATAGTCATTACCATCTATCCATCCACATGCTTCTTCTGAACTCCTTGTTCCCAATTTTCCAAACTTTCTTATTTGTGACTAGCCAGTCAGATTACTTCCTACTGTCATGAACTTTACACCTGCTTCTTGTCTTTACACACAAAGTAGATTAGTCTTCCACTTGAAACTGCCCAATGGAAGAATTTCTTTTTCTGATGTTTTGAAGACTGCCCATGAAGATAATATACCCACAGGCAGGCCAGGTGTGGTGGCTCATGCCTGTAATTCCAGCACTTTGGGAGGCCGAGGCAGGTAGATCATTTGAGGTCAGGAGTTCGAGACCAGCCTGGCTAACATGATGAAACCCCATCTCTACTAAAAACACAAAATTAGCTGGATGTGATGGTGCATGCCTGTATCCCAGCGACTTGGGAGGCTGAGGCAGGAGAATCACGTGAACCTGGGAGGCGGAGGTTGTGGTGAGCCAAGATCACGCCATTGCACTCCAGCCTGAGCAACAAGAGTGAAACTCCATCTCAAAAAAAGATGATAGGTAGATAGATAGATACATAGATAGTCATAGTCAATATTTGGCTTGCACTTATATACTAGGTGAATTATCCATAAATTAAGGTTGACCTTTCAATATCTGACATCTGACCATAAAGGGTCTCCCATATGGTCATAGGCTGTGTGAGGACAAGGCACCAGTGCAGATATGGTAGATGTCATGGGAGTTTGGACCAGCTGCTCTTGTGGCTTAATTGTGCCCTTGGCCCTGATTATGCCCAATTAGTAATATCCCACACACATCTTACAGTGGCTTAGTCCTGGCCTGATTTATGACACAGTAGGTTCTGCCCTTATTGTCAATTAGTGTCCCCAGACAGGCACACCTTCTCTTTTAGGGTCTAATACCATAGCATCTGATTATTTGCTGCAGATGACATGGCCTTGCTCCCCATTACTAAGGACCAAATTTGGATTTATCCTACAGGAGCTGGCCACAGATTCCAGAGTATTTTTTTTCTACCATCAATAGATCTAATATCATAGGGTCAGCCAGATTGTATGGCCAATGTGACAGGGTTGCTTGCACTAGAGCCTAGATCCACTGGACTCCACTCAAGGCTTGCAAACTTCCATGTCCCGAGAGAAATAACTCCCAAGCTGGAATATGTTGTTTCCTGTACCCAAAGAGACCTATTCAATTTTATACTTTCCTTTTGGTGGGTGCAGGTATAAAGTGCAATCATTTGTTCTTTACTTTTGGGGAGTCTTCCCAGACCTCTGCACCTGTAAGAACTTTGTTAAGGCAGTTGGCTCTTAAACATGAGTGGAATTTATTTTCCATCTTTTGGAGTACATTTGGTGTCTTGCTAAGGCTTCCAATGTATTTATCACTCTTTTCTCATGTGGCCTAATTAACATGGTGTTATTAACATGGTGTCATAAAAGGGGCTAATGTGATATTCTGCAGAAGTTCCAGATAGTCTAGATCTCTTTGAACTACAATATGACATTGGATTGGAATACTAACATAGCCCTTGAATAAAACCATATTTGTATGTAATCATTCATCCTAAGTGAAAGTGAACTATTTCTATTTCTGTTCCTTTTTCCACATAGGAATAGGAAAATAATAAGATTGGAAAAACAAATTCTTTATACTTGCAGTAGTCCACAGGGCCCATTCACTTTTTGTAGGTACCAAAGAGGTGAATGAAATTGGGATATGATGATCACCACAACTCAGGCATCATCTAGACTTTAGAGGGAGAGCCTAACTCCTACCATGGCCCCTGGAGTAAAGTACTGCTTTTAATTACTCTTTGCCTGGATGTAGGGAAAGTTTCAAAGGTTCCTACTCAGCCTTCCCTAATAAATAGTTTTTACTCCAAGACCAATGAGTTCTGCTAACTAACAGGTACATCTAATGTACTTCAGTTGTAGGTATAGGGATTGGAGAAATTACCATTGAATGACTCTGTAGAGCTAGTAGATCCTCTGTAAACTACATATGGGCCAAGACCTCATGTATTACCTGGCTTACATACGCTTCCACTCTAGTAAGGGACCCATGATGTTGCTTTAGTTTCCTCACTAGCAATATCAACTCACTCCTTTATTAAAAATTCCCAGGTATTCTTTTTTTTTTCCTAGGATACACTTACCTGAGTAAATGGCCATAGTTCCCTATAGGGGATCATCACTGCCATATTTAGTTACTGTCATGTTGCTGGGTTCTTTCTCTTGACAGTGCTGAACTTTGTCAGAGCCCCGTGATCCTAGATAACAGTGATGGTTAAAGAAATCTCTCTACTCTTTTTTATAGGAGAAAAATGTTCACTGCAAAGAACCAGCCTTCCCATATGACTCAGGTAAGACTCCTGGGTAACTCTTATTTACCTTTGACAAGGTGCTATGGTCTGAATATTTGAGTCCCCCTGCCCCCGCCAAAATTCGTATGTTGAACCCTAATCCCTAATGTCATGGTATTAAGAGAAGAAACTTTTGGGAAGTCATTTTGGGCAGAGCCCTCATTAATGGAATTAGTGCCCTTCTCAGAGCCTCCAGAGACGGTAGCCCCTTCACCCTTGTGAGGACACAGTGAAAGGTACCTTCTGTGAATAAGAAAACAGGCTGATTCCAGACATCAAGTTTGACCAGTGCCTTGATTTTGGACTTTTCAGTCTCCAGATCTGTGAGAAATAAATTTATGTTGTTTATAAACCACCTAGTTTATGACATTTTGTTACAGCAACCCAAATGAAGACAAGATCAGAACAGACCCTCCAAATTCTCATTCTGTGTCTCATAAATAATTGTTGAACTATTCTTCCCCATTAATCATTCAAAGTAAAGTGCTTGTTAACTTGATCAAATTTTAGTTAAGCTTCTCTCCTCCTCATGGGACCATTAAGTTTGGCTCATTTCCAATCCTTAGTGAGCTTGAGATCTGGAAAACCTGCTCCTTATATGGTCCTTCCTGAGAATTAACTGCCCTCAGGAACAATCACTGACTGTCTGATCATGCCACCCACTCATCCTACTCCCAATATGAAGTTTCTTTTTGCTTTTTTACTTCTCTCTATATATTATTCCATTCTCTCATTCCTAATAAAAACTACCCAAGACTGGGTAATTTATGAAGAAAAGAGTTATAACTGATTCACAGTTCCACAGGCTATACAGGAAGCACGGCAGTGGAGGCCTTAGGAACTTACAATCATGGTGGAAGGTGGAGGGGAAGCAGGCACATCTTCACATGGTGGAGCAGGAAAGAGAGTGAAGAGGTAGGTGCTACACACTTTTAAACAACCATATCTTGTGAGAACTCTGTCACAAGGCAGCACCGGGGGTGGGTGCTGAGTCATTAGAAACCACCCCCATGATCCAGTCACCTCTCACCAAGTCCCACCTTCAACCCTGGGGATTACAATTCAATATAAGATTTGGTTGGGAACACAGAGCCAAACCATATCACTCTATAAAAGAAAACCTCTTTTTTTTGCCTATTGAGACACTAATACCTCCTATATTTGAAGCTTTCTCTCTACTGCAAGTTCCTATTAATCTATAATAATAATAATCCCCCCCATTTATGGCAATAAGCTGTTGAATTAATTTTTTCAACTTCTGTCCAGATTTGTGTTTTATTTGACACTCTTGCCTTCCAAAGGGTTCCAGGTCAGAAAAGTAGGTCCAGCAACTAAGCCAAAACTTGTCTATTCACTGGGGTGGCTGCCCTCAGATTCGTGATCATCCATCCTTGATTTTTTTTTTGATTGTATACATTGATCAATATACTTATTGGTAGCCTGTCTACGTTTTTCCTAGAAAAACCCTTGCTCTCTCAACATGTCTATATCTCTCTTTGGGTTAGTATAATTTGGCTAGAATTCTAGTCTTACCACTTTTTACAATAATTGCACTGACCTTACTTATGATGATTAAGTGCTGCCCCCGGTCCTCTCTGATTTTTAAGTCCCAGTCATTCCCTGTCATTCCCAGAGAGGCAAATTCTCTACAGCATCTCACATTATTAGCCCTGACCTGCAAATGACAGGCACTATGGAGCTTCTCAGAGATTCTGATGACTTTTTCACTAGAGCACTCCACATCACTCTGGGAAGTATCCTTCAGGCCCTCTCATAACATATTGTTTATTCACTTTAGCATGCCTACTTCTCTAAGACTTTGGTCTCTACTTCTACCATATTTCATACAGTTTTCATATTTCTACTTCACTTATTCTGTGGCTACTGCTTCTGAGAGCAATCCAAACTCATTCTAATGGGGTCATTGTCAAGGTATACAATTCTGCATCTTATACAATAATGACGTGTTGACATACTTTTCTATATCCAATGGTATATTTCAACTCCTTTGATCCAGCACCCTCAGGATTCAGTCCTGTACGTACTCTCTTGGTTCCTGCCAGTATTTACTGACTATGTAACGCAGCGCCTTTGGATTACAGATAATGTCTTTTTGTAGCAAGTCTGTCACTTCCCTAGCTAGATCATGTTGTTGGTTTTGTGGGCAAGAAGAGAGAAATTTCACGAAGGAGGCACAAGGCAGTCTCTGCATTTCCTCCAAGCAAGGGGGAACACCACCTTTCAATAGAGAGAAATGAGCCCATTAGGTAGGCATGGAAGATTCAGGGAAATCTGGGCGTTCTAGAATTTCTATGCATCAATCCAGATGTTTCCCTTTTAAATATCAGTGTCCCCTTCCTTCCCAGTTCTGACCTTAATGAAGCAGCTTTCTCTGGATGGAGAGTTTAATTTTCTCTGGAGCTCTGCTACTCACTGATTAAGTCCTGTGCTAGACCCTCAGCTTTCTTTTATTTGCCCTCCAGCTGCAGGAGATGAAATGTTTGGTTTATGCCTCTAAGGAGAATTTCTGGCTATTACTATTTGCCTCAAAGTGATGTTTAATTATTCTCATCTTGTCTTTGTCGTCCCCCCATAAACAGCCCTGAACAATAAACATCTAATTACTGCTTTTCCCATATCTCTCAATGGCTGAAGATATTGCACCCTCCAATGCATCCCCTACCAAAAGTTGACAATTACAGTTCACTACCAGTGAAGGTTTTAATAACTGCATTGCTGCATCACACCAGCGGCTACTGATACTTCGCCTATCACTTGTGATGCAGTTCTTACTTTTACTAGGCTGATGTTTTCAACTCTCAAGTCTTATTTTGAGGTAATTTGTTTTTTTGTAACAAAATATCACTGGTTGAATTATTTAGGAAACAATTTCTAAGGCAGAGTCTTACATAAAGGTGAATTAATTTACTTACATAACACACACTGTAACAAATTTTTAAAAATAAAGCTCATAAAAAGTATATCTGAATATAATGGAATTCAAATAGAAACCATTAACAGAAAGATATATGAAAAACTCCAAATATCTATAAATTAAACAACATTTCTAAGCCAGGTACACTGGCTCATGTCTGTAATTCCAGCACTTTGGGAGGCCAAGGCAGGAGGGTCACTTGAAGCCAGGAGTTGGAGACTAGCCTGGACAAAAAAGCAAGACTCCATTCCTACAAAGAAGACAACTAATAAATATATAATAAAAATGAAATAATTATAGAATAACACTCCTAAATAACCCATGGATCAAAGAAGTTTCAGAATAAATTTAATATATTTTTAACTAAATGCATAGAACGCTGTGAAAGCAGGGCTTATAGAAAAATGTATAGCATTAATTCATATTATTAAAGAAGAAAAATTTATAATCAATAGAAAATTAGGGAAAAAAGAGTAAATAAAGCTAAAACAAGCAATAATAAAAATTAAACTAGAAATTGATGAAATTAAAAATACAAAAGTGATTTTAAAAATATGAAACCAAAAACATTATTATTATTATTATTATTATTATTATTATTATTACTGAGACAGGGTCTCACTCTGTGGCCCAGGTCAGAATGCAGTGGCACAATCACTGCTCACTGCAGCCTTGACCTCCTGGACTCAAGTGATCCTCCTGCCTCAGCCTCCTCAGTAGCTGGGATCACAGGCATGCACCACCACACCCAGCTAATTATTTCTTTTTTTTTTTTTTTTAATACAGCCAGGTTCTTCCTATTTCGCAGAAGCTGGCAAAAACTTATTCTTTTAAACAAATCAATAAAATTAAAAATATTCTGACCATGCTAATCAAGAATAAGAGAGGACATAACGATCAATATCAGAAATGAAAGAAGACTCATGCCTAGGACTGGCATAAAAGCAGACTCACTGACCAATGGATCAGGATAGAAGGCCTAGAAACAAAAACACATTTATGGTCAATTGATTTTTGACAAAGATGCCAAGAATACACAATGGGGAAAGGATAGTCTACTTAATAAATGAGGCTGGGAAACTTGGTTATCCAGATGTAGAAGAAAAAAATTAAAACTTTATTTTACATCATGCACAAAAATCAACTCAAAATGGATTAAAAACTTAAACATAAGACTTGAAACTATAAAACTACCAGAATAAAACATAGGGGAAGAACTCCACGACATTGGTGCGGGCAAAATTTTTTTGGATATGACCCCAAAAGGCTCAGCCAAGAAAAGCAAACATAGACAAATAGGATTGTATCAAACTAAAAACTTCCGTACAGCAAAAGAAACAGTGAACAAAGTGAAATGACCACCCACAAATTGGGGCAAAATATTTGCAACCCATACATCTGATAATATGCAAAATATATAAGGAATTCACATAACTCAATAGCAAGACAACCCAATTAACAAATGAAATCTTAAAAAGGTGATGTCATAGAACTAGAAAGTAGAATAGTGGTTACCAGGTGCTAGGATTTTTGGTGAGGGTGGGATTTGGGGAGATGGTCAAAGGATACACAACTTCAGTTAGATAGGAAAAATAAATTCAAGAGATCTATTGTACAAGATGGTAACTAAGTTAATACCAACATATGGTATTCTTGAAAATGCTAGGAGAGCAGGTGTTAAGTGTTCTCACCTCAAAAATAACATGAAATAATATGTATTTTAATTAACTAGATTTAGTCATTCCACATGTATATATATTTCAAAAGATCATGTTGTACACAATAAACACACACAGATTTACCTGTCAATTTAAAAAATAAAATACCAAAAATTGGGCAAAGGACCTTAAGAGACCCTTCTCAAACTGAGACATGCAAATGACCAATGGGTTCATGAGAAAATGCTTAATATAACTAGTCATTAGGGAGATTCAAATTAAAACCACAATGATTTATCACCTTACATTTGTTAGAAGGGCATTTATCCATAAATACATCAATTATTATTTGTCTACTAAAATAAAATGTTAAAATAATTAAATTTAGCAAGATTGTAGTTTATAAGGCCAGTACAATGAAACAAATTGTATTTCTATAAAATGGAAATGAATACTTAAGAAAAAAAATTAAATTCCAAAAAAAGAAAGAAAGTATTGGCAAGGATTGCAGAGAAAAGAGAACTTTTGCCACTGTTTACAGTATTCTAAATTGGTGCTGCCATAATGGAACACAATATGGAGATTCCTCAAAAGACTGAAACTAGAACTACTATATGATCCAACAAACCCAATTTTGGAAATACATCCAAAGAAACTGATATAAGCATGTCAAAGAAATACCTGCACTCCAATGTTCATTGTAGTATTACTCACAGTACCCAAGATAAGAAATCAACCAAAGTGTCTATCAACAGAAGAATGGATAAATCAAATGTGGTATATACAGGGATACCGTGTTTTATCATGCTTTGCCTTGTTGCAATTTGCAGATATTGCATTTTTTACAAATTGAAGGTTTGTGGCAACCATACATTAAGCAAGTCTATCAGTGCCATTTTTTTCTAGTAGCCCGTGTTTACTTTGTATCTCTGGGTCACATTTTGGTAATTCTTAAATATTTCAAACTTTTTATGATTGCTATATTTGTTATGATGATCAGTGATCTTGATGTTACTATTGTAATAATTATTTGAGGGCACCAGAAACCTTGCCCATATAAGATGGCAAACTTAATCCATAAATGTTGTGTGTGTTCTGACTGCTCTAACCACTTCCTGTTCCCCCATCTGTCTCCCTCTTCTCAGGTCTCCTTATATGCTAAGACACAATAATATTGAAATTAGGCCAATTAATAACCCTACAATGCCCTCTATGTATTCAAGTGAAAGGGAGAGTCACACGTCTCTCACTGTAAATCAACAGCTAGAAATAATTACATTTAGTAAGGAAAGCATTTCAAAAGCTGAGATAGGCCAAAAGCAAGGTGGGCCAAACAGACAAGTTGTGAATGCCAAGGAAAGTTATTGAGGGAAACTAAGTGCTACTCCCATGAAGATGTAAGTAATAGGAAAATTAAACAGCCATATTGCTGATATGGAGAAACTTTGAGTAGTCTAGATAGACGATCAAACTAGCCACACATTCCCTTGAACCAAAGCCTAATCCAGAACAAGTTCTTAATTGTCTTCAATTCTATGAAGGCTGGGAGAGGTGAGGAAGCTGCAGGAAGGAAAAAAAAAAGTTTCAAGCTAGCAGAGGTTGGCTTATGAGGTTCAAGGAAGGAGGCCATCTCTAGAAGATAAAAGTGCAAGGTGAAGAAGTAAGTGTTGATGTACAAGCTACAGAAAGTTATCGAAAATATCTAGCTATGATAATTGATGAATACACTAAACAACTGATTTTCCATGGAAACAAAACAGCTTTATATGAAAAGGTGATTAGGACTTTCCGAGCTAGACAGAAAGTCAGTATCTGGCTTCAAAGCTTGGAAGGACAAGCTGACTCTCTTGTTAGGGGCTAATGCATATGATGATTTTAAGCGGAAGCGAGTGCTCTTTTGCCATTCTGAAATCCTAGGGACCCTAAGAATTATGCTGAGGCCGGCCGCGGTGGCTCACGCCTGTAATCCCAGCACTTTGGGAGGCCGAGGCGGGCGGATCACTAGGTCAGGAGATCGAGACCATCCTGGCTAACACGGTGAAACCCCATCTCCACTAAAAATACAAAAAAAAATTAGCTGGGCATGTTGGCGGGCGTCTGTAGTCCCAGCTACTCCCGTGGCTGAGGCAGGAGAATGGCGTGAACCCGGGAGGCGGAGCTTGCAGTGAGCTGAGATCGCGCCACAGCACTCCGGCCTGGGCGACAGAGCGAGAGACTCCGTCTAAAAAAAAAAAAAAAAAAAAAAAAATCTACTCTGCTCTATAAACGGAACACCAAAGACTGGATGACAGCACCTCTGTTTTACAGCATGGGTTACTGAATATTATAAACCCAACATTGAGACCTCCTGCTCATATAAAAAAAGTCTTCATATTATGAAAAGATTGACAAAGTACCAGGTCACCCAAGAGCTCTGATGCACATGTACATAAGATTAAATGTTCTTTTCATGTGTGTTAAAGCAACATACATTCTGTAGCCCATGGAACAAGGAGTAATTTTGACTTTTACATCTTATTTTTTAAGAAATACATTTTGTGAGGCTATAGCTACCATAGATAGTGATTTCTCTAATGGATCTACGCAAAGTAAATTGAAAACCTTCTGAAAAGGATTTACCATTTTAGATGCCATTAACATAGATTCATGGGAGGAGGTTAAAATAACAACATTAACAGGAGTTTGGAAGAAGTTGATTCAAGCCGTCCTGGATAACTTTGCGGGGTTCAAGACTTCAGTGGAGGAAGGAACTGCAGATGTAATGGAAAATGCAAAAGAACTAGAATTATAAGTGGAACCTGAAGATGTGAATAATTACTGCAATCTTATGATAAAATTTTAATAAATGAAGAGTTGTTTCCTAAGGATGAGCATAGAAAGTGGTTTCTTGAGATGGAATTTACTTCTGGTAAAGACGCTGTGAACATTGTTGAAATGAAAACAAAGATTTTGAATATGACATAAACTTAGTTGATAAAGCAGCAGCAGGGTATGAGAGCATTGACTCCAATTTTGAAAGAAGTCCTACTGTGGGTAACATGCTATCAAACAGCATCACATAGTACAGAAAAAATCTTTCATGAAAGGAAGAATCGATTGATGTGGCAAACTTCATATTTGTTCTGTTTTAAGAAACTGCCACATCCACATCCACCTCCACCTTCAGCAACTACCATCCTGATCAGTCAGCAGCCATCAATATTGAAGCAAGACTCTCTACCAGCAGAAAGATTATAACTTGCTGAAGGCTCAGAGTATCATTGGTATTTTTGACAATAAATTATTTTTAAATTAAGGTATGTACATTGTTTTTTAAGACATAATGTTATTGCACACTTAATAGACTGCAGTGTCATATGAATATAACTTTTATAGGAACTGGGAAAACAAAAAATGTGACTCATTTTATTCCAACATTTGCTTTATTTCAGTTGTCCAGAACTGAACTTACAATATATGTACATCTGTATACAAAATAAAATACTATTCAACTTTAAGAAAGAACAAAATTCTGTCATTTGAGACCACATGGGTATGTATAGAGGACACTATGCTAAATGAAATAAGCCAGGCACAGAAAGACAAATACTGCATGATCTCATTTATATGTGGAATCTTGAAAGAGTTGAATTCATAGAAAGAGAGAGTAGAATGATAGTTATCAGTGTCTGATGGGAAAGACAAGTGAGGTAATGGGGAGTTACTGATCAAAGGGTACAAAATTTTAGCTAGTCAGGAGGAATAAGTTTTGAAATCCAATGCATAGCAGGGTGATTAAAGTCAATAACAATGTGTATTTCAAAAGTACTAAAAGTAAATTCCAAATGTATCATCACAAAAAATGTCCAGTAAGTGAGGTGGTGGATATGTTAATTAGCTTGATTTAATCACTCCGCATTTTGTGTGTGTGTGTATCAAAATATCACATTATACTCTATAAATGCAATACATTTATGATTTTTAACTAAAAATATTATAAATGTTAAATATTTAAGGAGAGAGACACTATAAAAAATCTATTTCTGCAAATTTATAATGTGGATAGAATGAATCAATTTCTCCAAGACACAAAGTACAAAAAATTCATGAAAGAAATAGATAATTTGAATAGATTTTCATTTTTTAAATAAGTGAAACTGATAATAACCTAAAAAATGACACCTTGCCAATTTTAGTTTCACTGTTTATTTTGATCAAACATTTAAGGAAAAAGTATTACCTGTTGTCCAAAATTTCTTCCAGAAAAAGGAAGCAAAGGACGTACTTCCTAAGTCATTCTTTGAGGCCAGCATTATGCTAATACTAAACCATATGCAGACATGCATAAGAAAACTATAGACCAATACCTCTCATGAACACAGAGGCACAAACCATCAGCAAAATATTAGCAACCCTAATATAACAATGTGTTACATTTATTACAGACCACATCCAACTGGGATTTATTTCAGGTACAAAGGCTGGTTCAATTTTCAAAAATCAATTATTCTAATTTCAAATACACTAACAATTAACAATCAAAATTTGAAGTTAAAAAATACATTTACAATAGCATCCAGAAATATGCAACATGTATACATCTAACAAAATAAGTAAGAATCTGCATGCTGAAACTACAAGGAAAATTTAAATAAATGGAGATATATCATGTGATCATGGATTAGAAAACTCAATTGTTAAGATGTCAGTGCTTCCAAACGCGACCTATCAATTTAATGCAATTCCATCAAAATCTTCACAAGGTATTTTATAAATATTGACAACTTCACAAAGGCTATTCAGTGGAGAAAAGGTGGCCTTTTAAACAAGTGGTACCTGAAAAATTTGACACCTACAAACAAATAAATAAACAAACCTAGACACAGATCCTACAACTCATAAAAAAAAAAAATGGAAATGGGTAAGGGACCTAAATGTAGAATGTAAAGCTATATGATTTGAAGAAGTGAGCATATGAGGAAATCTTTGTGATCTTGGATTTGGATACATGTTTTCAGATGCAATATAAAAGTATGATCCATAAAATAATTGTTCATCTGGACATTACAATTAATAATTAAATAACAAAATTTATTCAATTAGATTTCTTAAAACTAAAAACTTCTGCTTCCTGAGACACTGTTAAGAGAATGGAGTAACAAGCCACAGACTGGGAGAGCACATTTGCAAAACATGTATCTATGAACGAAGTCGGATTAAAACATGGAAAGAACATTTACCAGTCAAAGTAAAAGAAAAAAATCAATCTACCCAATTAAATGTATGAGCCAAATATCTGAACAGCTACCATTCCAAGGAAAATATAGATTGCAAATAAGCATGTGAAAAGGTGGTTTACATCATGTTATTAGGAAAATGCAAATCAAAAGAAAAATGAGACATCACGGCATACTTATAAGTGGCCTAAATCCCGAAATTGAAATTCAAATGTCTGCTGAGGACACAAACTGATAGGAACTCTTCTTCATTGTTGAAGGGAATGTAAAATAGTTTAGTCACTTTGGAAGACACTTTGGTAGTTTCTCATAATGGTAAATATAACCATACCATATAATTCAACAACTGGCTTGAAATAAAGGAAGCTGGGTGTGGAATATATGAGAGTTCTCTATATTATCTCTGAAATTTTTCTGTAAATCTTGAACTATTCTCAAATTAAAAGTTCATTTAAAAGTTGAAAATTATATTATTTATAATCAAAATCAAATTTCCAAAGTACCTAACAATATATCAAGGAAAGATACAATATTTATTCAGTAAATTATAAAACTGCAGTACTATTCACAATGGCAAAGACATGGAATCCACCTAAATGCCCATTAATGATAGAATGGATAATGAAAATGTGATAGATAAACACCATGGAATACTATGCAGCCATAAAAAGAAGATCATATCCTTTGCAAGAACATGGATGGAACTGGAGGCCATTATTTTTAGCAAACTAACACAGGAACAAAACCAAATACTGCATGTTCTTACTTATAAGTGGCAGCTAAATGATGAGAACACATGGAAACATAGTGGGACTTTTCGGAGGGTGAAAGGTGGGAGGAGGGAAAGTATCAGGAAAAAAAATAAGAATATCGGCTTTATACCTGGGTGATAAAATAATATGTACAACAAACGCCCCTGACTCAAGTTTATCTATGTAACAAACCTGTACATGTACCCCTGAACTTAAAATAAAAGTTAAAAAAACTTCAAGTCATTAATAAAGACATGAATAAGTAAATATGTACACCATACTCATCAATAGTTAAAACAACAAATATTTTAGAAGTGATGCAAAGCTTCCAAATTACCATATATAAATTCAATTTAAATTCAACTGAAATCTCTGGAGTACGTATATGTATGTGTGTGTGTGTGTGTGTGTGTGTGAATGTGTGTTTTGTAAATTTTTATGGTTTTATCTTAAAACATTTGTGGACATTTTCAGAATGGCTAATAAAAAAATTAGCAAAACAAAAACAAAGCAAAAAAAAAAGAATAGGAATTACATTCCAGAAACTTGATAGAATACACAGAATAATAATTTTAAATGTTTGTTAGTCATAGAATAACAGACCCATTCATGGAAAAAGTGAACAATAAAATTAATGGTGTTGGGACAATTAGTTATCCATATGAATAAAAACTACAGCTGAATTCCTACTCCATATTACTCAAACAGCCTATTTCTCATAAGCTGAATACTTAAATGGGAAAAGTAAATCTTCAAAATATTTAGAATGTATAGAAAATATATTTTTATAGATTTATGTTTAGAAGACTTATTTTAAAACTCCCTAAATAGACAAATTATAAAGGAAGCAACTGATAACTTTGGTATATTAAAACATAAAGCAAAACAAAAGCCTAAAATGAAGTAAACCACAGAATTAGAGAGATATATGTAACATACATAACTGATAGAATATTAAGATTTAGACTACAAAAATTAAATGCTATAACTCCCCAGTGAAAAAAACAAATATTTAGCCTAAGGGAATAAAGGGAAAATATAAATAAGAAGTAATGAACAAAAATTCTTATGTCAAATGTCTAATAATCATAATACAGATAAATCATACTGATTCAAGTTAAAATAGTAATGTAATATCATTTTGGAAAATTTTTTAAAGAACTGAAAATTCTAAGTGTAGATGATACTGCATAAAAATGAAAGCACTCATAAACTTTTGATCAGACTATAACATAATAAATTTAGAAACTAAGTGTAGTAGAGTGTACTTAGAGTACATTAATGTCATTCCTAAGAACATAAAGCAGAGGTTCTTTGTCCTGGAATTATATCAGTACCACTTGGTGAACTTGTAAAAGACAACAATCTTCTGTGACATTCCAATTAACACAGAATCTCCGGTGATGGGGTTTAAGTCATCAAAGTTATTTAATATTGATCCGTAAAAAGAGTCCAAGAGTCCAAAGGCCAAAGAACCTGGAGTCTGATGTCCAAGGGCAGGAGTAATGGAAAGAAGCATCCAGCACAAGAAAAAGATGAAAGTGAGAAGCCTCAGCAAGCCAGTTTATCCCACCTTCTTCTGCCTGCTTTCTTTTAGCCATGCTGGCAGCTGATTGAATGGTGCCCACCCACACTGAGGGTGGGTCTTCCTCTCCCGGTCCACTGACTCAAATGCCACTCTCCTCTGGCAACACACTCACAGACACACCCAGAAACAACACTTTATTAGCCATCAAGGCATCCTTTAATCCAATCAAGTTGACACCTAATACTAACCCTCACAAGTCCAACACCTGTCAGCTTGGCACCCATACACGTCTCCTGAAATTATACTTAATCTCCAAATAAAGACAATAACAAGATCATAATTATGCCTAACATAACACAGCTACCCTTTATACAATGGGAAGCACACTAATCCTTAACCTAAATGCTATCACATAAAGTTAACAACAGTTAAATGTTGATATGAAGTCAGTAAATCTTCTGCCACATTATAAAGGAAAAAGAAAAGATAAAATGAAAATATTTTCTTAGTACAAGCATATACATGCACAAACATATTCTTAACACAATAGGGAGGAAATATTCATGACAACGACAGTCCTCGTTTCTGCAACTGGTATTGATAACCAGGTATTGGTTGTGGTTTTTTACCCGGTGAAGTGCCCCAAACTTTCATTGCTGAAGGTTATGGGCCATTTGTAGCCCTGTTTGAATTGGGTTGCTGTAGTTTCTCATTGACCTTAATCACAAGGCATGGTAGTACAGAGACACCCTAAGGGATCTCCTGTATTTCATTAATACTCTGCCTTTCCTCCATTGTGGAGTAGTAGTCTGATTTCATCTTGATAGTCTGGGTCAGTCACCCCAGACAACATTGTAACTTCCTTCTTAGCCTGTTGATTTAAAGACAGGAGGAGCCCAAAGTGGCCAGGTGGTAACCTTAACTTCCAGTTTAATGGAATCATTTTATGTCCTGGTGGCAGCATTCCTCCCTCTGGAACTAAGGCCTCTAGGCCAGCAGAATTTAATGTCATGGGAACAGGAAGCAAAAATTTTGCTAGTGGGTCACTAGGGGTGATGGTGAGTGGTGCCACTTTCACTCCTTGACTCCTGGACCCATGAATCCTGGCTATGGGAGAAAGAGTACCATATATTGG
The DNA here is from genome assembly GCF_000001405.40 of Homo sapiens. Taxonomy (NCBI): domain Eukaryota; kingdom Metazoa; phylum Chordata; class Mammalia; order Primates; family Hominidae; genus Homo; species Homo sapiens. The sequence continues at coordinate 29,297,919 of NC_000018.10, forward strand.
ACGCTGATTCAGAGTATACACATCCTCCTGGAGAACTTTGCCCTAGCCCTGCAAAGTATTGTCACCTAATTGGCATTGTAATTGTGACTTCAAAAGGCCACTTCACCATTTTATCAAGGCAGCTGCTTGAGGATGAAGGAGAACATGGTAAGACCAGTAAATTCCATGAGTATGAGCCCACTGCCACACTTCTTTAGCTGTGAAGTGAGTGCCTTGGTCAGAGGCAATGCTGTATGGAATACCATGACAGGGGAAAAGCATTCTGTGAGTATATGCACGGTAGTCTTGGCAGAAGCATTGTGTGCAGGATAGGCAAATCCATATCCAGAGTAAGTGTCTATTCTAGTGAGGACAAACCACTGCCCTTTTAGGTAACTCGATATTTGGACTGGAGTAATACACCCAAATGAGGAATGTGTTGCCTCCAACATCCAAATAGGCCTACTAGGCATTGTGCCTTTTTCATGGTTGTAGGAAGAACCAAATGCAACAACCACTGCCACTGGACCCCCAAAATTTTCACTGAGGTAGAAGGTCCCTGAATTTTAGTTGGATTTATTTCCCATCCTCTGGAACACAAATATCTCACCAATAAGTCCAGTGTGGTTGCTACTTCTTGCTCACTGGGTCCAATCAACATAATGTCATCAATGTAATGAACATGTGTGATATCTTGTGGAAGGAAAAAGCTATCAAGATTGCTGCAAACAAGATTGTGACACAAAGCCAAATAGTTGATATACCCTGAGGTAGAACAATGAAGGTGTGTTGCTGGCTTTGCCAGCTGAAGGAAAATTGCTTCTGGTAGGCTTTATGAACAGGAATAGTGAAAAAGGCATTTGCCAAATCAATGGCTGCATACCAAGTACCAGGAGGTTTGTTAATTTACTCAAGCAATGAAACCACACCTGGCACAGCAGCTGCAATTGGAGTCACCACTTGGTTAAGCTTATGATAATCCATTGTCATTCTCCAAGGTCCATCTGTCTTCTGCACAGGCCAAATGGGAGAGCTGAATTAAGATGTGGTGGGAATCACCACCTTTGCGTCCTTTAAGTCCTTGATGGTGGCACTGATCTCAGCAATCCCTCCAGGGATGAGATATTGGTTTTGATTTACTATTTTTCTAGGTAGAGGCAGCTCTAATAGCTTCCATTTGGCCTTTGCCACAATAATAGCCCTCACCGTACTGGTCAGGGAGCCTATGTGGGGATTCTGCTAACTACTAAGTATATCCATGCCAATTATGCATTCTGGCACTGGAGAAATGACCACAGGATGAGTCCAGGGACCCACTGGACCCACTGTAGGTCAGACTTGAGCTACAACTCCATTAATTACCTGACATTCACAAGCCCCTCCTCTAACTTGAGGGCCACAGTGACATTTTGGGTCCCCTGGAATCAATGTCACCTCAGAAGTAGTGTTCAGTAGTCCCTGAAAGGTCTGATTATTTCCCTTTCCCCAATGCACAGTTACCCTGGTAAAAGGGCGGAGGTCTCCTTGGGGAAAGATGGGAGAAAGATTAACAGTATAATTGTGGGTAGTGTAGTGGGGGTTCCTCAAAGGGACTTGGCCTCCCCTTCATTCAAGGGTTCCTGGATCTGTAAACTGGCTCAAATCTGGAAATTGATTGAGGGGCGGTGATGCTCTATGTTTATAATTCAAATTAGTCTTTTGTCCACTGGACCTGGAAGTTTTCTGCTTATACAAATTAAGTAACAGTGTAGTAGGCTTCCTATCGATTTCATTTCTAGGAACACTATGATTAATTAGCCAATGCCAGAGCTCTACATGAGTCAGACTATTCTGATTGCTGCTTTGCCTTGCTGTCTATTATGGTAACTATGACCACCTTGCTTCTGACGGTTGAGTGCCACCACCAGAGAAGAGCAATCACAGAGCTCTTCAAGGATGCAGGCACTCCCCTCACAAATCTATTTTGCAAGGTATTGATGAAGGGTATGTCTTCTGGACCCTCCCAGTTGGGATATGTAGATCTCAAATGACAAATCCAATCTAGCATTCCAATATCCCTAAGCCTTTGGATCCCTTCCTGTACACTAAACCAAGGAAGATCGGGCATTTCCAGCTTGCTCACAGTGGGCCATCTTTTGATCCATGTTTCAGCTGACCAAGAAAATAAACTTAGAATCTTCTTACCTTCCCAAGCTGCAACATTAAATGCACCTAATATTAATCATCACAATGTCATAGTATTGAACTTTCTGAGAATGGTTCATTTCTTTGTTTTGGTTATACTCTGTTTAACAACAATATTGAACATATTGATGATTTAAGAAAACTGTAGTAATGATACAGATGGATAAGTAAGAGGAAAGTGAACAATTGAGGGGGTTACAGAAATAACTTATCTCATAAACCGGAAATAAAAACAGGAAAAAAGACAGATTTTAGACAAGAACGTTAGAAGACTTTAAATAAAATAGTACAATGGAATTATGAGTAGAGAGACCACAAATGTAACACAAAAGCCTCAGTAACTTGCTTACCTGGGAAAGGCCTAAGCACAGGTTGGAACTCGAGATGCTGTACATTAATATATAATTTTAATATGCAGCCCCATGAAAACTAATTTGCATGTTATAATTACCTTTCCAACTGTCTTTCACGAGATAACTACACCGCCATTAACAAAACTTTAATGTATCACTTTTTTTCTACTAAATAAATTTGCTTTACAGTATTGCTTACTATTTCTAAGGAAATGGCAAAACCCCCTCATGCTTCATTAAGCAGAAATAATTGGGAATGTTTGGAGTTTTGATTTTATTGTGAAAGAATACTTCATAGCAGTAGCTAAATTAATGACATTGTTTTCCAAATAGCTGCTGCACAATAACTCACATCTTATTAAAATTCTTCATTTTAGTTAAATTAGGTCTTGGCTTGTGTGAAGCTAGCTTTGTGGCTCTCAAGAAGAGAAAGGATAAGAACACAGTAAGTGCAGAGGAAGATTACTCGTTATACCTAATTCATCTTCTGATATGTTAGTTCCTATCGTTTCTGAAAAAAGTCAGAAATCAATCCACTTGCATACAAATAAAAATGCAAAATCTATGTTCCCCAACCTCTGAGAAAAATTGACTTCCAGATATATTTAAATACTGGAGAGAAAAGAAAAATAAATAGATGTTTAAATAAAAAATTATTCTCAAAAATTTTATAAAAAAGGCAAAAATTAGAGATAACTGAGCATTTAGAGGTAAATATAAATGGCAAGCAACCGATGTGAAATTTAAAGGAAGTGTTATTTTGGCAAATTCTTGCCTGCCTGATAAATAATCTACTACATAATCTGTTGACTCGGCATTTCCACTCTAATCTACTACTGAGGTCTAAGTGACCTATGTCCTAACCCAAGTGGCAAAATCCCTATCACCAATTAAAGCAAACCAATGTAGACTCCCACTTCCACCTTCACCTTCATGCTCATAGGGAATGTTCTCCACCTTCTCCACGGTTGAAATCTTTCTGTTCTTTGAGGCTAAACTCAAATTCCAATTACTTTGAACTACTCCCTCTTTGAAGAAATCTTATTCTTCTGTTGTTATATGAACTTGGCCCTAGAACACATGAACACATTGGGGGAAACATCATACACTGGGTTCTACTGAGGGCCATTGGGGGAGGGAGAGCATCAGGAAGTATAGCTAATGAATACTGGGCTTATTGCTTAAGTAATGGGTAGATCTGTGCAGCAAATCACCATGGCACACATGGTTTGTTACCTAGGTAACAAACCTGCACATCCTACCCATGTACCCCAGAACATAAAATAAATGTTGATGGGGAAAAAAAAGGACTTGCTCTTATTTATAACCTGGTCATTTCCCAGTACATAAAAGTGTTTAATAAATAATTTTTTCATAGAATGGAATACTCCAGTTAAGTAAAAGTTATTTTTTAATCTGATGGTCAAAATACAGAAAATGGCACATAAAATGACTTTCAATATGCACCTTATAATTAAAACTGTTATTGTATTGTGTAAATAGGTTACACATGTTTTCTTTTTTCCTATTGGCATAAATTACTGAGAATATTTTCTCTCCCACCTTAGTTATAGCTTCATAAATGAGTTGGAAGAAGTAGAGAAACTGAAGACACCTTATAATTAATATTCTTTTCATATTTTATACTGAAGAATTTATTTGTTAAGAAACAAAAACCTATGTTTTGGGGTTAATCACTTGAAAATTGTTATAAATGGTGAGGTTGTCGTTTTTCTAAATTATTTATGCTTATTTTTGCTACCTTTTCCTATTCATCTTTTAGGTAAACAGGCCATTGAAATAGCACTTCTGAATCTGCAATGAGCCTGACATTATTGACTATAGTTTTAAAGGCACTATTTTTTGTTTATATGAGTAAGGATTTTACAAATATCTATCATTAGAGCAAAAAATCATAAAACACAAGAAATTTAGGAATAAATTAAGTGCTTCTCTTTTAGATAAAGTACAAGGAAAGAATAAGAGAATTCACTAAAATTACACCCAGATGAGTTTTGGCTCAACCCATGGTCTCTGACTCTGTTTGCTAGAGGAGACTTTAATTTATTCGTGTAAGCACATTTTTTCTTAAGGAACACTTACATACACTGTTGGTGGGAGTATAAATTAGTTCAGCCATTGTGGAAGACAGTGTAGTGATTCCTGAAAGACATAGACAGAAATACCATTGACCCAGTGATCTCATTTCCAGGTGTATACCTGAAGGAATATAAATCATTCCACTGTAAAGACACATGCGCGCATATGTTCATTGCAGCACTATTCAAAATAGCAAAGACATGGAATCTACTTAAATGCCCATTAATGATAGACTGGATAAAGAAGATACACCATGGAAAAATATGCAGCCATAAAAAAGAACAAGAAAAAGAACAAGGCTATGTCCTTTGCAGGCACATGGATGGAGCTGGAAGCCATTATCCTTAGCAAACTAACACAGAAACAGAAAACCAAATACCTCATGTTCTTACTTATAAGTGGGAGCTAAATAATGAGAACACATGGATATACAGAGGGGAACAACACACACTGGGTACTTTCAGAGGGTGGAGGCTGGGAGGAGGAAGAGGATCAGAAAAAATAACTAATGGGTACTAGGCTTAATGCCTGGACGATGAAATGATTTGTACAGAAAACCCCCATGACACAAGTTTACCTATGTAACAAACCTTCACCTGCACCCCTGAACTTAAAGGTTTTTTTAAAAAGGGAAATATTTTTCTTATTTGATGCTATCAATTTTTATGCATTTTCCTCAGTCTGGCAGTTTAAACTCATTCACATTCACAGCTGTCTCTTCCTATGGATAGCTCAACTACACTACAGATTGCTACAATCTTGAGTACAATCTTGAGATTAATAATGATGATTCTGGAAACAGACCACCTAAGTTTGAATCCTGGGTATGCAAGCCTCAGCTTTGTCACCTTGTCCAAGAATGTACTTTATAAAATTGCTTCTAATATTATAGTAAAAAAGACAACGTATTTAACATTTGACTTAGACATGTGAACACTATAAGCATTCAATGAATGTTATTAAAAGTCTGGATTTTTTCCTATATTTCTTCAATATCTAGCTTTACAGCAATTTACTTGTTCTTCCATTGAATAATCTCCTGAATCAATCCCCATTTTTCTACTACAACAGTCAATTATTTGGCTTAGGGGAACTTTTTAATCATGTGTAAACTATTGCAACAGCCCTCTTACTGGTCTAATAGAAACACTCCCTGCAATCTGGTCCTCCTCCTGCTGCCAGAATGTTCTTTCTAAAAGGCATATCTGATGTCCAGTGAAGATATAACAAACAATTCACACTTCGATACCCTACTCTGCCTCAGGCATTTAGAAGGAATATATAAAATTCACAAAGAGAAACCACTGAGACATAACTTCTCTCAAAAAAAGATAAATAATTTAACAGGTTGTAAGATTGACAAGAAATTCAAAGCCCTGAGAGGGGCTGGCATGGACCTCCTGATTCGCAGTGATGAAAGCTGGAAGTGAGTTTGAGACCATTGCTGGAGGCCCTGGCTCAAGAAGGGTTTCATGGGCTTCATAGAAAGTTGTGGCAAGGACAACTTTTTTTCCCTACAACTGGGGATTAAATAAAGAAGCTATAGACTAGTTTCTTATTGTGTTGAGATATCCTCAATGCAAGCACAAGACAGGAGGCTCTAAACACGTAAGACCTAAACATGTAAGACTTAGCTCTCTACTGAAATTTGAAGAAAACACAAGTAAGACTTGGTGCTCTACTGAAATTTGAAGAAGTGGGATTAGTGTGAACAAGATATTATGAAAAATCCTCCCCCTTAAAAACACGCGGAAGTGCTGGACACTACATAACAAACATCCTTGAAAATGCATAGCTAGCTGTCTCTCTCTCTTTCATATAAACTCATTCACCCAGAATACACATGGGGAAACTCCCAAAAGTCAAATAGAAGCATAGATCTGGAAATCAGGAGCAGTCAAAAAGTTTGGAAGCTGCAGGGTTGAAGATCACACAGACAAGACACAATCTTTGCTTTAGAGAGTTCACTGACAGGGTGGCAATTTAAGGCGATGAAATCAATTTATTATTGATATATGATTGTAATTATGAGTGGAATACACAGGAATTGAAGCAAAGAAGTCCCATTTAACAACTGATCTTTGTATTCGTAATCATCAATACAGTAACAACACCGATAGTTACAGCTAAATTTATTGAGCGCTTACTACAAACAAGGTACTGTTCTACGTGTTTTACAATTAATGCTAACAACACACTGTAAAGTGGGTGTTACTATTACCTTCATTCCACAAATGGGGAACGTTGCATGAGTCAAGACTTCTTGATTTTGATAGCTGAGGGGAGACAGTGGGAGGATAGCATGTCTGTCTAGCTAGCTAGCTATATTTATATATCCACCAATTCTCATGGGCAAGTTGCAAATGCACAATGACTACATAGCCAATTATATTTTTTGTTTAATACAATATTTCAGTCTGTTTTATTCAAAAGAATATAATTTAACTGCTTACTCTTTACTCCTCTAATGCCATCCTCATAAGTTCCTGAACTAAATGGTATCCTTGAGTCTCAGGGCATACAGCCATCATATTGTCCTATCCCATTCCTAAAGGGTAAACTTGGTATGCTCTCTTGGCAGATAGCAACTATTGAAAATCAAATGCTTACATGTCAGACAAATTGACTCTGTGTAGTGCTCTGCTGGATGAGTTAATTGCCTTTTGTGTGGTTCTGCGTGAACGGTCAGTCCACAGTGGTATATTACTGAGAAGAGAGAGAATAGTGGTTTCATAAACATTTCAAGAAAAGTTTCTACTTGCTACTTAATTGGGATGTCTAAAAGTGAGTCTCATCTGTTCTGCATAGAGACAATAACTAAAACATTGTTTAGGTAAAAATGAATATTAACACTCTCATCACAACTATTATTTTTCTTTACGTCTTACAAAGTGTTTTTCTCTAGAGCACCTTTGTTCTGTGTTCTAAGAAATAAAATATTCTTATAATACACAGTTAATAGTAGTAGTTTTCTGAAATATTTTCATCCATTTCATGTATTAATATAATGAAGGATAATTAGAAGTTTCCAGCCAGACTGTCTTATTCTAATACTGTAGTACACTATTGAACACTTTTGCATACCTATGTAGGATACAAAGACTTCTTTAGGGTTTGGCTGTTTTCTTTTGTCACAATCACAGGCAGTGAAATACAGTGGAATTTGGATGAGATTTGGAGTTAGACAAGGCTGGACTGGATCCTGGATCCACTAACCGCAGTCTGTGTGATCTTAAACAGAGCTGAAGGCTTCTGTGACGGGTAAGTTAGGTAATGCTTCTGAAAACAATACACACCTCCGTGGCCTCTTAGTAGTATTTAAAAATTATTTCTTCAACTTAACTGAGATTTATTTTGGCAAAAATAATTGTTTTTAAGTTTAATTTTTATTATAAAATAGAATGTTTTTTGATGGATAAAGTATGAATAGTTCATTTGTTTCCACACTAAGCAATATTTGACTCACATAAAAAAATTTGACACTCGTATTCTGGAAATCAATGAAAATATTCTAAAAAATAGTTATTCGATGATTTAACAAATGAGTGAATACTTAAGTGATCTAAAATTTAATCAATGAAAATATAGAGTTGCCAACAATATAATGTAGTTTGTTTCTTATTTCATTAATCTGTGACATTATGAATATTGAATCAATAAATATATAGCAGATTTCCTATTTTACAAATATGTGTGTGTTTAGGGATGGGGTGCTTCTTTGTAAACCATGACTTATAAATCTTTAGTGTATAATGAATGCTAGAGAGAATTTGGCTTATTTATATCTCACGATTAGGACACTGCAATTAAGAGTCACACACATTTACACAATTATACAGAAGTGCTCTGATTGGAGAGTGACAGGGAGCTCTCCTCCCTTGGGTGTCCACAGTGCTCCCTAAAAGATTCTATATAGCCCTAGATAATCTGTGAAAACAGTTTGAAAATATTACTTTTATCTCTTCCAGCCATAAAAATGATTGGTTATTCAACTCTATAAATGTGTCGTAAAAAGTATAGGGTGATTTTATATTTCAAAATAATATAAACAATTAAAAACTCTACATAATACTAACGAAATTAAGACACAAAATTATGTGAATTGCTTCCCTGGTTACATTCAATAGTAGCTACAAAAAAACTTGAGGGAGCAGAGTTTTATCATAAGTGCAGCTGCAGGATGTAGAAGTATCAGATCATCTAAACATGATAATCATCTTACATTCTGGGCATGAAACATTACTTCTTGATTTATTATAATTGATGGAATTTTAACCCGGCAATAAAAATTGTCTTAATTTTAAGGCATCTTGAAGAAGACAGTAATATATTAATGTTTAATAGAATTTTTTATACATTATAACGTGTCCCCTGTCCCATGTCCTATACAACATGTTTAAATAGAAGAAATCACTGCATGGGTGTATTTTTACAGTATACTTAGACAAACTAATTTTTTTATTTTTTATTTTTGAGACGGCGCCTTGCTCTGTTGCCCAGGCTGGAGTGCAATGGTGCGATCTCGGTTCACCGCAGCCTCCGCCTCCTGGTTTCAAGTGATTCTCCTGTCTCAGCCTCCTGAGTAGCTGGGATTACAGGCATGTGCCACCACTCCTGGCTAACTTTTTGTATTTTTAGTAGAGATGGGGTTTCACCATGTTGGCCAGGCTGGTCTCGAACTCCTGGCCTCGTGATCCGCCTGCCTCGGCCTCCCACAGTGCTGGGATTACAGGCATGATTGATAAACTAATTTTTTAAAGAAGGAATTAAAGCTGCTGATGCATCTCATTGTGAGAATTAGTGAAACTTCCCTGACTCATATAAACATAGGTTTACTTTCCAGGCTTTTCCTGGCCTCACTTTTTACAAGTGAGAAACTGCTGCATCATAAGTCATTTTATCACTGGGAAGGATAATTCAGCTCAGCAAGGTTATTTCTGAACTTTTAAAAATGTATTAAGTATAAAGTAAATAGTGTGCTTTTACTGGGTAATGTGCAAACAGTTGCTCAATTAAAACTGAGTTTAATAGATGTTCTACTATTAATAAGTCTATTTATATCATTTATGAACCTAAGTAGTTTGCATTAATCTAGAAAAGCTAGTGCCAGATTTCTGAATTAATATATTTAAACCTGAGCTAAAAAATGGGTTAAATTTTATATATCAATTCTATTAATTGATGGCAAGTAGAACTCTGTGTTGAAAGGCTCTTAAGGGCCTAGGCTAAGGAAATAATGTCACTCTAGGGAATATAATTAAGAAATATTGGGAGATATGTCACGTACCTGGTTCAAAAGAATTACTGATGACAAAAAACATTTATCTGAGTGTTTGGAAAAAAAATACACACACACATATGCAGAAAAAATGTTGCTTCTTTGTTATTATTATTATAACTACTTGGCTATTTTCCTCAGGAGTGCACATGGTTTTTTGCATAACACAGTTAAAACATCTACATTTGAGCTACGATCCAGATTAAGCTCTTAAAACTCCATGGACTTTTTCAATAAAATTCTTAATTTGAGATTCACAGCTCCTTCCTGGCAGGAATATTTATTTGTTGGGGATTCCCTGTGCACATAATAAGCAGGGACTTTTTGTAATGAGGACATGTATTCATATCTGTTGTGTGTGGGTGTGTGTACTTATACACACACAAAATGCACATATATATACACACACAAAATGCACATGTATATACACACATTTTGGACATGACACATGTATTTTTGCCTTAGTACATCAGTAAGTGTTCCACTTCAGTGGAAGATGTGGTTATACAAGCCATGGAGGTCTACTAAATACATAATTTTCCTTTATTAACCTTTTAAGGAGAATATATTGAATGTTTTTCAATTTGAAACCAACTATTGTAAATAGGTGTCTTATAATATCCCCATGGTTTTTATAGTTGATATTATCTTTCTCATATCATGACTTACAGAATTTTATTTCTTCATTTTCCCTCATTTTAGCAAAGTTAAATTTGTAGGCAATGTACACAAGGCTTCTGAAAAAATCATTTCTACCAAACCAATGATAAGTATGCTTTAAGTTTGTCTACTTCATATGAACGTATTTATCTCTACAGAAGCTGACTTCAATTTTCAGAGTTGTTTGTGTTCAAATTTCCAGATCCACCAGCCTTAAATAATATGTAATTTTAGGTAAACGACTTAAACATGATTTAGCTAACCTATAAAACATGAATGATAAAAGTAAATCTTTCCTATTCACAAGCAATTATGAGGATTAAATCGGATGGCCACTATAAAGTGGTAATCAGAACTTGGCATATAGTAAACAAAGACATAGTTGAAATTATCATAACAGAAAAACTGTCTTCCTAACTCAGAGGTAAGGCAATGAATTTTCAATATGAAACGTGAGTTATAGTTTTCTTTATATTTTAAGCTGTTGAGAACTATAGCCTGTAGTTGAGCTTCAGACTGCAGTTTCACCATCACATTTATTTATGTATCTCCTCTTTTCTGAGATAAATTTCCCTACCATGTTTCAAAATCAAAAAATTTCCCAATTGGAAGCTTCCTCTTCTATGCCAGATAAGACAGTAGTCACATACAACCATTAATTGCAAAATAAGTATACAAGTTACTTTAGAGGCAGTATCTGAAATACTCTAAAGTTATTTGATTTTAGTGATAAAAAGTTGCACATTTTAACATAAATTGTTTTGTTCACTTTTAATTAACTATTCTCTAATCTTTGATATTCAGAACTATGGTTTCCTGACTTTTCAACCTTTGTGTAATGATTCTATAGTGTTATCTGCTTAAGATTATCTTTTGACTTATCTGTCCTTCTAAAGGAAGACAATAAAGCATTAATAGTGGCTTGCTATGGGTATAAACAGGTCCTAAATCCTTTAAACAAATGGTTACAATCTGATTGTCTCATCTACTTATTGGTGCTATAGCTTCCTGTCATCTGAGTGCTGTTGAACTTGTAGTGTCTCAGAGTCACAGATAAGCTTTAAAGAGTGGAGATAACTTTTATTTGTTATGGGCAATAAAGCCAGAGTCTCCTCTGACAATCTGACAGGGAGGCATCTGAGGATGCAGATCCAGTCAAGCAGAACATACATTGAAATAGTGTCTGAAGGGCAAGGCACTGGAGGCATAGGCCGTATAAAACTTACACAATAAAATTTTATGGCAATGAGAGAAAATTAGAGAACAAGGAACAGAGGCTAAAACAGATCCTATCATGGAAAGTTGCACTAGTAAACATAAATCTACCCAAAGCCTCTCTGATAATGTCTGTTCAACAGTTTCAATGAAAACAATTAAGTAGCATTATATTTCTCATCCCTACTCTCTTCTATATATTCTTACAGTGTAATGTGTTTATATAGTCAATCTTTATGAGTTTAATACACACATAAACTCCGAATTTTCCTGCATAAAACATTAAATTCTATCCTGGTAAGCAATTATAGCAATTAGCACCTTTCACCATCAGGCATTTTTCCTGTGTCTGCCCAAAATGCTCATAAATTAGCCAAGTCATAACTTGTAGTTGTTTAATGCCTGTAAGTTTTTTTCTAGGAGACATAACTGAATACATGCCAAGGAGAATTAATTACGGTTGCTTGAAAACAAAACAATTAAGGGTATCTATAAATGTATTAAATATATGCAATATTTATGGCCATAATTTTATTTCAAAAACCTGATTCTCATTTAAGAATAAAATATAATTATATTTATAACAATAGAAAATCAATCTGTAAATATGAATTATTTCTTAGATTTCTAAAAATATTAATTTTTTCATTGTACATTTTTTGCAAAGGCAAAGTGAAATGGTTCTTTGACTTCTTTTCAAATCTTTCTTACCCAAATCTGCGAGTGTGAAAAGATGGCATTTTTATTTGCTTGAATTATTCAGATAATCAGTTTAGTTCTCAATTTTACCTGGTGAGATTAGCACAGAGTCACAAAGTCTCTTCATTATGTAATTTACCCTCAGTTTCTTCTCCACAGCAACTCTGGCCCCCACTACTTTACAATAACACCTGCTTGAGGGCTGGGGGTGGGAAAACAACAAAAAACAACTTCTGGAGAAGTTGATGATAGCTACCTGAAGTTGCAACCTCTTGATGCCCCATGCCTAGCTCCGTTGTAGACAATTCTGGCTGATGACTTTAATTCTTCTTTCTTGTCCTGCTGTTTGGGACTACTTCAATTCATTACCTCTATAAAGAGCACAATCCGGCCGGGCACGGTGGCTCACGCCTGTAATCCCAGCACTTTGGGAGGCCGAGGCAGTCGGATCACGAGGTCAGGATATCGAGACCATCCTGGCTAACACAGTGAAACCCCGTCTCTACCGAAAATACAAAAAAATTAGCTGGGCGTGCTGGCGGGCATCTGTAGTCCCAGCTACTCCAGAGGCTGAGGCAGGAGAATGGCATGAACCCGGGAGGCGGAGGTTGCAGTGAGCCCAGATCGCGCCACTGCACTCCAGCCTGGGCGACAGAGCAAGACTTCGTCTCAAAAAAAAAAAAAAAAAAAAAGGGTACCATCCAAATTACTCACATTTTCTTACCCTACTACGGGGGCAAATTAGGTCCAAAATATCATCAATATCTAAATTCAAGTTTTTGTCCTAAATACTTGGCTGAAAACTAGTTCATGTCTTTTATTCCTTTCCTGTCTACAGCTAACCTCAATATTTCAATAAAGCAAGTTTTTTTTCTTTTTTCCCTCTTCTTCCTTTTTTAAAAATCTGGTTTTCAAAACACGCAACTCTTTAGTTCTTAGATGCTAAATTCTTCTGCACTCCTTCCATCCTTCTTGAACTGTCTTTCAAGCTAAATCTCTCTGAAATCTCTGGATGTGTCATTTTTGGTAATGAGAATATCTTTTCTCAGGTTTCTTTCAAAGTGACCCGCTTAGGCAAGCAAATATTTTAATTAAAATGAAATTATCATGGAAGCTTTGGTCTTCTCCTTGAAGGTACATTATCCTGGTTCATTTACGTTTTTCTTTTTTTTTATTTTCTTTTTAGGGAAAATAATTGAATAAATAATATAGTTATTTGATACAGTATACTCTCAAACATAATACCTTTTAAAAACCTATCTCCTACATAAATTATTTTTACAGTGAGGGAAAAGAAAGCAAGAAATTGTTCCAAACTGACATTGTACTTCCTAAATGTAACAACCGTGATCATCTTCTAAGAATAGCATTCAGATCATCTGGGACTTTGCAGCCTCTTATCCCATTGCATTCTTAATGGATTCTAATTTCAGGCATACTGAGCTACACAGTATTAGTATCACACATTCTCAGGCCTCCATAATTTTGTTCATGTATATCCTTCTCTGCGTATGAAAAACTTGTTTTTTATTTGAATCTCAACTCAGAAATTACTTCTCTGAAACAAGTAAAAATTATGTGCTTCCTCTTATTAAATTCATAAAAATTGGATTTTTACTCCCATTGTAACACATATTTTATTTTCCTTTGAATTAGAGTTGGTTCTTTTCATGTGTGTCTCTGCTACTATATCACAAACTCTAATCAAAGATGACATACACACCTAGAATGGGGCTTTGCAGTTAGTAAACTATTTAATTCAAACAAAGAATTGCTCAAATTGGATAGAAAAATAAACTGGTTGGTAATACATTCTTCTCTTGTTTACATGATTTTAAATATATAGTCATTCATTGGTAATTATCTGGTGATTATTATATCCAGTCACTATATAAATCCAATCATTGTGGATAAGATTAATAAGATGGTTTCTATCCTTAAGGAACTCAAAGTCTAGTGAAAATGATGTAAAAAACCTGAGAATAGAAATATGCACTGGAAATTATAGAAAAACAATTTAAAGGCAACTTTCTTACCTGGGATGAGTCAGGGAGTGTTGTTTTTTGTTTGTTTGTTTGGTTTGGGTTTTTTGTTTTGTTTTGTTTTGTTTTATTCAAGACAGGGTCTCACTCTGTCACCCAGGCTGGAGTGCAGTGGTGCCATTAGGGAATGTTTTTAATGTTAAGTCTGAGTTGATTTGATAGAGAGGAAGTAAAGGGCATTCTAGATAATGGGAAAAGGCCCAAGAAAGAATAAAAAATTAAAATAGCACCATGTAGACAGCTTGGTAGACAGCAATTATTTCTATCTTGCTTGAAGCAGTCAGTGGCAGGGGATGGCATTAGAGAGATATATGGGCATCATAACGTGGAATGCCTCGAACTTGTTTTTTAAGCAACTTGGACTTGATCATACAGTCCAGAGATTTCCCAAGTGTTCTTTGTAGAGCTCAATATAATGCTGATAAGAATTCATTAAAAGCTCTCTTTTCATAGATTTTTAGGAAATTCTCAGGCTGGAGGAAATACGTTAATAAGGTGTCCTTACTGCAGGACTTCCCAAAGTTGCAATATGCTAATATGTATTGTGACTGTTCAAAAGAGATATCTAATATTGAGCACTCACAAACTTATTTTGTTGTCCTCACGTATGTATTTGTCCTTTAATGAACACTAATCAACAGCCCTCCAGAACTTTAGTATTCTGTGACTTGGGGGGGAACCTGATATAAAAAATAAGGAATTCTGAAGGAGTAAATCTGAGTTGTAAATAGATCTCCATGGTGATGTTTGGAGAGTAGAAATGAGGCAGGAGGCAGAGCGGTTGCTCACGCCTGTAATCCCAGCACTTTGGGAGGCCAAGGCAGGTGGATCAGTTCATGTTACAAGTTCAAGGCCAGCCTGGTCAACATCGGGAAACCCTGTCTCCACTAAAAATGCAGAAATTAGCCAGGCATGGTAGCACACACCTTTAATCCCAGCTACTTGGGAGGCTGAGGCACGAGAATAGCTTGAACCCAAGAGATGGAGGTTGTAGTGAGCCAAGAGGGTGCCACTGCACTTCAGCCTGAGTGTGCAGTGAGACTCTGTCTCAAAAAGATAAATAAATAAATAAATAAATAAATAAATAAATAAATAAATAAATTTGGAGGGCAAAAAGATTATAATATTATTTTAAAGGTTCAAAAATGTGTAAAGAGCTAAATTAGTGTTGTAGCAGAAGGGATGAAAGAACAAAACATATTTCAGGCATTGCTAGGCAGTAAAACCCAGAGGAGTGTAGAGTTAATTAAACAAAAGGAGGAAATAAAGTCCAAGAATGATGCTCAGCTTTTTAACCTTTGTAGGTGGTTGCACATGGGTTGCTAGTGGTGAGTCCATGGAGGTGGAAATTTGTTTTAAAAAGGGAAAGATCACTTTGGTTTGGAAATGTTAATTTTAGTAGAAATCCAGGTGGACATATCCAGTTTGATGTGAGATTTAGAATGGAGAAGTTTGGCAAAGTGATCTCAGCTGGAAATAGTGTTTGTGAGTCACCAGTGTACCTGTGGAAAGTAGCAACTATCGAAATGATATTTCTGTTGGCCCTTGGTTTCAATGTATCTATCCCTCTTTAACAATGGCAGCTATGGACAATAAAAAATTGAATTTAAATGGTTTCTTAGGTGATTTTTTTAAAAATGTTTGTAATTGTCTTCATTTTGGAGATAAGGACAGGAGAAGAGAGGGATGAGTTATTGGTAACAATATTTTCTTTTTAATATACTACACTTCTTGAAGTACTTGGAAAATGTTAAGTGTGGTGATTTAGATTGGATAGGTTTGGAAATTTGCAATATGTTTTATTCCAATTTCCTATTTCTACTAGCAAATGTATTGCCATTGCCATCTGGAACAAATATGCACACTCTAATCTAATACTCCTGTCAGATTAACACTCACTTTCTGCTTGCCCAAGTCAGTATGAGAAGAGGTAACAAAACTTACATAATTTATTAGGGTTGTTCAAATAGGAAAGCTGTTTTATTTTTATATTTATGTAAAGCACCTACGAATTTAGAGCTTTGCAACATAACAAAAGAGCTTTATGACAAAATACACTCATTGTGTAATAGCTATAAAAATAAAGTGCAATTGATTAAGGACTGAGATGAATGAAAACATTGTATTTCTTATGTTAATGTTAAACATTTAAAATTATTTATTTACTTACACTATAAAAGTAACATATTTAAGGATGGAAAACAGCTGATTCCAATGCTTACTGTACAGCTATTTTTTTTTAATGAAGAATTAGGGGTAAAGAGAAGATGATCACTTGAAAATGATATGGAGCCAGAGTTAAGATTTAATCTGCTGAGAAGTAATGCTGTAGCCTGGATGGGGTAAGGAGCATACAATTAAAAGCATAAAAGGCTACATAGCCCTGGTTGCTTCTTCCACTTTCAGAAGCAAAATATTTAATAATTGTTAAGGTGTAATCACTGATTAGCTAGGACAGTGGCTATAGTGATGACCCATGAAGAAATGCACTGTGTTCCACTCCTGAATAATCCAAATGGTGTAGTTGGTCATGGACATCCCTTCTGTGCCAGCCAGTATTTCTCTGCTTGATGGATAATGAGGGAGATTCTGAGTGACTGGGGTAGATAGGAGACTCAAAACAGCATCTGCTCACCAACAGGTAACACATTTTCCCAATTGGTATAATTGTCATGGTTCACACCATCAGAACAGGAGCCTCAACTCTATATCAACCCAACCTCCCATTCATCCCCAACTCAGTAAGGTAGTGAATTACAACAGAGAGAGGCAACCATCTAAAACATTAGTAGCTGTGAAGAGTTCTGGGGAGGTTTTTTGCAGGATACTGTAGCCTTGTTAGGTGTGAGGAAGGCAAGGAGTGAATGAACATAAATTGCTACCCCCAAGGCGCTCTGTTTTTCTGACATATACTGTACCTCCCTCACCCTATCCCCTATGCTGTAAGTTCCTTCCCCTGGAGGAGTAAAGTTAAGATACAGATTTTCTATTTTTACTTACAGGTACAAATCCTGATGTAGCTGATAAATTCCGGAAAGAAAATTGAACCATTTATAGAAAAAGAAGACAAATCAGTAGGCCAGACAAAGCAGAAATTTAAAATAATTTTTATCAGAATTAAATGACAGTCTCGGAAATATGAGGCTGAAATAAAAAGTTATGAACAAGTTGCTTTTAATTGCAGAATGCATCATTTATTATGTTTTATTTATTTTATCATTTATTATCTTATTTTCCATAAGAAAAAATGCTACATATTATCCTTTAGAGTTTTTGTTATACTTATCTTTTATCTTTTAAAGTTTTTATTATACTTATTGATAAAAACTCTTCTAGACATATTATGTTGTAAACTGCCCATAATCTGTGGTTGCATATTGATTTGCTTAGGATATGCAGCAGGCACAGTATTGGCTCAAAGCATATGTACGAACACCAAGATTTTATCTGCAACTATTCAAATTTTACTAAACACATAGTTATTTTCCCCCCACTGTTGAAATACACCATTGGAAAGTAAACAGCAGAAAGTTTAACTTTTGTTTAAAGTCAGCAGAAAGTTTCTTAAAAACTGATGTTCAAAACTTAATTCTGAGTTGGTCACACCAGCCTCTCACTATTTTGAATTTTCTCTGATCAATTATTAGGGATTTGACAATGTATCCTGCCTTCAGTTACCTTGCTTGACCTGCATGATGGTTAACTTCATGTGGCCATTTGAGTAGGTTATAGTGCCCAGTTGTTTGGTCAAACACCAGTCTAGATATTGCTCTGAAAGTGTTTTTAAATGTGATTAACATTTCAATCAGTATACACTGAGTAAAGCAGGTTACCCTCCATAATGTGGGTAGACTTCATTAAATCATTCCAAAGCCAAGGATCCTTGAAGAGGAAGAATTTCTACCTCCAGACTGCAACAACAGAAATTCTGCCCGAGTTTCCAGCCTTCCAACTCAAGACTGAAACACTGACCCCTGCCAGAATTTTCAGCCTGTGACTCTGCTCTGGAAAGTTCAGACTTACCAGCTCCCACAATCACATGAGCCAGTTCATTAAAATACATCTCTTTCTTCCTCTGTGTATACATTCTATGGGTTCTTTGGAGAACCCTGACTAATATAGCCTGTGTTCTACAAGCCTTTTGTATATAACTGAGTTACAAAATATAACATAGCTTCATTTACTGGAAGTCATCTTCCCTTCTTAGGTGTCTTAAAGTATTTGGTTATTGTGCTGCTAGCATTATTAAATTGTGTTCATTCCTTCAAAGACAAATACCTGATTCGCTAACATCAACTTGACCCTAATGTCACTGCTCCCTTGCCTTGCTGTATATACAGAAAATTTTCTTTTAAGGTCAGGTTATAGTGTAATATTTTTAAATTTTACAAAGAAATTAAACCCCAAATGTGTAGTATTAATAGAACTGAGAATTTTTTTTTAGTCACAATGTTTTGAACACCTATGACCTAGTTCATGCAAGCATAGGCAGTAGTAACTATTTAATGACTGCTACCTGACAGTGGGATAGTGTGAGTTGTTAATTGTTAGATGTATCTCACTTTCAGAGAAATATGGGAAATGTTTGCATGTTGAAATCAATGGCATATGATGTGTGTTACATAAATCAGTATATATGTATGTGTATACTTAAAGTGCATAATAGTTATACCTAAAACAATTTACTTAGGGGAAAGATCAGGTCCAGCACTCTTCTAGAAAATATCTAAAAAGAGCAAAGTCTTAAAAGTGAGATGACAGATAAATACAGAGTAAAAAGCAGAAATATTAATGTATCCATAATTCATGTCTTAAAGGGAAAAAAGGTAAAGAAGGAAACATATTTAATGAAATAATAATTACAGATTTCCTTGAATTAAATAAAGATATTGGGTCTTACTTGAAAAGTTATGTAGAGTTTCAAAGTTATATTATAAGAAAAAGAAAAAAAACCACTCCAAACCACAAAGGAATTACAGAAAAAATTAAAATTAAAAAAGATGCATTCTAAAAATCACTCAAAAATGCAAATTTCCTAGGAAGATACAGGTATTAGTTGATATCAGACTTTTCAACAATGTTCTGAATGCAAGAATATGGACTAATATTTTCAAATTGATAAGGAAAAAGAACTTTGCATAAGGAATTAAATAGCTTAATAAACTATCATCTAAATCTGAGTGGCAAATAAATGTATTCTCAATATAGATTTAACTTTATAGAATAAAGATGGAGGGTGGGTTCGGTAATTCAGTAAAATGGAGAACATACCAAGGTTCTTGTAGCACATCTATGTGTATTTCATGAAAGTCGTAGATATTGATGAGCATAAAAAATGATAGAGAAAATTAAGTAAGGGTACATTTTAATAAGATTTAAGTTCTAGAAACAAAAGTCTGATTCATATAGTGGAAGGTAGGAAAAGACACAATATTAAGCACAAAATAAGACTGCAGAAGTCATTTTTTTTCTTTTTTCTCTTTTTTTTTAAGATAGAGTCTCACTTTGTCGCCCAGCCTGGAGTGCAGCGACACGATCTCGGCTCACTGCAAGCTCCGCCTCCCAGGTTCACACCATTCTCTTGCCTCAGCCTCCCCAGTAGCTGAGACTACAGGTGCCCACCACCACGCCAAGCTAATTTTTTGTATTTTTAGTAGAGACAGGGTTTCACCATGTTAGCCAGGATGCAGAAATAATTTTTAACATGACAAAAATGATAAGAAATGTAAATACATCAAACTTAGCCTGAGAGAGGACCCTTACATTGCATCAACAATATAATCTAATACTATTTTGCTAGGAATGATTTAAACAAGCATGTCATAAAAAGCTTAAATTAAAAAGGTAGAAAAACCTGTACCAAAAGAAAGCCTTAAGTGCCAAAGAAACTTGTGATAAAAACATTAGAAGAGACAAAGAATAGCAGTACATGTCGATAAATGGAAAAATCAACTTATACTCCTTTAAATAGCAGCCCAAAATTGAAAAAGCAAAAATTCTAGAACCTAGAAGAGAAGCCTGAACTACGACAAAGTGGGGGATTCTAACATGCCCTTCTCAAACACTGAAAGATAACAATTATTTTTAATATGTAAAGGTGCTATAGGTATGAATAAGAAATGAAATTTGGACTAATATATTATGAACACGCTCACTCATTAACCCGAAAAACAAAGAAAGCTGTTTTTTTTTGGAGGAATCGCATGCACTATTCATACACACACACACACACAAACACACACTCACACACACAAACACACACAAAATTGGCCATGGGGTAGGCTATCTGCAAAGGGAGCATGGTATGTTTTAAATACAGTCATGCATCACTTAACAAAAAGAATACATTCTGAGAAAATAGTCCTTAGGCAATTTCATCATTGTGTGAACATCATAGTGTGCACTTATAGAAATCTTGATGGTATAGCTTACTGCACACCTAGGCTGTACGGTATAGCCTACTGCTTGTAGGCTACAAACCGGTACAACATGTTACTACTGTACTGACTACTGTAGGCAATTGTAACACAATGGTAAGTATTTGTCTACCTAAACATATCTTAACATAGACAAGGTACAATAAAAAGATGGCATTATAATATTATGGGACTACCTTTGTTTAGGTGATCCATTGTTGACCAAAATGTTGTAATTACTGTAGTCAATATCATGAAGACAAGATTCTTAAACCATACTTTAAAAAAAAAAGAAAAACCTAGCACATCCATATCTAAATACCAGAAATGGGAGATTACACGACACTTCCCAGTAAAATAATATTTCTCCTTCTCTCTTTTTTTCTTCTCTGCATACAGCCCACCCAACACCACTCTCTTCCCTCACCTGCCCCTTCTGATCATGCCCCTACTTCTTCTCGAAGCCGGTGCTCTAGACTGCTGGCTGGCACTGCTCTCATGGGGAGCAACCCATTGGTATTTTCCATCTTATTTCAGGTGGAACTGGAAACAGTTGCAGAGAAAAAGACAAAAAGAAAGACATATGTTTCCCTTGATCCAATTTATACATGTTGATTATACAAGTTGCTTTTTTTCTTCATTTTTTAAAAGATCTGTTTTATTGGCCACAAATTCTACATCTCTTAGGAAGGAGGGGGAAGATTTGATGACTTGCAGCTCTCTCTTTGACTTTGCAGGAACCAGAGACTTTTGGATTGCTCCAGGGCTTTTTCTATAATCGGGCAATAGGTATGCAGTTCAGGAAGCATTCCCACAGAGAACCTACATAGGTTATCAAGAGGGTGTACCTGTCTGCAAATCAACTATGCAATTCCTAGAACAGTTGAATAATTGGCTGGGGATTTTATCTATTCCTGTGGCCGATGCCAATAAGTGAGTGTGTTTATTAACAATTTATTTACAGAACATAGATTGATTTCACTGGGACTGCATGGCCAGCCACTGCAAAGAGGAAGTAAATGACTTCTTCCAAAGCTTTTAGGAATCCACTATCGTCAAGAAGTCGGTATATATTGGAAGCGAATATCAGGATGTAGGAGTAAAGTGATGGGCATTGTAATAAAGAACACAAAATGAAATCTGCCTGAAACCAAACCAGCATACATTTTGATGTACATATGAACAATGAAATGTGCACCATCTGAAATAAAGGAAAGAGGGCACAAGTCAAGTAATGTCAATCACCTAATTTATGCTAACGATATTGAGGACAATTATGATGGGGGTTGTATATTGGTAAAAAGTAAGAATTTGATATTCCTTAATTGGAGAGGGTGATATTCATGAAAATGAGAGAGACAGATGACAAATTAGGATAAAAACACTAGTTTAGTTTAAAATATATACCATTTGAGTAAACCAAAAAATGATAGGATCAGGATCCAAAGAGAAAGTATTTTTCTTGCCTGTTAAACTTAATCAGGTGCAAATCTGAAGCTCATGGCAGGAAAAGAAACTTACATTTAAACATGTCAGTGTCAGTATGCAAGGAAATCATTTCATCCTGTGCAACATCACATTTTCAAGATATATTATTACCTGATTTTAAAAACAAAATAAAAATTCAATCTTGTATTTGGGAAACATTCTAATACTAGAGGGAGTAGAATGGCTGTAGATAAAAATAAATGGAAAGTGGTAATAGGTAATATATTTTAAAAATGACTGTGAGTACTGAGGCATTATTTTTTCTTCTGTGAAAACATTTATACTCATTCTGGGGAATATGGAACAGTGATGTACCCCAAAGTATTAATAATTTATGTGGCCTGAATGTTGTTGTACTTTATAGCTAAAATGAATTGTTAGTTTATTTGGTTCCTGCCAAATATACATATATGTGTATAAATATATAAAATTTTAGGTGACAATTATGGCATATAAATATAAGATTTGGGTTATACAAAAAATAATAGAAAAAGACTATTATTTTAGCAATTTAAAATTATGAAATTATTATTCACTTTTGCTTGCTTCATGTTTATCAAGATTTGAGCTTTGGAAACAGTGTCAACTATTTACTATTTATCCACTAAATGATCAAATTGTAACTATTGAATCCTTGCTCTTGACAGAAAAGGTTTTAAATCCTGAGCCCTAGATGTTGTGATTATATATGTTAGCAAAGACATTAAGTATGAAAAGGCAATAATTTTCTCACAGCTAAGCCAAGTGAAATTTTCTCCCCTGCAGTTCCGCAATATCTAATATGTATGAAAATGAATATACCCTGTAACTCAGGATTCCATTTGTGGCTATTTACTTTAGAGAAACTCATGTGCATGGGCATAAGGGAATCCATTTATTACAATATTATTTATTATGATGAAAAATCAGGAATGATTCCAACTTTCAGGGTTTACATAAATTGTAGTATGTGCTTATGGAGGAGTAACATACTCCTCCATAATGAATAATGTAGATCTAGAAATTAGGCCTATATTTATCCTCATGGCTAGGTATTAAAAACAGTGCTGAGTTAGATAAAATATTTTCATCTGTCACTCATGACAATAAAGAATATACTCTTCAAAAATATATATATTTATGGAGACACACATACATACACACACACACTGGAAGGATACATACTGAATTTATAATAGTTTCCTCTAAAGAGGGAAGGGGAAGAATAGGATAGTAAAGGAAACAACTTATTGTGTATAATGTTTTATATTTTTAACTTGTAATATTTAAGGGAACAATGACAAAGAATCAATACTGCTGTATTATAACTTGTAGAAGTATGAAAATTATTGACTTATTCTTTGAAATTATCTGATCTATTTAATTTTTTAAAATTGCTCTCGTAATCATGACTCACAAATGGAGGGATCTGCCTCTACTACATTCTGAGTCATAGCACATAATATTTGAAATAAGGCTGACATTACAATAAAAAGTATATTACTAAGAAAGTGCCAAAGTAAATATTTATTTACAAATATTGTAATGACAGTCATGGTAAAAATATCTGAAAAAATAAGCTGAAAATGGATAATGAAGTTACATTTTATGGAAATGTCAAATCAAGCTTGTCATTTTGGAGGACATTAAAAAAATAAAAAAGGTGTCAAATTAGCAAAAATCTTAGCACTTCTTATTATTTCCTAGAATTTGGGTCTTTTGCATTGGTCAGTTGCATCTAGATTTGGACTTTGCTTCATTGGATTGTTGAAATGGAAATCGTTGTTAGAGAGATAAATAATGCAGCGTTATTTGTTGTTCAGGACAAAGTTGATGGATATGTGTCAACAAGAATGACAGAGAAAGGGTACTTTTCAAGGCTTCTGCTCTCTTGTGAACTTGCATGACTCTCCATACACTTAAGGAATTTCTATGTGTCAATGCTCTAAGGAGCAAACAGTGTTTGTAATGGAAATACACCAAGATTCCATTATTAGAGCAAAGAATAAATTTAACACATACAACACTTGGACCTCTGTTTTCCCTCTCCTGAAATTCTAAGGAAAAATAATAGAAAAGGTGGTTATTAAAGGGAAAAAAAGTGATGTGTGTGTGTGTGTGAGCGCATGTGTGCATGTGTGTGTTTAGGGAAGAGATAAATAATATTATCTCGATTAAGGAATAAAAATGCTTAATAAATAGGTTATTCCAGAACAAGTGGGCACTACTGCTAATTAGACCAAACTAATCTTAGGGCTTTCCATCCATTAATCTGAGCTGGTACAGTAAAATTAATTATGAAGCTGAGTTTAAAAGCCATAAATGACTAGATTATAATTCTGACAAGCATAGTACTTAATGATGTAACAATTATGCATTGTGTCTGTGTTGCTTGGAAAATCTTTGCCTGACTACACACTGTTGAGGACATATTATCATCTAGACAAAGGTTGACGATACAAAAGATTTATTTTAATCTGACTGATAGCATCATCTTAAATGTATGGGAAGTTGAGCTCTCAGAGATAGTTACTTCTGCCTGAAACCCTGTTCTTCTGTGGCAGCATCTATTGTATTGACAATTCAGGAAAATTTTATATCATTACTGATTTATATGGAATATTTTACCAGAAAGAGAGTGTGATTTTCGTTTGACTATTTCTAATATTTTCCAGAATTTAGTTTTACAATAAAGTTTAGATATCAAAATCTGTAAAGGAAAAATTATACATAAAATGTACCAATTTTCTCTCTTTTAAAATGTGCATATGACCGATTTGAACCTTCAAAACTCACTGGAAAGCATATGAAAAATAAAACGTTCAGTTGATGTCATTTAAATTAGTATATTGAGAAAATTATTGCTATTGTTCTCCAAGACACAATTTGGCAAAATACTAAATTAGCAAGTAGAGATAGATAGAATGCACCACTTTTTACGTTTACCCTTCTCATGTTTAAGATCAATTAATTTTTCCTGAAATAATTGCAGTTTCAGCATCTAATATATTATCTCACCTGTTGTTCATATTTTATTTACTCCTTATTTGAAAATAATGAGGCCAGGCATGGTGGCTCACACCTGTAATCCCAGCACTTTAGGAGGCCGAGGTGAGTGGATCACGAGGTCAGGAGTTCGAGACCAGCCTTGCCAATATGGTGACACCCCATCTCTACTAAAAGTACAAAAATTAGCCAGGCGTGGTAGGCGCCTGTAATCCCAGCTACTCAGGAGGCTGAGGCAGAAGAATCCCTTGAACACAAGAGGCAGAGGCTGCAGTGAGCCGAGATTGCGCCACTGCACTCCAGCCTGGTGGCACAGCGAGAGTCCATCTCAAAAAATAATAATAAAAATTAAAAAAAGAAAATAATGAATTACATTTTATTTACTTTTTGCTATTTTTTGTTGTATTTTTCATTTAGGACTAAGTTTTTTCCAGTAAGAGTCAGTATGATGAAGGGAGTGAAGACCTAGAGTACCCCAAGTATGAGTGTGATAGAGAAAATGATTGTTGTTCCTGTTTCTACTCAATTTTTAAAATCTATTATGATCACTGATGTCTAACCTCCTTGTCTCTCAGTTTGATAGGAATCTTCTAGTACTCACTTTAATTGGCCTCTTAGTAATATCCAACATTTTAAAATTCTCATTCTTTGATATATTCTCCCCCGTACACATCACTTTCTTAAATTTCTTCTGACATCTTTGGTCATTCTTTAGCTCGTCTTTTGGAAATGTCCCTTTGTATATGGTCATTAAATGTTTGACATACTCAAAGTTTATTCCCAGATCTGCTCTATTCTCATTTCATAATGTCTTTATAATGTATGGCATCCACATTGCTTCAATTTCTACCAGCATCTCAGCAACTGACATAATTCAACCACTAGTTTAGAACTTGTTGAACTAAACATTTCAATTCGGATTTCTCAAAGGTGCTTCAAACTTAGTGTGCTGAAAACTAAATTTATTCATCCCCCCCAAAATCTGCAAAAGGAATCTTCATAGGAGTCATCCTTAACACATCCTTCTCCCACACCTTAAATCCTACATTCATTTCTAAATTTTTTCCTAATCTTTCTACTTACCTGGAACTTACCACCACCTTAATGCAAACTATTGTTCACGCTAAACTACATTAAAACAGTACCTTTCCAAGAGATTTGTCCATATTTATTCATTTTCCCTCTTTTCTTTTCTCTTTTCTTTCTTTTTTTTTTTTTTTTTTTTTTTTTTTTGAGGTGGAGTCTCCCTCTGTCGCCCAGGCTGGAGTGCAGTGGCACAATCTTGGCTCACTGCAATTTCCGCCTCCCAATCTCCGCCTCCCAGGTTCAAGTTATTCTCCTGCCTCAGCCTCCCGAGTAGCTGGGATTGCAGGTGCCCACCACCATGCCCGGCTACTTTTTGTATTTTTAGTAAAGACAGGGTTTCACCGTTGGCCAGGCTGGTCTCGAACTCCTGACCTGGGGTGATTCACCCCCACCTCGGCCTCCTAAAGTTCTGGGATTACAGGCGTGAGCCACCTTGCATGGCCCATTTTCCCACTTTTCAAACTCTATTACCGACCACAGCTTACACTATTTTAATAAAGTTCAATAGTTATTAGGATAAATACCAATTTCCTTAACATGCTGCTCAAGGCACTATGTGAACTGGTCCCTATCCCATTAGCCTCATGCCTCATTTCACATCAGCCTTTCACTCACAGCTTGAAGTACCCTCATTTTTGTTCCTCATCATGCCACACATACACTCCCATGCCTGTGATAGTAACTCTCTGTTTTTACTCACTTTGCCTGGTTGAATGCCTTCTCATCCTACAGGTCCCATCTCAGTTCCTACTTTTGGTGGGCTTTTCTTGATCTTCCTGATTGGCTCAACTTCTCTAGCATGTGATTTCATGACACCCTAAACTTCTCCATAACACTTATTATAGGCACACTTTTATATGTATTTGTGTAATCATTTAATTAATTTTGGGGAGGGTCACAAGCTCTTAGAAGCCAGAAACCCTGATACTATTTGCCAATGTTTTCTTCATGCCTTGCACACACCTGGCATCTGTTAGGTGTTCAATTATTCATTGATTGAATGACTGACTATGAGAAAATACAACAGTTAAAATACAGTCCAGAGAAGTATAATGCTAGAGAAAATGGGATGGCAGGCTGGCAGGAATAAATTAACCCAGAAAAAAAGAACAAAAGGATACTGGCCTCAGTGAGTAGAGATGATGAATTAATATCAAGTTTATCTTTATGTTAGTTTTAGTTATACTTGTGGTATTTACATAGGTAAAGACATATGTACTATAGTATACATTATATACAAAGAACTTAAGTAAACTGCTTAGTATATTGCATGTAAAATATACTTCATCAATAATGATTAATCCTGTTTTAAATATCCTTTGTCTTTTTAAAGCTACAAATTAAATATCTTCTCAAAATTCTTAGAAAATGTGAAAATTATGTCAGCTTTTTGGGCCTTAGAGTGAAGAGATATTGTAAGGAATATTAACTGCCAAATGATGTACAAATGATTTTCTCTTTCTTGGTTTTGGAACTTTGGATAGCTGAGCTATAGTCATTGGTTTTCAGGGGGAAATTATAAATTTCTGTCTCAAAATAAACCTTATTCTAAGTAAGCTTCAGTATTAGCTGTGTGTTGTCACTGAGCACCAAGAAAATATTAAATATACGATCTCCGTTTATATTGTATATATACACATACTATGTCTCTTTAGAACTGCTTTCTAGTTTGTTGCTTTATAGGCAGAAACATAGTGTATTTCTACTTGTAAAGCCACATTTTCCTTCTTTCTCTTACTGTTAAGTTTTAATAAAAACAACAACAAAAAACCTTGAAGACAAAGGGAAAAAAAAAGAACAAAAACATTTGACTGATATTTAATTTAAAGAATTTAAAAATCATTTTAAATCTATTTGTTCTTCTTTGTACTACCACGGTGCATAATGACAGTACTTGGAATTAATGTACATCCACGCACATTACAATAGGTATTCACTGTAACTTAGCAACAGCTAAGCATGGCTTCTTCAGCTTGTTGATTTCCATTGCTGGACCTGAGAGGCCATAGAAAATTCAATTTACTCTAAATTTCTTATGTTAGCAGTTAAATGTTAAGCTTCTGTTTACAGAAAGCTCTTCTGTGAATTGTCAGAATTCAGCAAGCTCTGTTCTACACAGCAGGAGGTGTTAGCCATTTTCTTTTTGGGAGAGGGTAGTAGAAAAAAACTTTTCTCTATCTCTTCTCCTTTCCCCATGTGTTTTCCTGTTTAACCATGATCATTCCAAAATAGAAAGAGCAGAAGTGCATCAACTCATAGTACTTAGAATAGACCTTTAGTGCATAAAATGTTCATAATTCTACATGAGAAAAATATAAAGAAAAGCCCTTTTACTGTGTCTCAGTAAAACAGAAGCTGAGTTATAAAAATTTTAGGTCAACATTAGTACCCTTTGCCCTTGGACAATTGATAGGCCCCATATTTGCAAATGTATTTATTTTACGGGGTGGAAGGAGCATCTGGGAGATACACAACATTTTCCATTTTTATTTTACTAATACATTTAATTCATATAAGCATATACTAAAACAAAAGAAATATTTACACACACAAACACACACACAAAATTGGGAGATGATTAAATTCAAAATATAATAAGATATGTCAAACTAAAGGAAAAAACTGAGTCAAAATTAATATAAGTAGAGATTTTACTTGGACCAAGTTTGAGGATTATAACTCAGAAGCACATATTCAAGTTGTCCTGAATATACACTCAGAGTAGCAGTTTCAAGTAGGTTTTTAAAGAAAAAGAAGAGGCAGTTCCTAAGTTATTTACCAATAATTTACACTAAAATAACATCAACTATTGATTGGCTATACAATGCTTTTTGTATTGTAAGTTTAGAACATAAAGACAACGGGTGAGGCAGCTAGTCAGGAACAAATGCATTTAAACAATTGCCTCCAAGAAAATGACCCACGAAGTCATGGAGACTTTATGAGTTTGAAGTCGCATACTCATGTTTCTCTGGGCCTAATAAATTTTGCATACCGCACATAGCTCAAACTGCTCTAAACTATTTTTCTTTCCTCATATCCTTTAAATTGAATATGTTTAGTTTGAAAATAAACCTCATTCTTTGTTATATTTCACTCCACACCAATAGTAATCTGTGACCCTGAGTTGAGAAATTCCTACTGGAGGACATAGCTTTTACTTTTAACAATTTTATTGAGATAATTTAATGCACCATATTAAAGTGTACAATTCAATGGTTTTAGTGTTATCACAGAGCTACATAATCATAACCAAATTTCAATTTTAGAACATTTGTGTCACTCCCAAAAGAAATCTGCTTCTAATTAATAGTCACTTCCTAATTCCCTGAAGCCATTTGTTTATATTCTAGGGTTTCCAAACCTGGAGACTAGTTCCCTACCTTGGGAAGGTTTCTTTACATTCAGATTAAGGGTTGTTCTCTTTCTCTTCAGACGGAAGTAGTAGATTTGTCAGCTGACCTACATAAATTCTGCGATTCCTAATTTTGCAATTCCTTTTTTATGCTACAAACATCAATGTACACACTGCTGATACCTGCATTCATGGTGTTGTCTCATGCGGAATCTAGGCATGAAGAGACTAATGCAAGCTTTTCTATTAGCCATTAAAAGTCTGTCTCTAATCTAGGAGTCTCTTGACTGTGTGTGTGTGTGTGTGTGTGTGTGTGTGTGTGTGTGTGTATTCCTCTAATTCTCTTTTTTTGCACTAAAATATTAGCTAATGTAACATTTTTTATTCCTTTAATGATTTCTGATTTCTAAGTTATATTCTTTTATTTTGTTGATGTTCGCTCTAATGTTCTCTCTCTCTCTCTGCGTGTGTGTGTGTGTGTGTGTGTGAATTAATATGTTAGAATCTACTTCAGATTTATATCAACAACTTCAGTGTGCTATAGAAAATACACTTCTGAGCTGGGCACAATGGTGAGCAACTGTAATCCCAGCTACTCAGGAGGATGAGGAGGGAGGATCACATGTGCCTAGGAGTTTGAGGCCAGTCTGGGCAAAATAAGAGAGGAAATAGAGCTACACAGAAGTGTATTTTTTTTCTATTTTTAAAGAAAAATTTCTTTAATTTCTTAACATTTCTTAAAAAAACAAAAAATACACTTCCGTGTAGCTCTACTCCTTCTCTTCATTTTATGTTGTTCTTATTATCTTATTAGAAAAATATTAATGCCATACATGTTACATATTTAGATATTATAAATCCAGCAATGCATTGTCATAAATATTACTAGTATAGGTATATGTTTTTTGAAGAAGCTGAGGCGGAAAGAAGCTCAAATATATGTATTTATATATTTTCTTGTATTAGTAATCTTTTTATTCATCCTTTGTATTTCTGTTCATTTTTTTCATTTAGATTCATGTTTACCATCTGGTGTCAATTTTTTTCATTCCAGAAATCTTTGTTTCCATTTGTGCTATTCTTGTAAAATACATTCTATTTCTGTATGTTATAGACTCAAAAATGCAATTATATGAATGTCATTTTGTAAAATTACATTTAAATAGGTTAAGAGCAGAAATGTGCAATTATAATGTGTTTATAATTACCTACATAATTACCTTTATTGAAACTCTTTGTTTCTTCTTGTTTATTTGTATTATTGTCTGGCATCACTGATTTTTCAGCCTGATAAATTTTTTAGCATTCTTCTTAAAATGGGTCTGGCAGCAACAAATTCTGTGAACGTTTGTTTATCTGAGAATACCTCTATTTTGCCTTTATTTTTGAAATGAAGTTTTGCTGACATAATATTCTTAGTTGAACAGTTTTTTGAATTTGTTTTGCTTTAAGTTTTTAAATGCTTTGAATGTATTGTCTCACTGTCATCTAGTTTCCATTTTTCTTTTTTCTAATAGAGTCAACGGTTTTCTTAGTGTTGTCTCATTGTATGTTATAAATTGTTTTTCTCCTGCTACCTTCAAGATCTTGGTTTTCAACATTCAGACTATGACAATCCGGGTGTGGACCTTCTTGTATCTATATCCAGATCTTACCTGAAGTTTGTTGAATATTTTGGTTATGGAGATATATGTTTTTTAAATCAAATTTCAGAAATTTCAGTTGTTATTTCTTTTTTTTTTCTGTTTCTCTCTTTCCTCTTTCTGGTACTCCCATTATGTGTATCAGTGTGCTTAATAGGGTTCTATATTCTCAGAGGCTATGTTTATTTTTCTTTATTACTGTATTATCTTTATTCATTAGATTGCATTATTTCTATCAATCTATCTTCAGGTTTGCTGACTCTTTTGCTGGCTCAAATCTACTATTAATACTCTCTGGTAAATTTTTCATTTGGTTTCTTTAACTTTGCAACTTCAGAAATTTTATTTTTTTAATAAATTCTATTTTTGTTTTATTCTCTCTCAGATGAAATTTGCCAGTGTATTTTCCCTTAATTATCTGAAACAATGGTTTTCTATAGATTTTTGAGTATGTTTATAGTTGCTGCTTTAAAATTATTGTCTGCCAAGTGCAATATCTGGCCAACTTAAATACAGTTTCAATCTCCTGTTTTTTTTCCCTGTAGATTGTTATACTTTCCTGTTTATGTTTAAGTCTTTGATAACTTTGTAAGTTAGATAATATATTGTAGCAACTCTGAGTAGTGATCTTTTTGTCTCCCCACAAGGCTTATTATAGTTGTTCGGTTATTAATTTTTTAGTGACTTGGCTGGACTGGTTCAGTTATTTTTCCCCAGTTATGGGTATCCACTGATTTCACTCCTTAGAGGACATATTTATGTCCCCAAACCTCCTGAACATGAAAGGTGATTGTTGTTTTAGCTTTGATCTGTTTGGCTATCTCTTTTCTCTCTTTTCTTAATGAGATTCTTGCTGGTCTATTGATATTACATTCAGCTGTTAGCCTCCACTAATTGCTAGCTAATAACTTGTTTTTTTCCCATACGGTAGTGCACATTTTACTCCATGTTCTGATTCAATTGAAGTTACTCTCCTTGGCCAATGCAGGGTACTGCCAGCCTTTGACACTTACTCTGAACCTCTTCTGAGTACAACATGTAGACTATGAAATAGGAGGTAAGTGTATGGGTAGCTTGTTTGCTTTTCATTGCAGCTCTAACTAGATTCTCCCTAGGAAGCTACAGCTATGTGTTTGTGTTGTTGAGGGTAGGAAATGAAACTGCCAATGGCTTCTAGCAACTGCCCAGTAGGGATCTTCCACACTCTTAAGTTCAGAAGAATAATATCTGGCTATGTTTACTAAATATCAGTGCAGACCAGAATTTACCCAGCATAGCACTTTTTCTCTGAGACTGAAGGAGATGAGCATGGCTACTTGACTGCCAAGCCCACCAGAGCCATTGTCTTACAGCAGAGTTGTGTGCAAAAGGGACACTGCTCTGCTCTCTTCTTGAGCTGTTCTGCCAAGATTCTTACTAGGTAGAGGAAGATGGAAGTCAGGAGAAATAATGCCTCCTGACTATAGCCAGGCTTGACATGAGCTTTCCATAGCATGGAACTATGGAAAATGAGATCTGTTGATGTTCATCAGCAGCTGAAACTACTTGGAATAGTTCTTTCAACCCACGTAACTGGGAGACATGGACATTTCCACTTGTCTGCTGAGTTCTTTGAAACAGTATTTCTGCAAGACAGAGCTGTGGGAAGGGTACAGTCCATAGCTTAAATGCCACAGCTGCTTCTTACTGAGTTTTCACAGACGTGTTGAGTAAATGCTTCTCAATTTATCTAAGCCCTTTGATCCATTGTGAGACTTTATATGATTGTCTTCGCTAATTTCAACCAGCTTAATGAATATCTCTCTACAGGAGAGGTTTCTTTAAGGTTCTTACACTACCATTCCAGAAGGCCTTCCTGGTCATACCTCCTTTTGAATGTCTTTTGCTAAATCATATTCCTATGCTTTTATCTGAAACTTACACATTTTTAAAAAGTCTTAGATAAAATTATTCTAGGTCCCCAAAAACTCAAATCAAAAATCCATTAAAACTAATTAAAACATATACTTTTAATCCACTTTCTATCTTTAAGACTTTAAGCTGCATCTGTGTTATTGTTTTCTTAAAGCAAAATGCCAAAAAGAGGTACAAATAAATTTTACTTTATAAGCTAATTTATCTTAGTGCTTGGCAATTGATGTTAATACATTGTTGCTAAATATGATGTCAACAAGAAGTTTGCGTTAACTTATTTTACCCCTAAATTCCACAAAGTAAATAATATATTTGTTTTGGAAGTTTGAACAAATAAAATAAATTCTTGGGAAATTATTATTGAAGCAATTTTGACTTATGAATAATATTAATTAAAAATTTCATCTCATTGCAGTGAAGGTTTTACATTCTTGTTTGGAACTATAAGGAGAAAGTGAATGCAGTATATTATTTAATTGGCCCAGTTTGTTATATATTTCTTTCAATATTAGCTTATGTTACACTGGGAAAAAAATTTTTTCTTTCTGTGAAAAGAAGAAATTTCCACAAGTAAAGGTTTTAATTTAGTCACAATTTGCCTGTGTGTATGTGTGTTCTGTTTTGGAAATGACTATTTACAAAATCTAAATTCTTCAAATTTAAACATTCCCTTTGCCTTACCATATCTTGTTATCTTGATCGATGTCACATAGAAAAAAATCTATATCATTTTTTTTCTCTCTTCACAAGCCAATTAAAGAGGTTGGAAGGAAGGAAGCTACCCAAAAGTCTTTTTCCATAACTTACTGAGGTAATTAAATTTAATCTGGTTGTTCCTCCAAATTTTCTTGAACCTCTTCTCTGATATTCCTTTAAAATCAAAGAAGAAAAGAACAACATTTTTGTATGATTTATACTTTTTTAATCTGGTTGTTCCTCCAAATTTTCTTGAACCTCTTCTCTGATATTCCCTTAAAATCAAACAAGAAAAGAACAACATTTTTGTATGATTTATACTTTTCCATTTTGCGTAATTTTTTCAGGTAATTTGCATCTTACCGCCTAGTCAGTAGCCCATCTTGCCCTCTCTCTCATATCTTTCCTGACATGAAAAAGGGTAAGATAGGCTAGTGAGTAGGTGTTAAGTAAGATAATACGTTAGTAAGAGAGCTCAAACTCATAGTGTAGCAAAGAAGGTTTAAAAATTGCCTCAAGAAATTGTCCAAAAGTGAAAGGCATAAATCATACAAAAAGTTTGTCTGATTCCTATGTAAGAAATTAGAAATGAACAATGAAAGGAGAAACCAAGACATTTTCTTTACTGGGGTATTATACCAGTTGACTCACCAACCAAAAAACAACAAAACACAATTTAATAGAAAAACAAAAGAAAACAGATTCTCGCAAATCATATAAAGTGTAATCAGAGTGGGAATTACTTAGAAATAAACACTATGAAAGCTTAACTTAGAAATTCATGTGGGATTTAAGGAGAAAATTTATTAGGGAGAAAAAGCATCAATAAACTAGGCATTCAACTCAAGATGTTAAAAACAAACACACAAAACATACAAGATGCTAGAAAACAAACATACAAAAAGAATGATATAAAGCCATCCTAAATACAAAGGTTTAATTTACATTAAAGTAAATATAGATTTTGAAAAGACTGATAAAATAGGCAAAACTTTGAAAACATGGTAGTAAAGAGAAAGTAGCAACAAGTGAACAAAAATAATATTATGAATGAGAAAGAAACCATAGTTACGGGCCTTTAATAAGTCACTTAAGGAGCAAGTATTAAGCAACAACTGTGCACCAGACATTACTGTATGCTCTAGGATTATAGACATAACAAAACAGAAAAATAAAATCCCTCCCTTAGTGGAATTATCAAGCATGGAGAGAAAGACAATAGGCCAATAAGTAAGATGAATTATTAAACTATATATCAGACAGTAAGAAGTAGTATGGAGAAAAAGGTAGTAAGAAAGGCAGTTGCAAGTTTTTAGATAGAGTGGTAAGGAAAGATCTTCTTGAAAATTAAAATTGAGTAAAGATCGGAAGGACGAGCATGAGTAAAACATACACATATCTAGGGGAGTACATTTTAGGCAAATGAAACAGCTCCTTGAAGTAGTAGTATACTTATTGTGTTCAGGAAAAGCAGAGAGTCCTAGAGAGAAATTGAGCAGGGGATGGTAGGTAGTAGAAAATGATATGTGGAAGATTATGAAAGGTAAGGGATTTGAGAATGGGGGTTTCAAGAGCTTCATTTAGGATATGTTTCTATTGAAATGCCTATTAGTCCTCCAAATGTAAATTTTGTGAATATGCGTTTGGATGTAGTAGTTTGGAGTTCAGGAGAGATGATGTCTGTGCTGGAGACATTAATTCAGGATTCAATGGCATGTATATGGTATTGAGATTGCCAAAGGAGAAGGTGTAGGCAAATAGTCCTAAAGTCCTGGTCACTCCAACAAGTAGAAAAGGGTCAAAGAAAGGAATCACCCCTAATACATAATTAGCAGGAGTGACCAGTGTGTTAGGAGGAAAACTAAGTGAATATGTTGCCTAGGAGGTCAAGTGAAGTTATATCCAATATAGCTGAGAGAAATGTCTCTTGGTTTTATATATTCTTGATACATATATAATTAGATGGCTCAAAATCATGAGAAAAACAGTGATAACACTTAACTGAGAGGGTCTTTGAAAAAACAAACAAAAACCCAACTTACAAACTTCCCTGAAATTTAGTTTTAGTTTCTTTAAAAAATTAAGAAAAATCTTTACAAAAGTGTGTGGTGATTGAGTAACAAAAATCTGATAGAAAAGGATTCAAATGAGAATTGAGGATAAAACTAGAAAACGATAATGTAAAGACAAATTTAAAAATATTTTTGCTATAAAATAAAGAAAAAAATGTGTTGGTACCTGGGGGGGTGATATTTACTCTAGATAGGATTTTTTTAAGGTAGCTAAAATAATACCATTTTTGTATGTTAATGGCAAGTATAGTCAGGCAGGGAATTGATACTGGAGGAGAGAGGGAGAATTTTTTAATAACCTTAAATCGGTAAGAGGGACTGGGATCTAGGACACACAAGTAATCCATAATAACAGGATAAAAGATAGAGTCTGTAGGCTCAGAGGCAGATAAATGTATAAATATAGTGATGGGAGGATGTAGAAGCTCCATTTTCATTGCATTTTCTATGAGAAATAAAAATAGAAGTCAGTCTCTACAAAAATTATGAATGTAGTAGAGACATAAATGAGAAGTGTGTAAGTATCAAAGGACTAAAGTGATAATGTAGTCTTGCCATGTCTACTTAAAGTGTCTGAGCAGAAATTTAGTATGCAAATAACCAGCAAAATTGTGTGTCTTTGTGCAGCCACATTCAACTTTGTGAGAGACAAAAAATAGTAAGTAAAAAGTAGAAATAACCGATGTTTGACTTACGTAAGTGAATAAAAGAGAGTAAAAAAGAGACAGTAGTGATACACAAAATACTTAATAATAATTGAGTATGGAAAATAAATTAGAAAAAATAATAAATAATTATGTTAATGTAGTGAGATTCAGTGAAAATTTGGCAGATTCAACAGATTGAAGATGTTACAGGGTTGGATGATTTATGGATATAGAATACCAAAGGAAGAAAATTGAAAATATAAAAAACCAGTAATTGGAGGGTAGAATGTTTGAAATTAAAATGATTAAAGCATTTTATTAATAGTTAATAATAAAGCAAAGGGCATCATAATGGAAAAAATTTAGAAAATATAGAAGAGATACTAAATATAAGATAATGATACATACAATTTTAAAAATATATTTGTAAATATAGAAGTTGGTTGAATTTCTAAGAACACAAACACATGGATTCCAAAATATGGAAAACCTATATCATTAATTTCACTGAGAAATAAGTAATTGACAAGGTAATCAAAGATCAAAAAAGAAAAAGCCATGTCTTGAACATTTCATGTGTGTTTCTAACTAACCTTCAAAATAAATGTCCATCAATAGAGAATGGTTAAATACATTAAGGTATATCTATACTAGAAACAATATTCAGCCATGAAAAGAATAAGGTAAGTTTGTATGACTCGAAATATAAACTAAAAAAAAAAAATGTTTTTTTTTCTTTTTTTTTTTTTAGTACACGTGGGCTCAGAGATAGGTAAGTGTAGAAATATAGTGGTGGGACTATGTAGAAATTCCATTTTGGTTACATTTTCTGAGAAATAAGAATATAAGTCAGTCTATCAGCAGAGTGTATGGATGAAGTAAAGACAGAAAATAATTGACTAGAATAGTAGAAATGTCAAAGGACTAAGGAGATAAAGTATGCTTGCCATGTCCACTTATACTCTCTGAACAATGCAATACAGTATAATTTGTTATTTTGTTTGTTTAAATAATATATAGATATAAGAATGGCTCTTTTAAGAGAATACACAAACTAATGAAGTTAGATATTCTCTTCAGTATGAATTTAAAGTCAAGGATAAAAGAAGATTCATTTTTCAATGCAAACACCTCTGATTTTCTTTATGAAATGTGTGCATATTCATTTTCATGATAGACTTTAGTAAGTCTAAAAATGTCACCATATATTCTTGGTGTATATAAGTAGATACCTCAAAATCATGAGAAAGACAGTGATGGTAACATTGAACTGAGAGGATCTTTGAAAAACCTAAAAACTTACAAACTTCCTTGAAATGTAATTTTAGTTTCTTAAATAATTTGAGATACGTAATTCTGTAAAAAAAGATTCATCACTCTACAATAAGTTGTCTTTACAAATATTATTGCTATAAATTAAAATTTTCCTTTACTTCTGAAGTACTTACTATTTTTATGTAAAAACAATGGAAGCAATTCGGCAGAATGGCAGTGATTAACATAATAAAAAATTTAGAAATTTTTCATAGTTACTTTCAGGCATTTAGACACTTTTACCTACAACTTCAAGCTTCCTATAGCTTTCTATCTTCATTTAAATTAGTATTTTTGTATTAGTTTCCATAGTCATTTAAATTTAATTTTTGATACTTGATTAGTTCCTCCTTCAGTTTTCAATCTTTTCTTCCCACAGGTAATTTGTGTTCATTAACTACAAGATTTTTTAATATATGAAAGGAAAGGCTGCCATTTCTGTTACTGCTTTCTTCAGATCAGAAATAACCGTGTGTGTGTGTGTGTATGTGTGTGTTGCACATATATGCGTTATGTTTTCTGGTAGAACAAATAGAAATAATGTCTGCGTACAGTGCTTGTATGTGATATATAAAATAAAAGTTTGTCAATCTTGATATTAGCTTCAAAATTAAATTCTTAGATGGCCAGAATCATATTTTAAGTTTTTAAGGATTTTAAAAATACTGGCAATTTTGGCTTTGAATATTCTACAAAACAACCATGAAAAAAATCCATGAATAATGTTTAGTTTTTGAGAAATTATATACTTAATGGTGGTGTGATTATCATATTTTTGTATTATATAGTTATATATATTACCTATAGAATAAAAAATATAAAACTAAATGAGTAAACTGGAAGTTTGAAGGAATGTTTTAAATGTACAACTAGGGGATTTTAGAGAATTAGCCTTTCTCTTTCAAAGCTCATAGTGCCTGGATATATTGGTCACTAGTTACATAACAATTAGAGGTTCCCACTTCTCAGCTCTTGGATATCATGTACCTGGAGCACAGTCTACCTTGGCACCCTAATTTATCAAATCAGCTAGACAATTTAAAAATCCCCTGAAAATGTTTCTAGCCCTGGAACATCAAAGTAGCTTGGCTTTCTATTCAGTGACTGCATCCTCTTCCTCTAAAGCAGTCTACTCCCACAGTGGTGTTCTGAACACAATTCACAAGAAATGTATTTTCTTTGGAAACAACCTGTTTTTCCATCTTTCTCATGCCTTCTTTTCCTACAAACCTCCTTTGAAAAAAATCTCAATTTATTTTTTTGAATTTTTGCACTCGATATTTTTTCTCATTCTAAGAACTATGGTGATACATTTCAAGTAAAGATAAAAAGTATCTTAATTTCTCATCATTTTTTTCTGTGGCCTGGTGCTGTTATAAAAGTAAAATATTAAATTCTATTGTCTAATGTGTTAAAACATAGAGTTTATACTCTCATTTAGGGCTTTTAATAATACTGAATAATTATTGTGCTTGTTCCTGATGGTGTTGTTGAAATGCATTTTACATTTAACAGTCTCACTAAATTTCTTAACATCATCATCTACATTTATTTCTAGCAAATGCTCTTCCTGCTTAGGAGAGAA
The DNA here is from genome assembly GCF_000001405.40 of Homo sapiens. Lineage (NCBI taxonomy): Eukaryota > Metazoa > Chordata > Mammalia > Primates > Hominidae > Homo > Homo sapiens. Next base: position 29,337,630 of record NC_000018.10, read on the forward strand.
AGAGTTGACAGGCTTTGAGTTAATTTCTTACCTTCACTCATTCATTCATTTAACTTAAGGGCTTAATCTGCCCTCTGAAAGATATCATGTTTTACATTGGAGAAACAAGAATAGATTATGACTTCTCCCTTAAGGGATTCAGAAATGGATAGAAAACAAATATATCAGCAATATGTGCATCAAGGTAGGTACCGTGAAGGCATATGTAATACATATTGGACAGAACCGGACACAAAGTAATTTTGATAGGAAAGACTACATAGATTATAAATACATATTGACATACATATTGGAAAGAATATTCCAAGAAAAGGCATCAGTATGTAAAAATTGTGCAAGTGTTAAAGTGATATAGGGTTCGAGGAACTATAGGCACTTGTTTGTGATGGAATCACAGAATAACATTTTCAACAAGTAATTAAAAGAATTAATTGAGAAACAGTATGATGTGGCTGAGAATGTGAAAAGTTGGAACAGTAATAGCAGTTTGAGGATGTTTACAACAGTTCAAGGAATAAATGATGATGTCTAAAATGAGACAAGGGCACTGGAAAGAGAAAGGAGTTATACTAGATACTGAGGAGCTAGAAATGGAGAAATTTGGTGGCTATCTGAACAGAGCCATTGAGGAAGAGGAATGGGTCAATATTGTTGTTGGTGTCTGAGAACTGAAGTATAGGAAGGAAAGCCAATTTTTGAAGAAAAGATTTTGAGCTCTGTTTTGCCCATATTGATTTTAGGTACATTTTAAACACTCACAAGGAGACATACTCATTTGAATGCCACATGCTTCTAAATATAACAGGAGGCTTTTTCCCCTCAAAAAAATATATCCAAGTAAAGAAGGAGTATCTTGGATTTGAATCCCTACTACAGCTCTCATATTATGAGGATGTTGGGTTTTTTTTTTTCAATTACTTTATTTGGAGCATCAAAGCATTGTTGAGAGAAGACACATTAACTGAAGCCTGAAATAACTTCAATCAATGCTAATTTGGGATATTCATAGAGGTCACCAATAGAAAAGCAAAACAAGAAGCAAAGAAAATTAACAAGTAGGCATTATTTCTGGGAGTGTGACCTCACAGGTTTAAAGGCTGCATGTCATTTTAAACAAGATCATTAAATAATTTAAAGAAGCAATAGAGAAAATGGGTAGGTAGCAGAGATCATAAAGACACTCCATGAAAAGCGTAAATACAACATATTCTAATGTTGTACAAATGACTTACTGTGGCTTTGAACAAAATTTACAGTGACAGCAAAATTCATGGATTCAACATTGACTACCTCTCATGTAACATAACGTAGATGCTCATGAAGATGATATCTATAAAAATCTGTGTTACATAAATCTAAAAAGTCACCCTAATAAAATTAGAGTCTGATGTCGAAAATTAAAGTTTGAATAGAATGGTTTCATTATTATTTTATATAATATGTGGTTTTAAATATGTATGTATAAGTAAATTAAATATTATGATTAGACTTTTGAATATTTAATCTGCAGTCTGAGAGTACATATTTAAAATTTCCTTTAGGAATTTAGATTACTTTATATTTGTGTTTACCTTATCTTTCAGCGTTCATGTTAAATGGATCTAGAGCTCCCAATAGCAGTGTGTAGCTTATAGATGCCAAATAAGGATTTGAAGCACATACTATATGCATTGAATTATCAGCCTTTACCTTTCTATGGTACAATTTTTACCCTACCAGGTATGTTCAGTTTATGCAATTGTATTATTTCAAGTAATTACTTTCCTTTCAGTTTTTTTACTAGAACTCTAACTTAGCCCCCAAGCCAGATAATAGAGCTAGAGCCCAGCTTCTTAGCACTTTATCACCTTCTGATCAGGGTATTATATTGAAAGCCATAATATTTCCAGCTCCTAACTGGTGTTCTGCTCTAAATTAGATGTGTCCCTTCTGGATTCAAATGCAAACATAGGCAATGGCTAGAGACAACTGCTGCTGTGCTACATCCACTAATTAAATCTCTCCAGGTATTGGGGTGGTCATTGAGGCTGCATAATAAACGAGAAGTTTAAAGTGTTGTGGACAACCATCCGGCAATCACAGTGGGGAGGCAGGTGACATTATGAAAGTACAAGCAGAGAGACAGAAAGAAACCAGGTTTATGAACAATATTTTAAAATCTTCACTCAAAATCCTAAGGTCTGCTTAAGTTCTTGCTATATGTCAATGAAAATCTTTTATTATTTAAGCTATTTTGTGTGTGATTTCTTTTATATGCAACCCAATTTAACTTCATTAATATTTAATCTCGTATATTTTTCTTAAATATGGTAATTTCCCCTTTCCCATTCCAAAGGTGTTCTCTCTGAACTTAGTTTTCCTATATTCAACCCACCGCTCAGCTGAACTTTTACAGGTATTGTTATAACACCCATTGGCTCTAGCTTCTCTGAGTAGTGGGTCTAAAGTTCTTGTCATGACATTGAAGGCCTCTATAACCTAGTTCCTTTTAAATTCCCAGACACATTTCCAGACACTCCCTGTAACACTATGGTTCCCCAAGTCCTTTTTTTCCCACAATTTGTAGTTTACACATGTTAACCTCTGTATCAGATTTGTCTCTTGTCTAATTCTCCAATGAACCTTCTACTCATCTTTCAATACTCAGCTCAAATTTCAGTTACACTAGGAACCTTGTTTCCTCATGTAGAGAAAATTGCTCCTCTCACTGTGTTTCCATTGCACTCTTGGATATTTCATGACTGATTAAGTAATGTCTTTTATCAATACATATGTATTAGATTATAAGATCTTTGATGACAGAAATTTTATTTTATTCATCTTTTTTTTTTAGGAATCTAGCCCAGTACTTGGCAGATATCCATGCGCAGCAAACACAGAATAAATGCTAGAATGACAAAAGGCAGGAAGAAAAGAAGCAAAAAAAAGAGCTTTCATGGAACAATTAAAATCTGAGCGTAGAAGACAGTGTTTACAAGTAAGGAGTATAGTCGGTACAAATCGTAGATGACTCCAATTTAAGAGAGGATTAATAAAATCTGTTAATGTTTCTCCACTAGGAATCACAAATAATTCATTATTTCATCTATTTCTTGATAACTAGTAGAATGCACCTTATTCATCTGAAGGTTATAAAAAGCAATTCAGTTTTAGTGTAAAGGCCAAAGTATAAAGAAAACCCAAATATATTATTTTAAAAAGCCAATTGAATCAAACAACATTTTCTTAACAATGCAGCAGAAAACACAAGTGTACAGACTAGCATAGGATTAATGTAGATACACTGACAGAAGGTGCTTTCTAATGGTGACCATGAGATTTTTCAGGAATCAGTCTATAAAATTATGAAGACTATTTTGTCATAGAAAAAAGAATGCTTTTTCTAGGGTATAGTTATTTATAAGTATATTTTAAAATCAATTATAAAATCACTTTCAGAAATCAATATCACTTTCTCATTGTAGGGACTGGATATTTCTTTGGGTAATTTCATGCTTTTTATCTTTAATCTTAGGTCCTAAAATGCTCCAGTGCCATTTTAAAATAATTTGATATTTCTAATTTGGGGGTACTCTTAAGCATTCAAAAGGACAGTTGGATTGATGAAGATCTTTTCCTGATAGAGAAAGCTAGTATTCAAAATAGAATAATTAGAAAATCTATCAAGAGTCTGACAGGAGCTGTTTAACTTCATATTATTGGCTAAGAGCACATCCATTTTATTCAGTTTGGGAATAATCTCTCTTCTAGGTAGTTAAAACCCAGTGTGGCTAGAACTGCATAACTGAGCAATATTTAATCTCCTAAAGTCAATAACACTTGAAATTACAAAAGTATATTCAGTTAAAATGAGTTCTTATAAAGATTAATTATAATAAAGGTCCAAAGGATATACTGCCTTCTGTAATTTCTATTTTGATTAATGGCATTATTTTCTAAAGAGTCAACCAAGCCAGAAAATAAAGTTATCCTAAATTTCTCCCTCTCACATTATTTCTACTTCCCAATTAAGTTTCCACTCTCTGCATTCAACACCTTTATGTTTTTACTGTCACTCTGCTAAATTTCTAAATTGTTTTCCCATAGTCATTCTTGTTCCTTGCAAGCTGTTTTCTGTATGTGACTTTCAGACATCCTCACTTCCTCAGTGGGTCAAACATGAACTATGTTCACACATCCCATATGCTCCTTCCTCAAACTTTTCTGTCTAATTAAATGGTAACTCAATTTTTCCAATTTCTTAGTTCAAAAAAACTCTTTCTCTCATAACGTAGCAAATCTATCAGTACATCATATAGGCTCAACTTCTTAAATGTATCCAGAATTACCCATTTATCATGATCTTGTTCCACTGGTAGCTGATATTCTTATGCAACCCATCCTTATCTATTGCCTGATTTGCTGGCATAGCCCTCTAACTATCCTATCTGCTTCTATGCTTGCTCCATTGCAGTCTATTCTGCATATACTTTCTAGAAATTAAAAAAAAGAAATAACTCAGATCATGTCTCTCTCTGCTCTAAATTTCTGCTAGTTTTCCATATAATTTTTCCCTGGCTATTTTGATGAACTTATCTCCTATTACACTTCTTCTTACTCCCTTCATTTCAGCCACTTTAGCTTCTTTGCCATTTCTTTGTACATGCCACACATTTTAGCGCCTTGGGGCTTTACATGCAGTATCTCTTTAGCCTAGAACACTCTTCCCTCAGAAAACCACTTGTCTCCTCAAATAATTTTTGTCTGCACTCAAATATCACTTTATCAGAAAAATCCTCCCTAGCCACTTTTTCTATCCCTTATACACATTTTCTATCCCCTTATACTTTTTAATTTGTATTTGTAGTACTTATAACTACCTGATATTTATTTATTTGGAGACCAATAATTAAGTTCCAATGTTAAATAGTAAAGGTCTAACGTGCAAAAGCTGGAAGAAGTAGCCATCCCCTCAAATGTGCAGATATCAATGTAAGGAATCAATGATTGCGAAAAATTAGGGAAATATGACATTACCAAAAAAAACACATAGAGCTTTAGTAATAGTCCCAAAAGAATTGATGAGTTATGAAATGTCTGGCAAATAATTCAGAATAATTATCTTGAAGAAGCTTAACAAATCACCAAAAGTTATCCTTAGAAAATTAAATAAAATTAGAAAATAATCCAGGAATAAAATGAGAAATTTGACAAAGAAATATAAACAATTAAAAATAAAAATCCTAGAAATAAAGAATGCAGTAGCTGGACTGAAAAACTTACTGAAAATCTTTACCAGCAAACTTGATCAAACATTGAAAAGAATGTTCTTTAGACAGAACATATGACATTACTCAATCAGAGGAGCAAAAAGATTTAAAAAGTACAAATGCTTTTATTATTGCAACAAGTAAATGTCTAGAGGCACAAAACTCAGTGGTAAAAGCAAATATACAGAAAAATTCAAAATAATCTAATGCAGTAATCAAGGTATATAAACCACTTATCTATCTTTTGTATGAAGACTAAAAACTATATTAAAAAATAATAACTACAATAACTGGTTAAGCGATAAGCACTATCAAATGGATGTAAATTTTAATATCCAAAAGTCAAAATGTGAGAATGGGGGATATTGTTAGTGTATAGTTTGTTTTTGTTTCTTTTCCATCCTTTGCAATTAAAGTTAAGTTGTTATCAGTTTAAAATAACCTGTTACTATAAGATAGTTTTTGTAAGCCTCATGCTAACCACAAAGCAAAAGCCTATAATAGATACACTAAAAATAAAGAGCACAGGGTCAAAGCAAACTATAAGAGAAAAGCTCCTAACTACAAAGGAAACCAATAAGAGAGGGACAAAAAAGAAGAAATGATGTACAAAACAACCAGAAAACAATAACAAAATGGTAGTTGTAAGTCCTTACCTATTAATAATAACTTTAAAGGTTAATGGATTAATTCCCCAGTAATAAAAAGTCCTTTATCAAAAAAACAAACAAACAAACAAACGGAAAACCAGGCCCTGATGGCTTTACTGTTGAATTCTAACAAACATTTAAATAAAAACTAATACCAACTCTCCACAAACTCTTCCAGGAAATTAAAGAGGGAAAATTATTTCCAAACGCAATTTACAAGGCAATCATTACTCTGATTCCAAACAATACAAAGACAACAAAGTAAGAAAACTATAGGCCAATATCCCTGATGAAGATAGATGAAAAAATTCTCAAAGAAATAGTAGCAAACTGAATTCAGTAGCATATCAATAACATCACTTATTATAATTGAGATTCATTCCCGGAATGCAAGGATGGCTCATCATATACAAATGCATAAATGTGAGACATCATATTAATAAAAAGAAAGTGAAAAACCATATGATTATTTCAATAGTTGCAGATGAAGCATTTGACAAAATTTAACATCTGTTCATGATTAAAAAAAAGAAACCTCCACAAATTAGGCATAGAAGATGTGTACCTTAACACAATAAAGTTAAAATCCATATATGACAAACCCACACACAGCTAATATAATATGAATGGAAACAAGCTGAAAACTTTTCCTCTAACATGAGAAGCAAGAAGAGAATGCCCATTCTCACCACTTCTGTTCAATATAGCTCTAGAAGTCCTAGCCAGAACAATTAGGCAAGAAAAAGAAATAAAACTTACACAAATTGAGAAAAATGGCTAAATTTGTTTCTGTTTGTAGATGACATAATCATATATATGATATACCAATACTCCACCAAGAAAAAAAACACTGTTTGAGCTAATAAATAAATTCAGTAAAGTTGCAGGATACAATATCAACATAGAAAAATCAATAGCATTTCAACACACTAACAGCAAACTCTCCAAAAAACAAAATAAGAAAACAATATCATTTACCATAGGATCAAAATGAATAAAATACTTAGGAATAAATTTAATCAAGAAGGTGAAAAATCTCTACAATGAAAACAATAAAACATTGATGAAAGAAATTGGAGAAGATACAAATAAATGAAAAGATAATCTTGATAATGAATTAAAAGAATTAATATTGTTAAAATGTTCATATTTCCCAAAGTGATGTACACATTAAATGCAATCTCTATCAAAATGCCAATGACATTCTTCACAGACACAGAAAAAAAAATCCTATAATTTGCATGGAACCCCAAAATACCTTGGATTAGCAAAAAAAAAAAAATTAAAAAATAAAATAAAAAAAAACTTGAGCAAAAAGAAGAAAGCTGGAGATATAACACAGTCTGACTTCACGGTATTCTGTAAAGCTGTAATAACCAAAAGTAGCATGATATGGCATAAAAACAGACATTCAGACCAATGGAACAGAAAGCCCAGAAACAAATTCACACATTTACTGCCAACTGATTTTCAGCAAAACTCTGCTAAGAATGTACAATGATGAAGGGAAATGCGTAGTTAGTGTTTAATAGGTGTGAAATTTCAGTTTGGAAAGTTGAAAAACAGTTCTGAAAATGGATTATGGTAATGGTTGCAGAATAATGTGAATGTCAGAACATTACATTTAAAAATGATGAAAATCACAGACTTTATGTATCTTTCACCACATACACAACATGATTGCTTAGGGTACCATTCACTGAGAAGGTGACAAACAAATATTTGATAAAGATGAGGCACCTAGGCCTTTTGATATCCCACAAGAAAGAAAGCCTATGTTACTAGAGTAGATTAAAAACAAGTGAAGTAAGTAATGAAGTCAGATAAGTAATGGTATGAAGGGGACAGATTGAGACAGACTTGAAAGCTGAGAACTGAAAATAGACATTGGATTTAGCAATATACTGTTCTCTGTAGTTAGTACTAATTAGAAAAGGGTAGTTTTCGTGGCTGATGTGCTGAAAATGTATATTGAGAAGGAATACAAAAGAATTGGAGGAAAGCATATCCTAAAATATTAAATACAATGAGAGTCACACATTTTTGAGTTAAAATAATCCCTTCCATCTAATCTAGTATCCCTTCTTAAGAGAAAGAATGAAAGAGGACTTTTGTAACAGAGCAAAGAGGGTTTATAGATTTGTCTAAGGTTTTGCAACATATTCTGTGCAATGAATAGTCATTTTCTCACTCTAACATAGAATTTATTGAGTCAGTTTTCACACAGCTTCTCATTTACTCAGAGTCTTAGGCAACATTTTTTTAGATCCTCAAATTGAATCCAAAAGCTTTTATTCTTTGTGGTTGAGGATTAATATAATAATTAAGGAAAGGTTTTGACTTTGTATTTTAAAGGTACAACCAAACCATCATGAGTCTTAGTTCACATTTATTAAAAATTTCTCGTTCTTTTTCTCAACTCTAAGTAAATTAAATGAAATGGCCTCCAAGGTTATTGTCATATGTAGACTATTCAACTGTAGGGTATTGAACTATATAATCTACTTTCATCCCATTAGAGCTGTATCACTCTTAGTCTTCTGTCTAATTGTGAGTAGACAATCAGATACAAATGGTTTTCAAACGGATTTACTATAAAACACTAGTGGAGGAAAATGTCAGGATCTTAGCTGTTTTTTATTTGAAGTGTAAACTATTAACTATTCTAAAAATCCCTTAATTTGAGTATCCTCCACTGAGATCATAAAGTTTGGGGTGATAACATTGGCATAAATCAGTACCTTTTCAAATATAAAAGACAAACCTGATAATTAGGAACCTTTACATTTTTTCCTATGCAATTTATTACACTTACCCTATTTAAAGTTAGTTTTTAAATCAAGTGTATACCTGGATTAAGACAGTAATGTCCTAATTGGTCTCTTTGACTCTAGATTCGCCTATCTCCATTATAGGGTACACACTACTGTATGATTAATCTTATTAAATCACAGTTCCCAGTGAATCACTTCTTGCTTTAAAAATAGGGCTTATTAACTAAATATTTGCTTTATTGAATTAAGGATGTAAATGTGTGTGTATGACAAAAATGGTTACCTGTTTTTACTGCACTAACATGATACATTTTTACTAAAATTGTAACAATGTCCGTAAATAACTCATTTTACAAATAACTATTTTTTAATTTATTTTCTTTTCCCCAAGTGATAAATTTCTTGTTGCTATTACAAAGGGTCCACAATGGTTAAAGTTTGCATATTCAAGGCCTAGAGAATGATCTCTGGAAGATGCGCGACTGTATAAAAATTTATTTGAAATAACTGTTAAGATTTTATTATAAATATATGTGTGTGTATGTGAGTTTATGTTTGTGTATATACACATATATATCTTAAAGTCAAATAACCAGACATGCATGTGTGTGTGTTTGTGTGTGTGTGTGTGTGTATGTATGACTATTCTAACCTTTGTCATAAAATCAAGTTTGTCTCAAAAGGCAACCAGAGCTTCATTTTCAGCCATGGTACTTACACTATCATGTAAAATGAAGCTGGAAACAAAGGGATAATTGAAAAATGAATATAAAAATCTATAAAACAGGCCAGGCGTGATGGCTTACACCTGTAATCCCAGAACTTTGGGAGACTGAGGATCACCTGAGGTTAGGAGTTCGAGACCACCCTGGCCAATATGGTGAAACCCCATCTCTACTAAAAATACAAAAATTAGCTGGGCTTAGTGGCGTGTGCCTGTAATCCCAGCTACCCAGGAGGCTGAGGCAGGATAATCGCTGGAACCTGGGAGGCAGACGCTGCAGTGTGCCGAGATAGCTCCACTGCACTCTTGGGGGAGATAGAGTGAGACTCTGTCTCAAAAAAAAAAATTATAAAACAACTATTTTTATATATCAGATATCATGCAAAGTTATAGTCTGATCACTTGGAGAGTTACAGAAAACAAGCAAATAAGTGGATTATTGCACTGGCTCTGGCTTTCTGCCAGGAGGTTCTTTCCTGAATGGGGAAGCAGATCAGCAGCAGAATATTGCAGTCTTGTGGAAGTAAAGAAATAGGTATCAGACTTTGAGCTGATGGATATAGCTGGAACTAGTGAGGCAGGTGTTAGAGAGAAGGGAGCAACAACAACAACAAAAAAACAGTTTCAGATATCTGAATAGGAATCTCTGAGAATCTTTAGCTAAATATTAATCTGTATTTGTATAGATTAAAAAATCATAAGACCAAAACAAATTAACAACTGTTGGGAAACTATAGAATGAACATTTCTCAGAGCAACGCAAGGCTGAGAGGCATTTGAATTTCATTAGCCCAGAATACAGAAGCTTATTTTAATACTTTGGAAAATCCGTGGATACCACAAAGGGTCATATCTTAGTAATCAGGCTATTTAGTAATACCTAAAAGAGTTTTCTTATTTTTATTTTTTTAGACAGGGTCTTGTTCTGTCACCCGGGCTGAAGCATAAGTAGCATGATCACAGCTCACTGCAGTCTCAAATCCCCGGACTCAAAGGGTCTTCCCCACTGAGTAGCTGGGACCAAAAGTGGGTGCCACCACAACTGGATCATTTTTTTTTTCTTTATAGAGACCAGGTGTCCCTATGTTGCCCAGGCTAAAGAGTTTAAAATTATGCATTGAATCAGTCTGCTCTGCAAGTAACATAACTACCTGCCAAATAAATTAAGCATTCTTTAAAGAAAGAAAACTAAATCATAACATTCAACAACATAACAATGTTCTGCAACAAATAAAAATTTACTAGAAACATGTATTAGTTTTCTCTTGTTGCCATAAGAAATTATCACTAATTTAGTGGCTTGAAGTATACAAATACATTACCTTGCAGTGTAGTAGGTCACAAGATTAGTAAGGGTCTCACTAGATTGAAATCAAGGTGTTGACAGGCTGCATTCTTTTCTGGAGGAGCTAAGGGAGAATTGGTTGCTGGTTTATTGGGGTTATTAGCCAAATTTAGTTTCTGGTGATTTTAGGACTGAGGTCTCTATCGGCCTTATTTACAGTTTTGCAAGCTGTAGAAATCAAGGCTCATTCACAGCTTCCAGAAACTATAGGGTTCCTGGTACATGGCTTCCTTTTTCCATCTTCAAAGCCAGCAACAGGGGGTGGACTACTTTTCATGTTGCAACTTTCTGACCTCAGCCAGAAAATGATATGCACGTTTAAGAGCTCCTTTAATTAGACTGGCCCACTCAGCTATTCTAGGATAACGTCCTCATCTCAAAGTTTGTATTCTTAATGGCAAAGTATCCTTTACCATGTAAATATTAAAAATATATTCACAGATTCCAGGGATTAGGGCATGAATATCTTTGAAGGGAGTGGCAGCATTATTTGCCCATTATATTATGTGAAAAACCAAAAAATAAAACTCATGTAAGGATGAAAATCAGTCATTAGATATCACTCCAGAAATGGCAGAAATGATTTGATCTCTATGAAATTCACTGACAGACATGGATATATAAAGTCACAAAAATTATAAATATAAGAAATATATACATAAATATTTCTTATATTTATATATTTACAAATATATAATACATATTTCTTTATAATATTTTATATTATATATAAATATAAATATAAGAAAAATATGAAAATAATGGGGGGAGAAATTGAAGATATAAAAAAAGACTAGGTCAAAATAATAAGAACAAATAAATAATACTCAAAAGGAAAAATTTACTCAAATTAACAGCAAGATAAATATCATAGTAGAAAATATTAATGCATTTGAAGACATAGTGACAGAAACTATTCAAACTGAGGCTCAGAGAAGAGGGAAAAAGCTTGAAAAACTGAACAGGATCTCAGTGACTTATGACACAATATCAAGTGGATTTAATATATGTATAATTAGAACCCAAGAAGGAACAAAAAGAAAGGAACGATGAATAGCTAAAGGTTCTCTAAATGAGATGAAAAATATAACCTTACAGATCCATAAAATACTAAAACCCATTCACAATAATAAAAATAATAATGCACCAAGGTAAATCATAAGTAGATTGTTGAAAATCAGAAATAAAGAGAAATTCTTAAAGACAACCATATTCTTCTGTATATACAGAAGAATAAAGATAAGGATTACATAAACTTTTATCAGAATCTATCTTAGTCAAAAAGAAATGGCAAGATCTTTTTAAAGTACCAAAAGCAATTATTATTGGTCTACAATATATATTAAGAAAATTTGCAAAAGAAAAAGGGAGAAAGAATCAAGCAATTGTCCAAATATTTGGAAAATGAATAACAAAGTTCTAAATAAAAAATCTCAAATGTAAAATTCAAGTACCAAGAATAACTCTCAAGAGAAATTAGTAAATATTTTGATTTGAATGGAGAAAAATCTCAAAACCAACATATCTAAATTTGTGAGATGCAACTTAAAACAGTGCTTAGAAGGAAGTCTGTGTCATTGAATACTTACATTAGGAAAGAAGAACTGTTTACAGCCAAGAGCCTAAACTTGCAACTCAGGAAACTAGAAAAAAAAATAACAGGTTAACCCAAAGTAAGCAGGAGGAAAGGAAAAATAAAGGTAAGAATAGAATTCAATATAAAAGAAAAAGGAAAAAATTATGAAAAATCTATGGAAGCATAAATTTGCTCATAGAGAAGATCAATGAAATTTTTCCGAAAAAGAGAGAAAACACAAATCACCAATATTAAGAATGAGAAAGTGGATATTACTACAGGTGCTACCAACTTTAAAGAGTTCACAAAACCTTAATTATTGAAGTAGTCATTAAGAAGACTGTGTATGTAGAAAATCCTAAGAAATCAAAAATAAAGTGCAAGAATTAATAAATTTAGCAAGTTTGCAGGGTACATGGTAAGAATAAAATTACTTTATTTCTATGTTATGAGGCCACACAATTGGGAAAATGCAATTTCAAAAAGTAACATTTACAATAGCACAAAAAACCTGAAATACTTATTAAATGTACCACAATAGGTGTAAAACCTGTAAATTAAAAACTTAAAATATTGCTGAAATTTAAAAGTACCTGCATAAACAGTTAATTATGTAAGTGGATCAGAATAGGTAAATTTAGTATATGTAAATTGTGCTTTAATAGAGCTGTTAATTATAAATAAATATATTTTTTAAATGTCGGCTAGGCTTATGCCTGTAATCCCAGCATTTTGGGAGGACAAGGTGGGTGGATGACTTGAGGTCAGGAGTTTGAGACCAGTGTGGCCAACATGGCAAAATCTGGTCTCTACTAAATAAATACAACAATTAGCTGGGCGTAGGTGGCGCTGGCCTTTAGTCCCAGCTACTTGGGAGGCTGAGGCGGGAGAATCGCTTGAACCCACGAGGCAGAGGTTGCAGTGAGCCAAGATTGCACCATTGCACTCCAACCTGGGCAACAGAGCAAGAATCTCTCTCAAAAAACAAAAACAACAACAACAACAACAACAAAAAACGACAGGCATATCCATAAACATTGCCCAACTGGATATCAAGTAGCCCCATTAGATTGACATAATAAAAGGGCTTGATTAGTCAATTTTGAGTCAGATAACTAATCCAATACATGCACCTCATGAAAAAATGTCTTTCATGTCTGTACTTTCTGGGGTTGAAATTTTAGCAGAATCATTCCAAATGCTAGTAAATGTTTTTTCTCCTTCTCACAGCTAGTAAAATCTTAGAGTACATGGAATTTCAAATGCTATCAAATTGCATCAGTAGTGATGAGATATGCCACTGCGCATTGGGTGGCTACAGCCAGATGCTTTTACTTTATGTCAGGAGGTTGTGCCATGTGGGAATGACCAATTGCTTACCTAGCAGTGCTAGACTGACTGGGTTCTCCCCTTTAACCACTGCTGCATGGCAAGTGAAACCAGCCAAAGCCATGCATTTCTGGCTGCTTTCACAACATCTAGAATTAGATGAAGTGATCTCTTGAGAACAGTATCTGGGTTCAGCAGAAGTTGTTAGAGTCCCTGAAGATAAAACTTGGAAGAAGATAAAAAGAGCAAGGAAGATGTATTATCTCTCTTTCCTCCCTTTTACATGCTTTTGTTCCAAATAACAATTTTTTGTTGTGTCTTTCATACTGCCTGTCTGAGACACCTTGTGTGACCAGGCAACTGCATCTTTGTGGCTCATGATGGAAAACTGGCCAGCAGAGTAGCACACCAATTTATGTTGCTTCTTATGTTTCTCCTCTTTACTTTTTTTTTTTCCTTAATCTTCCTGTCCTGAGATTTAACTGTCCTCCTCCCAAAATTACACAAAAATGAGAAAAATCGGCATTTTTCCTACTTTATTTCTGTTTTCTAGGGATCTGTGTTAAGAAACTAGAACAGCAACAGTTCATGAAATCAATAGTCACCATCTAATTTGGCCTTGGTTTTTATATTCAAGACTTTGCAGACTTGGGAATTGCATATGTAGAGTGTAATTTTATCCATAAAACAGATTTTTGAAAAGGTTTTAGTGCCATCATTATCCTTAAGGTCTCATTATTTTAAACGTCTGTGGATAGATGCAGAATAATCTCCACCTCCCTTCAATGCTCACTCCAAGGATGTTTAAATTTTAATCCTTAAAATCTGTAAATATTTTGTATTTCATAATAAAAAAGGCCTTGTTTATGTGATTAAATTAAGGACATTGAGTTGAAATTCTCCTGTGTTATCCAAGTAGGCCTAATGTAATAAAAAGAGCCTTTAATAGTGAAAGAGTGAGCTGGAAGAGTCAGAGTGATAAACATGAGAGACTCAATAACCACTGCTGGCTTTAAAATGGAAGAGGGCCACAAACAGAGGAATTGGAAAGCCTCTAGAAACTGGAAAAGGCAAGACAATGGGAGCCTAGAGACTCAAGGAGGAACCCAGCCCTGCCTTCAGGACTAGATTTTAGCTCAGTAAGATTCACTTTGTATTTCTGGCATCTAGAAATATAATAAATTTGTATGGTTTCAAGCCACTAAGTTTGTGGTAAGCTGTTATTGCAGCAAGAAGAAATTAATACAGAGGCTTTAGAATTTTTGTCATAGAATATTTACCAATGTAGAAATAATTTTTGTGGGTTTGATTTCTAAAATTTCAACTTTTATTTTAGATATAGAGTGTCCATGTACAGGAATGTAACATGAGTATATTGCATGATGCTGAGGTTTAGGGTACAGATCCTGTCACCCAGATAGTGAGTTTAGTACCCAATAGGTAGCTTTTTAACCCATGCTCCTTCTTCTTCCTCCCCTTTCTAATAGTCCACAATATCTATTCATGTGGAACTCTGAATCAATTAAACTTTTCCTGTCTTTATGCCCATGAGTACCTGGTATTTAGCTTCCACTTATAAATGAGGATATGTGGTATTTGGTTTTCTGTTCCTGTGTTAATTCACCTTCAGCTGTGCTATTGTGAATAATGTTATTGTGAATAACATTGTGATGAACATAGGAATACATGTGTCTTTTGGTAGAACAATCTATTTTCTTTTGGATATTTATCTAGTAATGGGGTTGTTGAGTCACATGGTAGCTCTGATATAAGTTCTTTGAAAAATACCCAAACTGCTTTCCACAGTGGCTGAGCAAATTTACAGTCTCATCAACAGCATATAAATGTTCCCTTTTCTCTGAAGCCACACCAGCATCTGTTATTATTTGACTTTTTAATAATAGCCATTCTGACTGGTGTGAGATTGGAACTCATTGTGATTTTGATTTGCATCTCTCATAGTTAATGATGATGAGCATTTCTTCATGTTTGTTGGCTACTTGTATATCTTCTTTTGAGAAGTGTCTGTTCATGTCTTTTGCTCATTTTTTTAATGAGGTTGTTTTTTGATTACTGATATAAGTTCCTTATAGATTTTGGATAGTGGACCTTTTTTAGATGCATAGTTTGCAACTATTTTCTCTCATTATGTGTGATATCTGTTCACTGTGTAGAAGTCCCTTAGTTTAATTAGCTCTCACTTGTCAATATTTGTTTTTGTTGCAATTGTTTTGGGGACTTACCAACAATTCTTTGCCAAAGCAAATGTCCAGTGGGGTATATCCTAGGTTTTTGTTTAGAAATTGTTATAGTCTGAGTTCTTACATTTGAATCTTTAATCCACCTTGAGTTATTTTTTTTTTATATGGTGAAATGTAGGGGTCAAGTTTCATTCTTCTGCATATGGCTAGCCAGTTATCCCAGCACCATTTATTGAATAGAGAGCACTTTCCCTATTGCTAGTTTTTGTCAGCTTTGTCAAAGATGAAATTGTTGTAGGTGTATGGCTTTCTTTCTGTGTTCCATATTGTATTCCATTGGCCTATGTGTCTGTTTTTGTGCTAGCACAATGCTGTTTTGGTTACTATAGCCTTACAGTATAGTTTAAATTTGAGTAGTGTGATGCCTCTGGCTTTTTTATTTAAGAGTGCCTTGGCTCTTTAGGTTCTTTTTTGGTTCCTCATGAATTTTAGAATAATTTTTCCTAAATCTGTGAAAAATTCCATCAGTAGTTTGATAGAAACAGCATTGAACCTGTAAATTGCTTTGCAGAGTATGGCCATTTTAATGTTATAGATTCTCCCAATCCATAAGCATAGAATTCTTTTTTAAATTTATTTGTGCCATCTCTGATTTTTTCATCAGTGTGTTGTAGTCCTCCTTGTACAGATCTTTTACCTTCTTGGTCAGATGTATCCCTAGGTATTTTATTCATTTTGTGGATATTGTAAATGGGGTTACATTCTTGATTTGGCTCTCAGCTTGAATATTACTCATATATAGAAATGCTACTAATTTTTGTACATTTATTTTCTATCCTGAAACTTCTCTGAAGTCATTTTTCAGTTCAAGAAACCTTTTGGCTGAGTCTTTAGGGATTTTTAGTTATAGAATCAGATTGTCAGTAAAGAGGGGTGGTTTGACTTCTTCTTTTCCTATTTGGGTACTTTTTATTTATTTCTCTCACCTAATTAATCTGACTAGGACTTTCTAGAAATAAATTTTGAATAAGTAGAAATGTGTTTTGAAGGGCGTATAAAAAACTCTTAAAATATTTGAGGATATTTGTCATTCAAAACTCTTCACTTTCAAGATCACATGAACAAACAGGAAACATAGAAGTATTTGTGGGTAAAATGGATTGGCTGTATCTCCACACAAATCTCATCTCAAATTGTAATCCCCATGTGTCGGGAGCCAGGGAGAGACCTGGTGGAAGGTGATTAGATCATGAGGCTGGTCCCTCCATGCTGTTTTCATGATAGTGAGTGAGTTCTCACAAGATCTGGTTGTTTGATAAGTGTTTGGTGCTTCCCCCTTCTCTCTCTGCCTCCTACTGTCATGTAAGACATGCCTTGCTTCCCCTTCACCTTCCACCATGATTGTAAGTTTCCTGAGGCCTCTTCAGCCATGTGGAACTGTGAATCAATTAAACTTTTCTTTATAAATTACCTGGTCTCAAGTAGTATCTTTATAGCAATGTGAAAATGAACTAATACAGGAAATTGGTAACATGGAGAGTGGGGCGCTGCTATAAAGATAACCTGAAAATGTGGAAGTGACTTTGGAACTGGGTAATGGGCAGACGTTGGAATAGTTTTGAAGGGTCAGAAGAAGACAAGATCGTATGGGAAAGTCTGGAATTTCCCAGAGATTTGTTGAATGGTTTTGGCCAAAATGCTGATACTGATATGGACAATGAACTCCAGGCTGAGATGGTCTCAGATGGAGATGAGGAACTTATATTTAAAAGGGTAGCAAAAGATTAGAGTTTGGAAAATTTAAAGACTGACTATGTGGTAAAAAAGAAAACCCCATTTCCTGGGGAGAAATTCGAGCCAGCCTTAGAAATTTGCATAAGTGACAAGGAGCCAAATGTTAATAGCCAAGGCAATGGGGAAAATGTCTCCAGGGAATGTCAGAGACCTTCACGGTAGCCCCTCCCAAGGCCTGGAGGCCTAGAAATGAAAAATGGTTTCATGAGTGGGGCCCAAGACTCCATTACTCTGTGCAGCCTCTGGACATGGCACCCTGTGTCCCAGCAGCTCCAGCTCCAGTGGTAACTAAAAGGAGCCAATTTACAGCTCAGGCCATTGTTTCAAGGGGTACAAGCCCCAAGATTTGGAGGCTTCCACATGGACCTGGGCCAGCAGATGCACAGAGGTCAGGAGTTGAGGCTTGGCAGCCTCCAACTAGATTTCAGAGGATGTATGTATGAAAACGCCTGGATGCCCAGGCAGAGGTCTGTTAATGAGGCAGAAGCCTCACGGAGAACCTCTACTAGGGCAATGCAGGGGGATATGTGGGGTTGCAGCTCCCAAACTGAGTCCCCACTGGGGCACTGCCTAGTGTAGCTGTGAAACGGCTACTGTCCTCCAGATCCCAGAATGGTAAATCCACTGAGAGCTTGCACCATGCACCTAGAAAATCCACAGGCACTCAATGCCAACCTGTGAAAACAGCCACAGAGGCTTTACCCTACAGAGCAGAGCCACAGGGGTGGAGCTGCCAAAGCCCTGGAGAGCCCACCCCTTTCATCAGTGTGCCCTGGATGTGAGACATGAAAGCAAAGAAGATTTTGGAGCTTTAATATAGTAACTGCCCAGCTGGGTTTTGGACTTGCATGGGACCTGTGGTCCCCTTGGTTTTGCCAATTTCTTCTATTTGGAATGGGAACATTTACCCAATGCCTGTACCCTTGTTGTATCTTGGAAGTAACTAACTCGTTTTTGATTTTACAGGCTCATAGGCAGAACAGACTTCCCTTGCCTCAGATGAGACTTTGCACTTGGACTTTTGAGTTAATGCTGGAATAAGTTAAGACTTTGGGGGACTGTTGGGAAGGCATGGTTGTGTTATAAGTAAAGTTTTGGTGCCACAAAAGAAATAGCACTTGAATATAAAATTTTCTTTTTAATTCTCAGCAAGGCAAGGTACTTCTATAGAAGGGTGTGCCCTTACAGATGGAGCAATGGTGAAGCACATACTTGGACAAGGGATGGGAAGGGGGTCTTATCACTGACACACGTGGCCCCTGCTGCTGTGTTGTTCCCTATTGGCTAGGGTTAGGCCGTACAGGATAAACTAATTCCGATTGGCTAATTTAAAGATAGTGATGGGGTGAGTGGTTTGGCGGGAAAAATGGTTATGATAGAGCAGGTAATCGGAATGAGTCAGGGTGGAGTAGGTAATCGGAATGAGTCAGAGTGGAGCAGGTAATCGGAATGAGTCAGGGTAGAGTAGGTAATCAGAATGAGTCAGGGTGGAGCAGGTAATCGGAATGAGTCAGGGTGGGGCAGGTAATCGGAATGGGTCAGGGTGGAGTAGGTAATCAAAAAAGGTTGCTTTACAAGGAAGTTAAGTTTAAAAGTAGAAGGCAAAGAATTGAACATACTGACATACTGATTCTTTGAAAAGAAATTTAGAACTCATATCTAACAACCCCTCCTCTTGCATTTCCTTACAGCTCCTTCTTTTCAAATTTTTTAACATGTCTTGGTTTAGTTGTTCCACTTGATTTTCCAAAAGAAGAAGCTTCTCTGGATAAGGTGGAGGATAGTTAAGGGAGGTTTTAGTAAGTGCCATTGTTATGAGCCTCTGCACCAACCCACGGACGCATGGTGTGACACAGCACCTGACAAGAATAAGTACACCCTTTACGGCTGCGAGGGAAGTAAGAATTGAGGCTATTATTCTCTTCCATTTACCGAACCACTCTTTTAGCCATTCTGTAAAGGGGTCATTTACCCTTGAGTTGTTGGCTAACTCACTGGACAGAGCAGTCAGATCTTGCAATACCTTTGTTATACTTCCATCAGGGGCGCTGTTGTTTGGGATGAAGGTACAACATTGAGTTTTAGTCATGATGCAAACTCCTCCTTTTTTTGCTAATATAATATCTAAGGCTATCCTATTTTCCCAAGCCATCTGGCTAGTAGCCCCTAATTGCTCAGCTGTTCCTTTAACAACATCTCTAGCGTAGTTAATAAATCACTGTTGGTTGTAGTAGACGTAGTTTATCCAATCTACAATTTTATTAATTGTCATCCACCAAAATACTGACTCAAATCCTGCAGCTATTTGATTTTGGGCTTTAAATTATCTGGTATTTCCCGTGGGACTCCATTTGCGTTTAAATAGATATGAGAGTTAAAAGATCCATAAGGGGCTTCTCTCACTTTACAATGTCTTATTTTTTTCTTCCGCTAGTTAATGAAATGCCAGGGTGAAAGAGATAGCCAACTGAACTAAAGCACAAGTGCCAGTTCAGTTATTTGGCATAGTGTGCAGTAAAGTTCCACCACAATGCCACCACACATCCACTCGTGGATGAACACGGGCTGACTGATTGATAAGCTCTTGAAAATTCTTAAGCTCGCTGCATCCCTTCAGGTCTCCAAGGAATGCTGTTTCCTCCCTGTCATGAGAGACATGAAGTGAACTTAGTGTTGGGAGACAGAAGGAGGATGGCCCTTGGGGACTGACCCACAAGGTGCCAGATTTCAGGATATAGCAGAGAGAGAGCTTGGCATGATTTGTTACTTCAGGCTGTAGAATCCTAGAAAAGAGCTACCATGCCCAGTTGACAAGAAGAACCCCCTAGTGGAAAGGGGACAGTCTGGGCCTCTGGCCTGCTGTTTACACAAGCATAACAATTGCTTTTGTTTAACATGCGGATGGAATATTTGATCCATTCCGACCAGGCATTTGCATCTTGGTATCCTGTCTTAATTGCCAAAGTTTGTTTTAAGTCTTTAACTTCTACCGTAGCTATCTTGATCTTAGATGCAAGAGAAGCAATTGTTCCATTGTGAGAGGTTTTGGAAGAAGGCTTAGAGGAAGGTGCAGGTGGCGAGGAATCAAAGAAATGCATATCAAAGAATCCAATGGGGTCTGTCCCTGAAACCTCAGCCCCTATACCATAAAACCGGCTTAAAGGGAACTGGCTTAGAAAATGGGAAGAACTTTGAGGGTTTGAGATAATAACCTGTGTAAGATTGCACTGGTTTAGCTGACAGTTAGGGGGTGGGGCTGTCCCTCTAGTAAAATGAATGTATGGTTTTAGGAAATTACAAAAACCGGTTGGGGCAGTCCATCCTTGCTCTTTAGTGGTTCACAGAATGTTGGATCGACTGTGGCATAAAAGCTCTACATCAGAGGGGCAAGACTCCTAGTTGACACTGGGATCTTTATCAAAATCTCCCCAGATTAAATGGTCCCAATTCACTAATGCCCAGTCTGAGGAGAGTTAGGAGAGATAGAGGTGCTTCTCTGAAGTAGAGAGCTGTCTTTGACTTGACACGTTCCCACAGGGTATAACAAGGCAAGCATTAAATACAATAGTTTGAGGTGAAAATGACTTGGTTATGTTAATAACTAGATGGTCAGCAATAGAGCGAGGAAAGAAGAAAGAGTAACAGAATAGATGAAAGAGAGTTAAATTTTTCTTAGTTTTAGTTTGGTACAGGTTTTCCCCTGGGACTATGGTCCACGACTCTGGAGGGGGCAGTGCTTTCTTGACACCAGTGTAACGAGTTCATCCCCTTTTTGCTGTACAAATAGCAATCTCGCTGGTTAGTAGCACAAGGTAGGGTCCTTCCCAGGCTGGCTTGAGTTTTTCTTCTTTCCACCCTTTGAGGAGAATGTGATCTTCAGGCTGGTGCTGGTTTACCAGAAATTCTAGGGGTGGTACCTTTGCTAAAATACTTTCAGTTTTGAGGGAAAGGAAAGTGGAAGATAAACCAAGTATATATTTTCTAAGAAACTGATATTTTGTTTTAAATGTGGGGACATCAGCAGTGGACTTTATAGTCCTTGGTGCCTTCTTACTGAGAAATTTTCTTTAGCACCTATTTTTATTAGTTTTTAGACCAAAGAAAGCCAAACACTATTTTATATTTGACAATGCTTCCTGTATGATTTTTATGCCAGGTAAGCTAAATTTCACCTTTATATTAGTATGTTGTTAATGTTAAACTCAATTTTAATAAAACCTTGTAGACATATTTATCCAATTTTAACATCTGACCACAAGGTAAGATTTTTATAGACTCTTTTTAACCTTTTATAATTTTTGTTAAAGAGCAGGTTAGTGCTTTAAGAAAAACCCATTGTGCTTTTATTTTAATGTTCAGTTCACAGAAAAACTGGATGATACCCCTTTAACTTTAGCCAATATGTTTACACACAGAATTTCCTTTGCAATTAACATTTTAAAACTTGCTTAAACCTTTAAAACAAAATTTTTAACCTTTTAATGTAGGTAAAAATGCACATTTTTATGCCTCCTTATAATCCTTTTATCAAAATTATATTTTACTTTCCTTGCACACCTTGCACATAAACTGTTTCTTCAATAGTTTTACATTCAGGAGGCCTAATTACTTCTAAATTATACAACATTTCTTGCATAAATTCCCTTTTATAACTTTTTTTCACGACTTTCACAGTCTTTGACTTGCCTCAACCTTCTGACTTGTTGCAAACATGCCTTTCTTTAAAAAACCAGTTAATTTATTTTAGGACAAGAATTTATCACATAACATTCTTTTTATATAAATTCTTCCCCTACCCTTTTTTTTTTTTTATTTTCTCCAAAGCAAACTTCCTTCATGTCTGTGGACTAGACTGCCTAAGGCCACAAGACTAGAAGTTAAGATAATACATGTTACACTGTTAACTTTTAGCAAATTTTACTTAAGTTGAAAACCTTGTAAGTTTGGGATTTTAATTATCCTTTGCTATTAATAAGACCTTGTTTAGCCCAAATTAACTTAGAATTTGTATAGATGGTTCCTTCTTGGTTCTGTAAGTACTTTAAGGCTTGGCTGAGTGCAAACAGCTCGCTCACATGTTTGAGCAGATCAATTATTAGGCAATTTTCCTAACTCTGCCTCAACAAGAGTTTCCCTATCAATTACTGAATACCCATTGTGTCTTTTTTCCTCAATCACCCGGGAGGAACTTTCTATAGTCCTGTCCTGAAGGGAGTTCCTCCTAGGTCTGGTTGAACTTTTGTATGGTAATTAATTAAGATTTAGATCCCCTGTTAGGAAACCTGCTGGGTTAAGGGAATTATCAGAGGTTAATTTTAAATCATCTTTTTCTAACAGAATAGCCCCATACTTCAAGATTTTTGAGTTAGTAAGCTACCTTTTTGCTTTTTTTTTTTTTTTTTTTTTTTTTTGACTTAGGGTAGTTCTGAACTGGTGAGGTAGTTCTGAACTGGTGCTCACAATGAGGTTTCCTCTAAAAGTTATTTTTCTACTTTCTTCTGCTAGCAAAGCAGTTGTTGCTACAGAAGGAATGCATTTGGGCCATCCTCGGGTTACTGGGTTAATTTTTGATAGGAAGGCTACGGGTCGTTAGTGGCCTCAGTGCTTTTGGGTTACGCCCTTGTTTACACTGACAACAAGGTGGTATTGGAGTGTTATAGGGTCATGGAAAAGACCTTCAATTATCAATTACAGGTTTTAAATTTACCCTGGCTTTTAAAGGAATAGGGTACACTGTTTTTTCTTTACTAGTTCTATCTCTTTCTCTCTTTGACTTTGTCTCTCTCTTTCTCTCGTTGACTCCCTCTTTGTCTCTCTGCCTCTTCCTCTCTCTCTGCCTGTCTCTTTCTCTCTCTTTGACTCCCTCTTTGTCTCTCTGTCTCTTCCTCTCTCTCTCTCCCCTCTCTCTGCCTCTCTCTCTCTCCCCTCTCTCTTTCCCTTCTCTCTCTTTCTTTCCTCTCTCTCTCTCCTCTCTGCTGTTCTTTCCCTGCTTCTGCCTGCCGCTTATGCTGCTGTTCTCCCCTCTCCTTCCCCTTCCCTTAGAGGAGGGACTGGCGGGAGTGGAGCTACCCTTTCCTCCCCCGAGAAGAAAGGAAAGAGGAGTTCTGAATATTTTTCTTATTACCGGAGGTTTGTGTGAGGTTCAACCCCTGAAATTAGTGGGAGGCTCAACCCCTCACACCAGGGATGTCTCGCCTTGCCTGTCCTGGAAGCCTCAACCCCTCACACCGAAATGTCTCATCTTGCCTGTCCCGGAAGGCTCAACCCCTCACACCAGTCTTGCCTTGCTGCTCTGGAAGGTTGACCTGTTTCCTCCCTTTACCCCTTTGAAGGTCCCTTGCACACTTCCCACTCATGTTGTCCTCTCTGGCTGCTCCCCAAGGGAGAATTAGGCCCCTCTTAGTGTTGGCGTGCTGGTATAAATCCCACGACAGGGTCTGCCCTAAGCCATTTGAGGTAGCTATGGAAGTGCAGAAAGGACCCACTCACTCCGTCCAGCAGTAGAACTTTTCACCATCCACATGAACAGCACCACAAGTAGGGTTGTTTGTGATCATTCACGCACACATACATTTAGCCCTCCAGAATTTGACCACCAAGGAAGTACTTTACCGGTTCCTGCAGCTTCTCCTTCCTTAGTCTGTGCACAGAATCGTCGCTGCAGTCTATGAGGATCCTTTAAGCTAGGTTGCTGGCCAGTCCCTCCCCCCAGCCCCTCCCCTGCGCGTTGCTGAGAGCTGCGGTTATTCCTCGCACTGAGTGGGTCTTGAGTTCTCACCCCCGAGGCCGCCACAAGGGGGCGGGGCATGTCTCCTCAGAAGAGAGAACCAGAGACCGCCCCCGGAGGATAATGTAATCACCGGTGAGGCCCCAAATTGTTATAAATAAAGTTTCGGTGCTGCAAAAGAACTAGTACTCGAATATAAAATTTTCTTTTTAATTCTCAGCAAGGCAAGGTACTTCTACAGAAGGGTACACCCTTACAGATGGAGCAATGGTGAGCACACACTTGGACAAGGGAGGGGAAGGGGTTCTTATCCCTGACGCATGTGGCCCCTATTGGCAAGGGTTAGACCGCACAGGCTAAACTAATTCTGATTGGCTAATTGAAAGAGAGTGACGGGGTGAGTGGTTTGGTGGGAAAAATGGTTATGACAGAGCAGGTAATCGGAATGAGTCAGGGTGGAGTAGGTAATTGGAATGAGTCAGGGCAGAGGAGGTAATCAGAATGGGTCAGGGTGGAGTAGGTAATCGAAAAAGGTTGCTTTACAAGGAAGTTAAGTTTAAAAGTAGAAGGCAAAGAATTGAACATACTGACATATTGATTCTTTGAAAAGAAATTTAGAACTCATAACTAACAATTGATTTTAAAATGTGCAAAGGGCATGATATTTGGAAGGGGCCGGGGCAGGGTGATATGGTTTGTCTCTGTGTCCCCACCCAAATCTCATTTCAAACTGTAATTCCCACCTGTGATAGAGGAACCTGGTGGGAGGTGATTGGCTCATGGGGGCAGTTTTCCCCAGGCTCTTCTCATGATTATGAGTGAGTTCTCATGAGATATGGCTGCTTATAAGTGTCTTGTGCTTCCCCTTTCTCTCTCTCTCCTGACGCCATAAGGGTAAGATGTGCCTTGCTTCACCTTAACCTTCCACCATGACTATAAGTTTCCTGAGGCTTCTTCAGCCATGCAGAACCGTGAGTCAATTAAACCTCTTTTCTTTATATATTACTCAGTCTTAGGTATTATTTATAGCAGTATGAAAATGGATGAATACAGTGGGGCTTTTGTTTGAATTTTTTTGTGTTTACTTTTCTAGGTACTGACTTAAAGAAAGGTGAACAAAGTTCACTGGAATTTCTGTAGAAGCAGATAGGTGTGAGAATAAATTCAGCAAAGTATATCCTATTATAGCTCTCAGAAATCATTCTGAAAAGGTGATAAATATATGATTATTTTAGGATAATTATGTTTGAAGATAAAATGAAGCGGCACTTTCTCAGTAGGATGTTCTACTTACTTGATTTTTAAGATTCCTAGATTTCAAACAGTTAAATCTATTCTGGAAGCTCATCTGGAGCAGAACTGGCATGGATTATGAATCTAATGAATATCAATATTTGGTTACTATTTTTCTGAGTTCTGAAAAATGATGCTCAGTGTGTAATTATCATACAGATTATTGTCAACAGAAGAAATATTCAGAGAACTAAGTGAAACTCTTTATTATAAGCCAAATTTAAAATAAGCCCTTAGCAGCCCTTGTTTGTATGAAAGGGCTCCTGTGCTGACCGTAAAAATACATCTTTCAGCTCTTCCAGCTCAAGAGGGCACAATTGACTGTCATTCCCACTTGCTGCACTGGGAAATTCACCACTGTCTTCCTCTGGAGGCCAAGCTTCCGATGAGCCATTCCCAGGCAGTGACTGAATTGGCAGTGACTGAATATAGCAAGGATACTAAGTCAGATTGGTTCCTGCAAAACATGCAATTCTCTGATGATCAATCTGGTCTCAAAGAACCCACCTACTTTGCTGCAACTTTCTTAGAACTAGAATATTCCCAGTTCACAGATGTTTCCCAAATAAATCTCTAGTCAAGTCTTGATGTAAATACTTAGGGAACCTCAGCCAATGCATATCCCCACCCACTTATTCCACAATCCTCACTGAAATTAATAACAGTGATGAATAAACATATTGAACATTTGTAATAACCACTTTGGTAAGTGTAATTTAAGGAAGTGAAACAACAGAGAAAATTTAATGTGATAACAAACAAAATATCTTTAAGGGACAACAAAGAATTTCAACAAAAAAAAGGAGTTAAAATAGATAGTGCATATTCTCATGTAGCTGATCCCATGAAATTTTGTTTCTTCATAGAGAGCAATATATGTATCAGGAAGGCCCTGTTTCAAGTTCCTATTCATAGAACTATGTGCAAAAGATAATTTAGACAAAGTTTAGACTCAGAGCATAACACAGGAAGAATTGTGGTGTTAGGATACTCTTTAGATGAGTCTATGAATAACTTAACTGCTATCAAGACAACAAGACTGGGGAGCAACTAAAACTTTTTTTCCTTTTTTATCATTGATTTTATAGTCTAGAGTTCTATACTATAGTGATGTAAAAATCTCTGCAATAATATTATGAAAGTATTGCAGTTGCTGACATCGTACAAAAGTCCATCCATAAAAGCCTTAGATGTCAGTATCAAGCTATGCTATATGATTCTCACTTGTGAAATTCCTGATGATAATATACTTGGTTTTTTAAATTTCTATCCTTCATATACATAGACACAGCACCCAATAAACCTGATTATTACCTGAACTTGTATGTATGCTCACCTTACTAGGGAGTTCCTTTGTTGCAGCAATACTGGTCTTTATTTCTTACCCAATTAGCAAGGCAAAGAGATTGTTTCTGATTGCTGAAGTGGAATCTCGCTTACCATTGCTTGAAATCTGACTCAATATTAATTATCACCTCAGCATTGATAGAGTGCTGTTTTCCTTTCCTTTAGAAAAATCATTTGCTTTCATTCTGGCCAAAAAGGCAAGATTTACCTCATTTAATCCTTACTTAAAAGATTTAAAATTACCAAACTTTATTTTCAAAATGGCAGACTCTGTGCTAGGCATGTAGAGAGGTAAATCAGAGAACTTTTACAATGTTAAGATGATACGTGCATGTTTACTTAATCTGCAAACACTGTGAGGTATCAACTATTGTGTTCTAATTGCAAATTACAAAGCTGAAGACCCGAATTTAAATATTTTTTCAAGATCACAAGGTTAGCAATGTGAAAGAGAAAGTAATCCCTGGTCTTCAAATGACAAAGGCAGTAATTTTTCTACTATATCAACTTTCATTTTGATATTTGTACAACATATCACAAATAGTACAGATTGAATAACTTATGATGTTTACTTGGGTCACTATCATAATTAGGGCAATATTTTAAATAAAGAATAATAGAAAATTGGACTTGCAAAGCCTGGGTTCTGCTGCTTTTAATCAAGCATGTGAATTTGAATGACTATCTTGCAAAATTTCCAATCTCTGAGAGGCAATTTGGAGGTATCTTGAGGGAAATTAACCATGTGTTTTCTTTATAGAAAAAGTTGTTTAAATCTGGTTTTAAAGTGCTTCACTTTTCTTTTTTCATTCAGCTGTCAAACATGTGTACCTGATTCAAAGAAAAGATGAGAGGTTGAAATAACAGATTATATTAGTACTTAATATGACTGTAAACTTTTCTTTTATTTGAAAGCACCACATTACTGCTTATAAAGTCAAGTTGGTTTTCTTTTTTTTTTTTTTTGAGACAGAGTCTTGCTCAGTTGCCCAGGCTGCAGTGCAGTGGTGCAATCTCGGCTCACTGCAAGCTCTGCCTCCCGGGTTCACACCATTCTCCTGCCTCAGCCTCCTGAGTAACTGGGACCACAGGGGCCTGCTACCATGCCCGGCTAATTTTTTTGTATTTTTAGCAGAGACGGGGTTTCTACCTGTTAGCCAGGATGGTCTCGATCTCCTGACCTCGTGATCCGCCCATCTCAGCCTCCCAAAATGCTGGGATTACAGGCGTGAGCCACTGTGCCCGGCCGTCAAGTTGGTTTTTTAAAGTATTTAATTCTATATAGACAGCTACAGCTGTCAAAAAATATTGGCACAGAAGATGTTTTCTTAAAAAATGTTAGGACATTGTCAGTTGATGAAGGCAAATGAATATCCTAGGTGATTGCAAATACAATTTTCTGTTTAGTGTCACAGTATCAGTTACATAATTCATCATTGCTATGCAAATCAGACTGAATAAAGCAAGTGACATTATATATTCCTACTTACATCATTAGTGATAGAAAAGGAATTTGACATGTTTTTAATTCTGTATTAAGTTGACCATAAATTTTAACATGACAAGAGTTTATGGATCTGGATAAACTTCTTGAGTTTAATAAACTTCACATATTATTTTTTAATCCAAATTTCTTATACTGTTCATAAAAGACAGTATAATGTAAGTTATCTGTGACCAAACTCTACCCTGGTTCTATTTTTTATTTTATTTTATTTATTTTTTTGAGATGCAGTCTCACTCTGTTGCCCAGGCTGGAGTGCATTGGCACAACCTTGGCTCACTGCAACCTCTGCCTTGCAGGATCAAGCAATTATCCTGCCTCTGCCTCCCAAGTAGCTAGGATTACAGGTGTGCACCACCACACCTGGCTAATTTTGTATGTTTAGTAGAGATGGGGTTTCACCATGTTGGTCAGGCTGGTCTCGAACTCCTGACCTCAGGTGATCCATCTTCCTCGGCCTCCCAAACTGCTGGGATTACAGGCATGAGTCTACCCTGGTTCTAAATTAAGCAACTTTAAACCTTATTGCTTTGTCCCTATTTCTTAAGATACTATTAAATTATTTCCTTGTATAATAAACTTTGACTAGCAAGAAGGAAATTACCTATAACTATAGGAATTATAACATTTGGCTTTTTAGCTTCTAAAATTTTCTTTTATGTCATTTAAATGGAATCAGCATTATATACAGATCCATAAAGTCAATCCTCCACATTGGAAAACATGAGAGATACTGATAATATCTCATCTATTTGCCCTAATTTTTCTATTTGCTTCTTTCTGGTGCCAAAAGTTTTACCATTCTGGTTAATTTGTTTTATTAAGGGATGAAATTTCTATTAAAATGATAATGTAAACTCTCAAATCTTTTCTTATTTAAACTTCAATATAAATGAATTTATGTGGATCATTGTGATTAACCACTATATTAAACAAATTTTGACAAGAATGATGAGAAAATAGTACAGAGAATAGATTCATCAGGAATTGTGAAAATGAAGCCTTCTGTAAGAAAACCTGAAGCATATTATCTGCATTTAAAAAGTGGGTGACTTTAGATTTGAAAAATATGTAGGATTTCAGATGTCTCCTTATAGATGTTGGCAATCGATTTTGATGTCTCTGGCAAAAGAATCAGTGTTACTTTACAATATTATATGGTTTTGTATATTACTACCACTTTAGTATATGACTAAAGCAGTATCTATGACAGAAACAACAATATTTCTTCACTATCCCTACTCTTTTTTTCTTTTTAATAAGGGAACACCTAAAGATTTACCTAGACACAATGGTGCATACATAGAGACTTCATTTCTACCTCTCCAACGTTGCTAGCTATTGGCAGGTGACTAAATTTCAGTGCTGTGTGGGGCTTTGGGATCATCTCCTAAGTGATGGAACTTAGTCTTATGTTTGAAAGACTCATCAATATCTTTCATGTAGATGTAAATAATTATATTTTATTATGTGAATGGACCGCAATTCATTTAACTATTTTATGGTTTATAAAACAAAATGTGTTGTTTGTTGCTTGTATGTACTATGAATAATCCTTCGGTTAACATTCTTGTACAGGTATCTAGGATCCATGCATTTCATTTATGTGGCATTCATACCTAAGAGTAAAAATTCTGGGTAATATAGTATCCATATGTTTGGCATTAATAGATTTTACTAAAATGTTGCTTAGTGAAAGTGCCAATTTTCTCACACATCAAAAATATATGAGAATATCATCTGCTTCAAAATCTGACACTTTGTATCAACAGATTTTTTTAGACTTTTTAGATTTTTTTACTCTACCATTTGGCTATTTGTGATATCTCATTTTGTGTTAATTTGCATTTTCTTGGTGGTTATAATTATCTTCTTTTGTCAAGTGCCTGTTTAAGGCTTTGCTTATTTTGCATACTTGGTTGCCTTTCGTTTCCAATTCAAAATCAGGAAAATGTGCAGAAATGTACTACTAAGTAAACTATTAGAAAAGAAATTTCAAGAATGTATAAAATACACAAAATGCCATTTACTTCATTACAGGACAATAATGTTCATTCAAATCAGGAAAATGACATAGTACCAATCAAGTATTTTAATAATGAAAAAAAGTTTTCTTCGAAGTCCAATAGCTAATCATGATAAAATTGTTAGAAACCTATACATAAAGAGAATTTCTATAAACAAAGATGTATTTTCTTTTATTTAGGAAGAAGAAAAAAAGTCTGCTAATATACTTGAATTCAATACTGTACTAGACTCTTTAAATGGCATAATAATATAAGAAAAGTATATACATATTGGAAAATATTTTTAAAGCAACTATTAAGATAATAGTATTCTCTATTTTTAAATTCTATAACAATATTTATATTAATAAGTAGTTTATAAGCAGTGTGCTATTCCAATCTTTGTTATATTTCTGTAAAGAATGAATACATAATTTCAGATACCATTTATACTACTAATAAATAATAACTGCAAATAAAATGTAGCAAAATATTTTAAGACTTTTGTCTTTGTATAGAAATCCTTATATATAACATTAAAAATATATATTCACTAAATATATATTAATCATACTTAATATTTTATGAGTAAATTCTCCCAAATTGATCTATATATTTAATTCATCTGCAATAAAAATCCCATTAGAGTTTTATTAATAACTTGATGTAAGAACAAAAAAACTCAAGAGCAAATAGCCAAGACACTCCTAAAGAAGAATAATATTCTG
Source organism: Homo sapiens (assembly GCF_000001405.40). Classification (NCBI taxonomy): domain Eukaryota; kingdom Metazoa; phylum Chordata; class Mammalia; order Primates; family Hominidae; genus Homo; species Homo sapiens. Next base: position 29,368,877 of record NC_000018.10, read on the forward strand.
GAATTATCTTTTTAATTATTAAGAACTTTTAGAAAAGTATAGTCATTAATTTGTGAGTTTTCAGCAGCAGAACAGAGAAAGAGACCGATGGAGGAGCATAAAGAGCCCAGAACAAACTTATGCATGGGAACTTGCTATTTTACAGAAATTGCATTATGAATCACTAGGGGGAAGCAAGCTCATCAGTAAATGATGCTGAGACAAATTGCTACCCAAGTGAAAAAATACATACGTATATTTTATAATGGATTCATATCTCACAGCTACACATAATCCATTCCAAATGAGAGAATTCAAATTTTAAAAAGAGTTTCGAAAGCAGAAGTCAACATAGATGTATGTGTTTATAACCTTTATTAGGAATGTGTTTCCTAAACAAGCTACAATGGCACCAACTCTAAATGAAAAGGCCAATACATATGAATCCCTCTTATTCACAAGACATTATAAAGAAAGTATAATTCACAAGTTGGGAGAATATATGTGCAACATATACAATTGATAAAGAATTATAGAGTAGGAAGGTGATAATAATAAAACAAAGCAACAGAAAACAATGTGTTTCAGCCAGCAATAGAATAGAAAGTAAGTGATTTTGATTGGTACAATGTAATTTTGTATAGCATTGAGAGTCAATAAATGAACTACATATATGCACACCAGAATGGGTGAAACTGAAAAACAAGAATATTGAGCCAACAAAGCTAATCACAAACAATGCTTGCAACATAATTCTATTTATAATATGTAATCTTTAAAAATCAAAACTAAAACAATATCTTTAGTTATACACCCAAATGTTAAAATCTCTTTTTGAAAAATTAAAGAATGAGTAACAGAAAACAACAAAATATGTGTTTTCTTCTAGGGAAAGAAGGAATATGGCATCTACAACGAGTACACAAAAGTCTCTAAAGTGTAAAAAATGTTCCATTTCTTAAGTGATATATCAGTGTCATGGGTGTTCATTTTATTATTTTTTGTACCTGTATTATTCACGATGAAAAAATGTAAAATTACAATAAAATTAATAAAATAAAACAAGATAATTTGGAAATGATAACAGAGAAGACTATGCTTCAAACTGATATGCTGATTGAAATTAGACTAGTTTCCAAATTTTATTTAGTATATTTATACTAAATAAATATATTTATTTATTTAGTATATTTATATTATATTATTTAGTATATTTATTTATTTAGTATATTTATACTAAATATATATTATTTAGTATGGAAATAATAAGAGAAGACTATGCTTCAAACTGATATGCTGATTGAAATTAGACTAGTTTCCAAATTTTATTTAGTATATTTCAAAAATTTGTTGCATACAACTCCTTTTAACACTAAATTACATTAGAATTAATTATACCAGTAATGTTTTTCTTTACTAATAACAGCATTTGTCAAAATGTATCCACATCAACAAAGGTTACCCTACACATACTGAGATTTCCTTAACATTATTTGGATACTTTGTATCCAATAAATATGTTGCTCAGGGACATTTCCTAATGATTGATAAAACATTTGCTAAATATTAGCTGATTAGTAGGAAAAAGTTGACTGTAATGGGAATGGACAAATTATATCAAACTATAAAGTGTGCTCTGTCTTGCTCAATGTATTACTCTTTGTATGGTAGAACCACACTTATACTAGCCTAGAAGTCCTGTACCTGGGACATATGGGCTAGTAAATGAAACTCTAATGGATCATCACAGCTGAGTATATATCCTCAAATTCTCAAGATTTTCTACCATGCTTTTCTCTTTGTTAATCCTTTGATTAATTATATCATTTTGTGGTCAAATATATTCTTATTTCTTTTTTTTTCTTTTTTTTTTTTTTTTTTTTTGAGATGAGTCTTTCTCTGTTGCCCTGGCTGGAGTGCAGTGGTGCTATCTTGGCTCACAGCAACCTCTGCCTCCTGGGTTCAAGCAAGTCTCCTGCCTCAGCTTCCTGAGTCACTGGGACTACAGGCACCCGCCACCATGCTTGGCTAATTTTTGTATTTTTAGTAGAGGCAGGATTTTACCATGTTGGCCAGGCTGATCTTGAACTCCTGACCTCAGGTGATCTGCCCGCCTCGGCCTCCCAAAATGCTGAGATTACAGGCTTAAGACACTGCATCTGGCTGTGGTAAAATATATTCTGACTGTAAGTAACCAGTCACGAAAAAAATTATTTCTCTAGTAAAGAGCATGAATGTAATAGTGAAACAGATTTGATGAACAATGGAATACATTTTACTTTAAGTATCATTGTATCTATTTAAAAGTAACATTAACTTAAAATAATAAAAAATATTATTTTTTACATCATGAATAATATATTTAATAGTGACTATATCATAAATGTATAAAATTGAATGGCTCTATCAGAAACAATATCCTTGATTAATTTATTCTGGATCACATATTACCACATCTAATAGTTTTCACTCATATTCTGGAACAAATGTACTTCAATATGATAAATGTTAATTAATTAGAAGTCTACTGAGAATGATTAAAGCAAAGTTGTCTTTATGTCAGGGAATTTAATTATTATAATGACTTTAATAATTCCTGGATCTGTGATCAATATAAAATGGCACAAAGGAAGAAATCCAAATTTTTGTTTCCCCACACTGTATAACATCATCCAAGCCCACGAAGAAACACATTAAAAAATAATAAAGTAGTAAGACTCTGTGTCTTGTTAAAAACCAAAATAACTTAAATAGTAATCAAGAAACAGTGTTTCCCCTTTTCCAGCTAACTTGGTTTCAGGAAAATGCTAATCTGTATCAGTGTTGTGCATTCAGCTTTATTCCTTTTGTTCCTCCTTTCCAGCTCTAAATTTTGCCCTGCTATACATTTCTTTTTTAATAATTATTCTTTCTCTGACTGCTCTGCAACTCCTCTCTTCTTTCTTGCATTCATCTCTCTAGAGAAATGAATCCAACAGCCAGCTCTAAAAATGCCTAATGGCTAAAATACTTTTTGTATACCAAATGGCTAAAATAGTTATATGGTTGAAGCATTTTAAATCCCATCTGTGGGACTGAATAGATTCATAGAATTGAAGTTTATGGAGACAAGATTTTATTTCTAGTTTTCTATGTAAATTTAAAGAAGTAAAGTCTGTAAACTAACAATAAGTTGATGGAGATACTTAACACTGAATTGGTATATGTTAAAATATATTCAAGGATGAAAATCAGCAAACAACTATTTTTTTGAAATGATTTTTTTTCTCAATAGCTGACTAGTTTTGAAGGGAAAAAGTAATACTAAAGGCCAATTTGAGCTCAGGGATGGTTTCAATTGAGGTTAAAACTGAAAGTGTGAAAATAAGACATGCAAGATTTTTGTTATCTTCATTTGTGAATTTCATATTTCTGACTTTAAAATATTTAATGCAGGAGAATTACATGACTTAGCATTTCTATAGTTGTCAGTTGGAAAGGAAGAATTATATTACTGGAATTCCTTGAACCTGCCTCTCTTTTAGTAAAGGTTAGTAAGAGCAATTCATAACCTAGTAATAAAAAATATATTTACTGTTTTACTATTGCTGAAGAAATATTATAACCCTGTTATTCATGTGGGTATTTGCTATCTTGGCTCAGAATTCTCTATAAACTCAATTATCTATAAACTTAAATGAATAACAATGGTATATATCAATTTATGATTTAATACTTTGCTTATATCAAGTAACTAAGTAATCTATTTTTTGCATCTTAATTAATACATCTTATAAATTGAAATCTGAAACACCCTGTATGTTTACATGTTAAAATACAAATGTATTTTCACTCCTGACTTAAATATGCTACTACACAGAGCTCCTTGGAGAATGTAATGTGAACAAACTTCCGAAGTGTTTGTCTCATGTTCATCTTTCAACAAATGACAACGTTGAACCTGACTTTGATAAGAAAATAAACATGACACTTGCAGGAAATTAATAGCATTGTCAGTGGGCAACTGAAGCTCCAGAACATGTATCTAAAAGATTTATCTGCTTCTTTTTAAATTCTGACTCTATTTTTAAGAGACAGGATAACAATTTAAAGATAATTATAAGGCAAACAATGTCGATATAAATATTGAGAGTAATCTACTCAATAAAGTCTATAAACAAACACTGCACATTCCAAGTCTTTTAAAACTCTTTTCTTCTGGAAAAAATTCATAGAAAAAAATAATAATTTTAAAAATTAGTAAAAGAAGTAAGGAGGAAGTCAAAATGGTAGAAGTAAATTCTTCTTTATTTGTAATTACATTAAATGTAAATGGATTAAACTCTCCAATTAAAAGGCAGAGATTGATGGTAAGAAAAAAAACGACCATAGTGTATGCTATCTAGAAGAGATTCACACTATATCCAAAGACACAAATGGGTTGAAATTGTAAGAATGTGAACCGATATTCCATGCAAACAGTAACTAAAAAGTGGGATATGGTGACTAGACTAGCATTAGGCAAAATGAACTTGAAGATGAAAACTGTGACAAGAAACAAAGGAGGACATTATATAAGAATAAAAAGTGAAATCCACCAAGAAAACATAACAAATATAGATAGATCAACAGAGCCCCAAAATACATAAATCAAAAACTGACAGAGTAGAAGAAATAGACAGTTCGATATTAATAATTGGAGACTTCATAAGTCCAATTTCAAAAATAGCACAACTAGAAATGAGATAAATAAGAAAACAGATAGCTAGAACAGTATAAGATAATTAGACTTGAGAGACATATGTTGCATACTCCACTTAACAATAGCAGAAAGCATATTCTTTTTAAATGCACAATAATTCACCAGGATAGAGCATATATTATACCCACAAGATAAGTCTCAATATACTTATAAAGATTGAAATTGTATAAAGTATGTTCTCCAAGCACAATCAATTGAAATCAGAGATCCATAAAAGAGAGCTGGAAATTCCCCAATATATTGTAATTAAATGATACACTTTAAAGCAACCATTGGATTCAAAAAGGATATCACAAAATAAATCAGAAAATACTTCAAGTTGAATAAAAACATAACCTACAAAAACATATAGGATGCAGTGAATGCAGTGCTTAGAGACACTTTGTAGCTATAAAAGCTTACATTAAAAAAAGGAAGAGTTTAACTCAATAACCAGAACATCTACTTAAGGATCTAGAAAAAGTAGAACAAAGTTAATCCAAAGCAAGTAGAATAAAAGAAAAGATGAAGATAAGACTGAAGATGAATGAACTAGAGAGTGGAGAAATAATTGAAATAAGCAATGAAACCAGTTGATTTTTAAGATGAAGATTGACAGACCTTTACATAGATTGACAAGGAAAAAAGACAACTCAAATGACTAACTTAAGAATTATAAGTGTTAACGTTACCACTAACATTGCAGGAATGAAAAAAATATGAAAGCATAATATGAAAAATTACATGAAAGAAAATTAGGTACACTGAATGCAATGGACAAAGTCCTAGGAACACACAAACTACCAAAGTGACTCAAGCAGAAAAAAAGTCTCAATTCACCTAAAAGATATCAAGAAGATTTATTCAGAAAAATAAAACAAAAATGAAAAATATATCAACAAATTAAAGCAGAGCCTAGATGCCTTTACTGCTGAATTCAACCAAATATTTAAAGAATAATTAACATCATTCTTATCATTTTTCAAAAAACAAGAGACAAGGAAAAAACTTCCCCGCTTATGCAATGAGAAAAGTATTATTCTAATATAAAAGTCAGAAAAAATAACACAAGAAGAAAACTATAGACTAATATCCTTGTATAAATAGATTCAATAATCCTCAACAAAATTTCAGCAAACGAAATCTAGCAACGTAATAATATATACCATGACCAAGTGAGATTTATTTCATGAATATAAGGATGATTAACCATACAAAACTCATTCAGTGTGATGCATCACATTATTAAAAAGAAAAATAAACTTAAAAAAATTATCTCAATAGATGCAGAAAAAAATGAACACGTTCAACACACTTTAATAATAAAAGTACACAAAACTAGAAATACAAGAAAACTTTCTCAATATGATAATTGGTATATATGAAAAACCTATATATAACATTATGTTAAATGGTAAAAGACTATAAGATTTCCCCCTAAAATAAGACAAAAAGACATGAATGTCCTTTCTTGAAACTTCTATTCAACATTGCACTGGAAGTGCTAGCTAGGTGAGTAGGTAAGAAAACTAAATAAAAAGAATCAAACTTGGAAAGCAAGAGATAAAACTACCCTCAAAGATGACATGGTTTTATACGTAGAAAATCATAAAGAACACATACACACAAACTATTGAGCTTATAAATGAATTCAACAAAATTAAAGGAAATAAGACCAACAACAGTAAGCTGTATTTCTATACACTAAACATATTATTCAGAAAAGAAGTGTGAGGCCAATCGTGGTGGCTCACGCCTGTAATCCTAGCACTTTGGGATGCCAAGCCAGGTGGATCATGTGAGGTCAGGAGTTTGAGACCACCCTGGCCAATGTGGTGAAACACCGTCTCTACTAAAAATACAAAAATTAGCCAGGTGTGGTGTTGGGCACCTGTAATACCAGCTACTTGGGAGGCTGAGGCAGGATAATTGCTTGAACCCAGGAGATGGAGGTTGCAGTGATCCGAGATCGTGCCATTGCACTCCAGCCTGGGCAACAAGAGTGAAACTCCATCTCAAAAAAAAAAAATTAGAGAAAAAAGAAGTGTGTAACAGATTCACATATACTGGTGATGAAATACATTGTTATAACAAGTCTAGAGGGTAATTTAGCAATCTGTATAAATGGTTTCAAATTATTTATGCCAAATCTAAAACACAATTTTAAGCAAATAATCACAAATTCATATTTGTGTAATTTATATACATTAAGGGAATTTTTCTGATGTTTTTATAATATAAAAACTGGAAACATATCCCAATGTTAATATGAATAGAATGAACACATAAACTATCTGATATTCATAAGAGGTATTACTTTGCAATTATTAAAATGTATGGTTTTAATGAGGACTTGACAAAATTCTCTGATATATTTAATGAATTATCAGAACACCAAACTTTACAAAATCAGACCCAAATGAATATATATGTATATTCATAGGATTATACATATACACACAAACTTCGGTAAATTTTCACGTTTCTATGTTGCATATATGATACTTTTATAATTTTACAATGTATCAATAGTGCTTTAATTTTATGGATTTCCAAAAATTATTGTATATAGATTACTCCATATTTAAAACTTTTTAGTAAATCTGGAATTTTTATATTTTCCTAAAGCAGACATACTCATCAATTTACTTAAAGACATATTGTATATTTACCCAAAATTTTCAAAAACACTAAGTATGCTGGAAATTAGGTGAAGAAATTATCCATCACAGGCAATATCATTCACCTTAAACTCCCCTCCAAAAAACACACATTCCTAATTTTCATCAGGATGAGGTAAAAGTTATTTTAAGGAAAACTGCCTTGAAAGTTAGTATCTAGAGATTTACATTTGTATTTTAGTATCTTAGTTTGGAGTTTTGATCTAAATTTATGTATTACATTCTCTTCTATAGAAGTATATGTCATAGTATGCCATATACGAATAACATTGTACAAGTTAAAAGTAATTTAAAAATTGTTTTTCAACATGAATATTATTTAATAATTAACAATAGTTTATAATGTTCTACATATTTCAGCATGCTTTTACAAAATGTAATCCCTACCTCAATGAGGCCAGATATATGAAAATCTGAATTTTAGAGCACCAAAAGAAGACACTAATTATTTTGAAGAAGGTCTTTGGTGGAAATTCTACTGATGGTATCTGTTTATTTGTAGAAGATTATTAAGAAATGACAGAAACAAGTAGTCATGTAGTATTTTTTTTTTTTTGAGATGGAGTCTCACTCTGTTACCCAGGCTGGATTGCAGTGGCATGGTCTCTACTCACTGCAACCTCTGCCTCCCAGGTTCAAGTGATTCTCATGCCTCAGCCTCCCAAGTAGCTGGGATTACAGATTTGCACCACCATGTTCTGCTAATTTTTATGTTTTTAGTAGAGACGGGGTTTTGCCATGTTGGCCAGGCTGGTCTTGAACTCCTGGCCTCAAGCAATCCACCTGTCTCGGCCTCCCAAAGTAGTTGGATTACAGGTGTGAGCCACCACGCCTGGCCATCATGGAATATCTTAAGTGTTACTGGAAATTAATCAAATATCAGTATATCATCTATAAAATTTTAATTATAGAGTTAATTTTTAAAAACATTTTATTTATAAAACAATTTGATAAAGATAATTTTAGTAATCTACTTATTGTATAAAGTAAAATCTTGGAGTGAATGTATGAACATAGAATCTATGTATATTATATGTTAATCTAAAATGGTCATTCAACTCTGGTTTTGTCATTCTTCATGTTAGAATTGTTTGATATTTTGTGCTATAACATTCAGTTGAGCCTCTTCAATTTAATCTGTGAGAAGAACCATGGGTTAATGAATAAATTGAACAACATTTGCAAGTTAATCCATACTGCATGGGGATGCAGCTATTAGAGAAACCATGGAAAGAACAGCTGGTTTGCTTATTGGAAATAAAATCTTACTCATTGGGTTCATTCCAAAGATGCTAACCACATATTCCCCAGGTGCACTGGTGGTGGTTATTTCCTTTACAATCATTCTGAACTGTGGTTCTAATGGAACCATATGGGCAATATTTATTGCCCAAATTGGACAGTGCTCCCTATATACTAATTATATTCAGCAAAAATGAAAATCTTCAAGTATAGTCCAATCAATGAAATTCTGATTACTGAACAGCCGCAGTGAATGTTCTCTTAAAATAAATAACCCTTAAAAACCCTTAAAATAAATAACCCTTAAAAATATAATAAATGTTAGAAATGTTGATATTCAAAATGCTGAGACTGTTACAAATGGTAGACCTATTTTTTACTATGCTACTCAATGACAAATATAGTGAACATTTTAACACATTTTATTACTTATTTTACCCACTTATTTTCAAAAAACATTCAGATACAAGGGAACTTTTAGACTAGCACCAATTTTAATAGAATTAAATGCAATTTTAATAGACTGAAATACAATTTTAATAGACTTAAAATTATTTTTCTTCTGACTTTATAGATATCATTATAAAACTTTTTGTTCTTACAAATAAAATGACAGATTTAGTAAAGTCTCTCAATCCAATAAAACAGAAGTTAATTCTACTCTTAATGTGGTTTTTCGTTATTAGTCAGGAGTTAATAAATACAATCCTCGTGCCTGTACACATATGAAATGTATTGTGTGCTTCTAGGAAGCAACTGAACACAAAACCTTTGAGAATAATATCCCTTTTCTTGTCAAAATGCATAACGCTGAAACAAAGATACAATAACCCAGGAATTCTATGATAGTCAAATCTATATTATACTCAAAGAGCTTTTACATGGAATATAGGCTTTTAAGAAATCAAAGCCTGGACACAGTTCTCATGTACCTTTTACTTGCAGTCAAGACTGAAGTTTTGAGAGACCAGCTAATGACTGTGTAGAGATTATCCCAAGAAGGATCTCTGACTAAATTTCTAAAGCCATTCTTTTCATGGTGTGTGTCTGTTTGTGTGTGTATGTATGTTGCCAGTGAAGGACTCTTTGGGAATGGGCCATATCAAATGACCAGTGTCAAATAATATGACTAATGCCAGAATTGAATAGCTCTAGACAAGTCTTAGAAACATGGCCATATAGTCTTGCCCGGTTTGCAATGCTCTCCCTGTTTCAACGGAGACTTTCTTCATCTTAAGCGTTTATGCTAATCAACTCATAATGTACAATCATTCTAAACTTGCAATTATCAAACTATAAAATGTTGCTTTACAGCTAACTGTATACTGATAATGTGGAAGTGATTAATCTCTCTAGTATTGTTCATTTGTTGCTATGGAAATACCACTTCTCTACAGGGCTATTAGTAAACATTTTATTAAGATTGCTGCCAATGACAGAGTCAGCCTTGGCAAACTGCAGCAAATGCAAAGCAGTATCTTTGCAGTCATGCTCTGCCATGCCTATACACATCAGAGTGTGTTTTTTATCAGTAAGATTTTGTTTTCAGAAAGCAATAAAATTTATTTCTGTTGCAGAACACAATGACAGAAAATTGATTTCACACTGGTATTGGGAATGCATGAAATTTAAAATGTATGAACATTTTATAATTCAAATATTTTAAATCAAATTTTATAAGTGGGTTCTTATTAAGGTTGAATATCTCTTAAAATGAACACTTAGTATATTTCTTTTCGAACCTAAAAGAAATACATATATGTAGTTTTAGATATATATTTCTAGACACACTGTGATAATATTAAAATAATGATAATTTTTTGAATAGAAGTTAATATAGCACATTGTCTATTGGCTTGGAAGGAGAAGTTAAATCCCATGTACTCATAAATAACAAGTTGCATCACATTTGGCTGAAGTGACATGTGGGACATATGTGAAATAATTTTTACTTTTCCATTAGGACTTATAACAATATAGTCTTGTAAATACATTTTACTTGTGGAATGGAGTGGATAAAGGTATTTTCACTTACCACGAAGTATATTTAGCTATCAGAGAAGCTATTATTAATATAATGTGTCTCCAAATACGTTAATCTCATATCATTCAAACAAAAAGATTTAACATATCTTTTTCTGTATTATGGGGAAATCATTGTTATAATTACCACTTGGCAAAGTATTCTTTGAATATAATACACAATAAATTCAAATTACTATACTGAATAAATTATAGAAATAATGGCATTAATTTAGTTGCCTTGATGCTTTAAACAATGATGAGACAGATCTAGTATTTAGTGAGCTTATGTTGAAATTTAAATTAGCCAAAATTATTAGAGGTAGAGTAGTATGCTTTAGTCTTGTGTCATTTAATCATTCATTTACTCAATCAATCATTCATCATTAAATAAATATTTGAGTGTTTACTTTAGCTTACTTTTAAGAATGAAAATTAGGCCGGGTGCAGTGGTTCATGCTTGTAATCCCAGCACTTTGGGAGGCCGAAGCAGGTGGTTCACCCAAGGTCAGGAGTTGGTCAGCCTGGCCAGCATGGCAAAACTCCGTCTCTACTAAAAATACAAAAATTAGCCAGGCGTGGTGGCAGGTGCCTGTAATCCCAGATACTCAGAAGCTGAGGCAGCAGAATTCTTTGAACCCAGGAGTCGGAGGTTGCAGTGAGTCCAGATCATGCCACTGCATTCCAGCCTGGGAGACAGAGCAAGACTTTGTCTCAAAAAAAAAAAAAAAAAAAGATACACTGCTTACCCTTAACGAACTTAGGGCATAGCAGAGTGAGAAAGACAAACGAGTTAGATAATTCGTGAAATAAGTGTTTTGAGAGTTTTGCACAGGTTGCTTTTCATTTAGCTAGTCCAAATAATTTAGTAATAAATTCAAATTGCCTATAATACGATTGATTACTTCTTTAGTTGATCACTTCAAAATTTGGAATTTAATACAAAGATTCTGTTATGAAGCTTTTGGTGGAAAGTCTTAGAATAAATAGATGTAGCATTCCAGATCAGTAAAACAAAGCAATTGGTTTTCATGATTCAACATTAATTTTACTCAATAAGATATTTGTGTTTATCTGCATAATAATACTGAGAGGCATAAAGCATTACACAATTATTTTTCTGGTTTTTTAATTAATAAAAAGTCATTTTATATTGGACAGATGATACAATGCCTATTGCTACATTGACTAAAAGGAGCTTCATAAATCACTTGAAGTTCTACATCACAACTTTAAATGTTTCAGTTCATTACAGTTAATGAAGGATGGTGGATCTGGAAAACATTTTACTTTGGATGTAGGCATGGTCATTTGTTCTGTTCATTAAAGCATTATGCTATCACACTTGCAGGAATCTTTCAATTTTAACATATAAATCCAAAACCAATTCTTTAAGAATGTGTGTCAAATAATATACTAAATTTAAAAGGTATGCTTTAAATGTTTTACATATATATAATTTCCTCATCATGAAATAATATTATTTTTAAAATCATAAGCAATGTGCATTTAAGAACTTTTGTCTACTCTTTTGGTATAGCAATGTTTACATTTAAGTGGATTGTAGTTAACTGATAAAATATAACTATTGACTTATATTGGACAAATACTATTAAAGTAAGCTAATATTTGATGCAGTCAGCCTGTAAGTGAGGAGGAATAGCTTTTGAGATCTAATTTGGACAATGAGATTCATTTTCATCTAATAAGCATCAACGCGTGACAAAGTTGCTGGATTCCCAAAGGCATCCTGGAACGATTTCTTCTGGCTACATCATTGTGAAAATTTTGACCTTTGATATTAATTAGGCATTCATATTTGCATGATGGAAGCCATAATTGTGGTTGGATATCAACCATATGAAGTGTTTTGCATAAATCGTTTGTATATGTATTTTTAGTATATTAAAGTAAAAAAAAGGGTGAACCTTGTTACAAGCTGATGATAAGTTGGTACTTAATGGAGAATATTTCAAATGGGAAAAGCTTTGTTAGGAATGAAGCAAGTGAGGTTGTAGTCAAAGGCATCTTTTCAAAACTGAAAAGATTGGCAGGCAGTTTTAAATCTTAAAGTCCTGAGAGATATTTTCTCAGAGTTAATATGATAATGGTGGTAAATCATTCCCAAATACAAAAATGAACATAAGGGCCGAGATGGTATACTGTCCACTTTTGGGTAGGGCAAATGGGTCCTATGTAGTGAATAATGTTAAATATCTGAAATTCTGTAGTGTGATTAAGAAAAAAAATTCACAAATTTGAAATAATTTGGTTGTCTGAATAGCATTAAAATGATCAATATGTTTATTTGCTCCTTCACATACGAGCGAAAATAGTAAAATATCATTATATAGAAAAGAGAAAATCTTTATACTTTATTTATGCTCTTTCTGTATGCAAAATGATCTAAGATTTTTGATAAGGAAGTGCAAAATATGACCCTTATAAAATATTCTATCTAGACCAAAATAAAGAAAAAAAAAGCCTGTCTCTTAAGTTTGATACCACACACTGCTCAAGCCAGATATTTTTGCACATCCCTTTTATGTCTTTCCAACACTCTCCCTGTCTCAATGGTTCTTCAACTAAGTCCACAATTGAAAAAAATCTAAGGATATTTTAATCTATCCATGTCTGGCCCACAGCTGACCAATGAATTGAGAATCTTCGCATGTAGAATTTTGGATGGATATTTTTTAAATCTGTATTTTTCGGATACTGATATTTGTATCCAGGAGGGTTGCAAACAATATTTACTATTTATTTCCTTTTCTGTCCCTTTCTTTCTCTGCCTGTCTTTCTCTATTTATTAATCAACTATTGAAATATGAATCACAGACCACGTAATTCATCTATTTAAAATGTCCAATTACATGTGTTTTAGAATATCCATAGGGTTTGCAATCATCAACACAGTCTAATTTTGGAATATTTTAAAATGTATCCAAAAAGGAAATTCTTACCTATTATTTGTCACTTCCCATTTTATCCTAATCTAAATAACCTACCCTTAAGCAACCACTATCTACTTCCTGTGTCTACAGAATTACCTATTCTGGACAATTGACAGAAATAAAATTATGTGATATGCAATCTTTTGTTAAATATGTTTTTTCACTTAGCATAGTATTTTCAAGAGTAATCTAAGTTGTGATTTGTATCAGTACTTCATTTCTTTTTATTGCTGTATAATATTCCAGTATGTGGCTCTAACATATTTTCTTTATTCACCAGTTGATGAACATGTGGTTTGTTTTCATACTTTGGCTATTATAAATAATGTTGTTCTAATAATTTTGTACAGGTTTTATATAGACATATGTTTACATTGAATATGTAATTTTGGGAGTATTGCTATCTTACTAATAAGATACACGAACATGAACATACATTCATTTATTTAGATAGTGTATATTCTTTCAATTATGCTTGTAGTTTTCAGTGTATACATTTTGCAATTCCTTTATTAAATTTGTTCCTAAGGAATTTCTTTTTTGATGCTATTGTAAATAGAATTGCTCCCTTAATTTTTGTTTTTGAGTGGTTCATTGATAATGTCAGGGTCCAGAAAACAATATCCCAAAATGAAGGCCTTAGCAGCAGCCTCAGAAATGAATTTTTATCTGGCCTTTTTCTCTCAGTTCAATTCTCTACCAAGGCTAGCCACAGAAAGTAGAATCCCTCTTCCCTGGTGTGGGTCATTTAATACCAGAACACCTTTTTCTGAAAGCCAGCCAAGAAATCTAATAATATTCTATGTAGAAAGTAGCCATAAAGAAATTATCTGACCTACCAGTTTGACTGTAGGTCATCAGATCCCCATTCCAGAGAAGGCCTGGATCATGCCATCACTGGGTTCATGGAATAAGTTGAAAAGGATTCCCTCCTTGTTATGGACTGAAAGATTTGGTCCTCCAGCACCCGAAATTCATATGTTGAAACCCTAACCTGAGTGTGGCTGTATTTGCAGATAGGGCCTCTAAGGAAGTAAATAAGGTTAAGTGAGGTCATAAGACCGGGGCATTAATCTGTTAGAATTAGTGTCATTATAAAACATACCAGAGAGTTCAATCTCACCTCCTCCTCAATCACATGAAGAAGTGGTTATATGAGCATACAGCGAAATGACAGCCCCCCATAAGCCAAGAGTCGAGGTCTTAGAATGAAAGCTGCTATGCTGACACATTGATCTTGAACTTGTCAGCCTCCAGAACCATTGTTTAAGCCAACTCAGTCTGTGGTATTTTGTTATAAAGCTCAAGTTGCACTATTATTCTTCTATTTTTTGAAAGAATTTGCAGAGCATAAATATAAGTTATTATTGTAATTTAATTTTATTTAATTTAAATGTTTGGTAGAATTTACCAGTGATACTATTTGAGTCTGGGCTTTTCTTGGTAGAAATTTTTAAAATTTGAATTCAATCTCTATATTTGTTATGGGTATATTTAGCCTTTTCACTTTTGAAACCTACGACTTTGTGGTTTTCTAGACTTTGTGGTTTTGAAACTTATGACTTTGTGGTTTTCTAGAAATGTGTCCATTCAAGTTGTCTAATTTATTGGTTCAGTTATTCACAGTATTCCTCCATGATTCTTTTCATTTCTGTAAAGTGTACAGTGATGGTTCCTCTTTCATTTATGATTTTAGTAATTTAATATTTTCTTTTTTTCTTTGGTTAAGCCAGGTATAGGTTGGTTCATTTAGCAAAGGACAAATATAGTTTTTGTTAATTTGATCTATTATTTTTCTATTATATTTCTTTTTGTTCCTGTTCTTATTATTTCATTTCTTCTACTATTTTGGATTTCATTTGCTCTTCTTCATCCATTCTCTTAAAGTGGGTTGTTGGGTTATTGATTTGAAATCTTTCCTCATTTCATAATATAAGCATTTACAGCTATTTATTTTTTTCTAACTAATTCTAATTCTGCAAAATATTTTGCTTACATGTTGAAACTTCTCATGTCTTTGTTGAGTTGTTTCTCTCGTTTTGATCTTTTATTTAGGTGTCCCTCTTGGTCAGAATATGTTACTTATTGGTCTCAATTTATAGCCTGCTTAGCCAGTTAGATACTCCCCATAGTGTGTGTGTGTGTGTGTGTGTGTGTGTGTGTGTGTGTGTGTGTGTGTATGTGTGTGTGTGTCTTAGAGTTCACAGTTCAGTGAGTTTATGATTTTTTGCCCACCTTTAGTCAAGGACTAGTAGCTTGAAGATTCCTTCTGATCATTTCTGAGAAGTTGCTTCTTTGGGGATGCACAGAGCCTTTCAGACTGCTGGGGATGACTAGGTTAATATTTTTACTCCTGGCTTTCCAAGAGTCACCCTTAAATCAGCAGAGCTTATTGTTCTGGTAGTGTTCGGTGACAGGTTATGTGTAAGCCCCTTGTGCCAGTGAGACTTCCTTTTGATGAGTTTGTATGCAGCATGGGGAGTGCCTTCATATTCAGCCACTACTGCCCTGATTAATCCCTTGTAGGTGCAACTTAGCAGCTGTGTACAACATTCGCATTCTCCATGGTTTATTATAATCTTATTAATACTCTTCATGGTTTCTTCTTTTCCTATTTCTTTCTATTAAACTTCTGGCTACTCTGCCACTTTGTCCAATTATGAAGCTACCAGCCTTCTCTTAACTGCTATCCACCAAGATCTCCACTGTTTCTAACAATGGCTTTAGAAATAAAGTTCTCCTTTCTCTGTTCCAAATAAAGTCAGTTGTCTCTGGCAGAGCTGTGGAGCTCTTTGCTCCAATGTCCTGCCTTTTCCCTGGGCAGAAATCCTATATCTCTGCAATATAGCTGGGGGCAGAACCCTGCTTTTTTTTGAGTAACACCCTGTTTCATGAATGAGCACTGAGGATGGTGTAGAATCTATTGTTCTTCTTAGCTACTCCTCCCAGCTTCAAGCCTCCATGCTATAAGTGAGCTAGGCAGAGCAATTGACGCCCCAGTATTCTCCATGCTCTGTGCTCAGAGTAGACTTCTTACCTATGAGTGAGAACTAGCATGAGAAGAGACATCCAATCCTGTTAGCTATGCCTATGTGGAGCAGACTTTCAGCAACGTGGTACTAAGTTGAGAGATGTGGGAATAGGACATGTCAGCAGCTTGCCCCTCCCAGAATGAAACCATAGTCCTAGACTGGAAGCTGGTGGGAGAGGAAGCCTTTGTCATCTTCATGGTAGAGGTAGAACTTCATTAACACAGGGCTGTGGGTGGTGATAATGGAGTGAGTTGTGTCTCAAAGGTCACAAACTCACCATTCTTACTGAAGATTAATCGTTTTCTTGAAGGAAAGTTTCTTCATTTGCTGTATGTTCTTAATTTCCAGGGACTTTAATATAGTTTGTTTTATCATTTTAATCATTTAAATTTCTGTTTTTCTGGAGATAATTTCTATTGATTTCCCCATTCAGTCATTGCAGAACTTCCCAATTTTTTCGTTAATCGGTTGTTCGCCCTTGCTCAAAGTAATCACTTAAAGAGCTTTTTAAAAAGTAATCGCTTGAAGAGCTTTAAAAATTACTGATTCCTGTGTTTACTAAACAGTAAACAGTATACTTTGATCTAATTAATCTGAATTGTTATCTGGTCAACAGGGCTAATAAAAATTCTCTGGGTTATTCTAAATTGTAACCTGGTTAAGAACTAACTTCTTCAATCCAATCCATAGTGGGCCCATATTCTTCAGCCATTTCTGGAGATCACAAAATTTGATCTTTATGACATACTACAAGAAAGCTGTTGAATGGGTCCTTCTATCTTATACAAGTCATGCATCAGCACAGCAGAGAAATTTCTGACAAGTACCTCTTTATTTACTTAACAGCACCACTTCATTTCTCTAATGCCCTGTTAAATATATATATTATATATAATTTATAACTATAAATTATATATACAGAATATAAAACACAGTCTCCTCAAGACGTACTGTACCATTATGTTCAACTAATGATGCTTTCCATAATATGTCCAATCCCTTATCCACCTGTCTAGCACTTCCTTCATTGGTTTGTAGGTGCCAGCAGTTCTTGTTGGTCCTGTGGCCATCAGTTGAAGATTTTCCCTTTATATTTTAATATCAAAGGGAATTTTGCCTGGGAAGGGTAGCAAGGGAATAATCACAGAATAAACCATGCAAAGATGGTTGCTTGCCCCAGTTTTGGTATGTATACCATCTTCTTCATTTACTGTGGTGCCACAGAGGTCAGTAGACAGAGATAGGGATTTACGGAAAGTGGCTGCAAGAAAATATAAAATATTTATTAGGAGATTTAGCTCCTAATATTTTGTAGTATTATTTCTTCACCCTCTCTATCTCCTCACTAGATCATTTTTGTCCCAGACAATATAGATAAACAGTGGAATTATTTAAGTTTAATGGGACACTTGGTAGCAAAAATGGAGAAATTATAGAGCTCGGGCTCTGTATTATTAGTATATATCTCTGTTAGTCAATTTTCATTAAATTCCCAAAGAGTTTAACACATACAAATGATTTCACTGTTGTATGTGACAAAAATTCATATTCTTGGCAGCTTTCTGATTCATAGACTTGAACTTCTGTCAGCTTTTGCATTAATTTTAGTGCTTCCTGTCAGTTTCTTGCAACTAATGATGTAAAATAAGTAATTATAGAGAAAACACTCTGAAAACTAAATAGTCTAGCAGACTACATGCTTAGGTAAGTGAATATGTACATTTTATGAAGTTGTTAATATATGTCTTAAACAAATTAGCAAATTGCTGATTAATTCACATCAGAGAATTCACTCCCTCACTCTCTCTCTCTTTCTCAGTCTATGTCTGTTTCTCTCCCTGCTCCCTCCCTCTCTCTCTCTCTGCCTCTCCCATTAAGGAACATGCCATATATGTTTAAGGAACTGAAGATCCCCTAAGTGGCTATTTTCATTGTAAAGAACATTTTTACTTTTTCTGAATGACTGGATTTGAGATAAAGTATATGCTAAATTCAATAATACTGCTCATTACTTGGAAATAATTTTAAGTTGGGAATCATTCTATGATCTTTATATTCTTTATTCCTAATATTAATGTAATTTTGAATATTCAAGGACATTCTCTAAAGAAAGATGGACAATTTTTTTGACAATCCTGGATTTACAATTACACATAAAAGAAATAATGGTTGTCCAGGTGCGGTGGCTCACATCTGTCATCTCATCACTTTGGGAGGCAGAGGCGGGCGGATCACCTGAGGTTGGGCATTCGAGACCAACCTGACCAACATGGAGAAACCCTGACCCTACTAAAAATACAAAATTAGCCAGGCATGGTGGTGCATGCCTGTAATTCCAGCTACTTGGGAGGCTGAGGCAGGAGAATCACTTGAACCTGGGAGGCAGAGTTTGCGGTGAGCCACGATTGTGCCATCGCACTCCAGCCTGGACAACAAGAGCGAAACTCCATCTCAAAAAAAAAAAAAAAGAAAGAAAGAAAGAAAGAAACAATGGTTAAATTCAGAATGAGTTCATAAATCTCCCAATTAATTATCTCACCAGCAAGTGAAGGCCGTCAGATTATATTTGGTTCATACCTAATACTTTTTAACTTTTGTAAGGAATGTGTTTACCACAGTGATCTTTGTATACATATATCCACCGCAGAGAAATGGCTATATTTTCTTTTTACCTTATTTAATTCCTTTTTGTATAGTTGATTTGGAATGTATGTGTTACTAATAAACATATTCAGCACCCCCTATAAAATAAAATATTGCTGGACATTTATGCAGAATCTATCTTTATTTGGTTATTTTCTGGGTATGAAAGCATGCTAATATTTACTTAGAGTTAGGTATCTGTTAATGATGGACCAAACCCCAGAAAAAAAAGAAAAAAAAAGAAGACTTTCTAGGGAGATTAGACTAGCCTGCATGTGACTGGTCTGCATGTTCCACTTTTTGTAGAAATGTTTATACAAGTAGCCAATTAATGTTTAGTCTATTGCTTGGTAACTGTATAATCAAAACAACAGGAAATAAATAACATTAATACAACTCTCCTTAAAGTATACTTTTCTTCCTATAAAAATTATAAAAATAATTTTTAGTAATACTATATTTCAATTTCCCATGAGAAATTGAAGTTAACAATTGCCTTCGCAAAGTTTGGAGAAATAAATGCAACTTCCTTCATATCTTCCCCCATCCTCCCCCACCAAAATTGCTACCAACAGCAACTAAATAGGCAAGCAAGCAAAGAAATATTTAGGCTTTGTTCAAGTCACTGTTTCCTATATTTAAAGGATCATAGACATTTTTAGGTAAAATCAATTAGAGTTCTATAAACATTTCATCTCTTTGAGAAATTCTGTCTTACAGAGGAATATCCATCAGATACAATCTGTTCTATGGGAATCACCTACCAAAAGAGGCTAAATATAGATAATAAAGTATTGCACCTTTTCATTAGTGTTTTTCAAGAAAGCAATGGCATTAGCAAGTCTCTAAAACCTGTTTTGATATAATATGAAATATATATTTGGTTGCTGACCCATCTTTCCTGGCACAGAGCTCCTAAAACATTTGCAGATAGGTGTAATATGAGATTCTTTTGAGCTGATATTTTATCTTTGACACTAGTTCTTACACAGAGCCCCCAACCACTTGGAATTTCATAGATGATAGAGTTTCTTTTGCACTAATGAGGTAACTGATGGCTGAGGGCTCCTGGATAGCCTCAGGATGTGGGCTACTTGCCAGGGGAACCAACTGTGTGATTAGAGGGTTAGAATTTTCAGCCCCCTCCTTCACCCCCCAGCCCACCCCACTAACCTCCAGGGAAGGGAGAGGGGCTGAATGCTCAGTTGATCAGCAATGGCCAGTGATTTGCTCAATACTGCCTACTTAATAAAGCTTCTCTAAAAACCAAAAAGACAGCCTTTAAAGAGTTTCCAGACAACTGAATACATGCAGGTCTCTGGAAGGTGGCAGCCACAGAGAGGGCATGGAAGCTCTGTGACCCTTTTCTATATATCTTGCCCTATGCATATCTTCCATCTGGATGTTCATCTTTACAATTTTTAATATTCTTTATAATACACGGGTAAAGTGTTTTTTTGAGTGCTGTGAGCTGTTCTAGCAAATCTAACCCAAGGTGGAGTCATGGGAACCTTGATTATACTGTCAGTCAGAAGTATAGGTGACAGTCTACTACTTGCCACTGACATCTAAAGTGGAGGCAGTCCTGTGGGACTGAGGCCCTCAACCAGTGGGATCTGACATTATCTTCTGGTAGCTAGTGTCAGAATTAAATTGAATTAGAAGGCATCTGGCTGGACACTGCAGAATTTATTGGTGTGTAGAAAAAGAACCTCTACACATCTGGTATCAGAAGTGTTGTGTTGGGTACGGAAGTAGAAAGTAGAAATAAACACTTTTTTCTCCTTTTAGGCCTATGTCCCTATATGTTGAATTTTATCAGTTCATTCTGCCTTTGCTTCTATATGTGTGCCTGTTTCTGGAATACTTGAATTTTTCACAGCTTGATGTGTTTGTATCACTCATCATTTAGGTAAAACTACTGCTGAGACTCTTCTTGTTTTTGCTTTTTTCTTGACTATCATCAGCCCATTCACTTTAAAGGGCATCTACTAGTTGGTTCATCCAAATGAATGAACACATCACCATTTATTTATTGCATGCTAAATTCTATTGGTGATATGGTTTAGCCATGTCCCCACCCAAATCTCACCTTTAATGTAATAATCCACATGTGTCAAGTGTGGGGACAGGTCGAGACAATTGAATCATTGGGGCAGTTTCCTTCATATTGTTCTCATAGCAGTGAATAGGTCTTATGAGATCTGATGGTTTTATAAATGGGAGTTCCCCTGTACAAGCTCTGTTGCCTGCCCCCACATAAGATGTATTTGCTTCCCCTTCACCGTGATTGTAAGTTTACAGAGGCCTCCCCAGCCATGCTGAACTATGAGTCAATTAAACCTCTTTCCTTTATAAATTTATTAGCAGTGTGAGAACAGACTAATAAAGTAAATTGGTTCCAGTACAGTGGGATTCTACTGTAAAGATAGCCAAAAATGTGGAAGCCACTTTGGAACTGGGTAACAGACAGAGGTTGGAACAGTTTGGAGGGCACAGAAGAAAAGAGGAAGATGTGGAAATGTTTGGATCTTCCTAAAAACTTCTTCAATGGCTTTGACCAAAATGCTGATAGTGATATGGACAATAAAGTCCAGGCTGAGGTGGTCTCATATGGAGATGAGGAACTTGTGGGGAACTGGAACAAAGGTGACTCTTGCTATGTTCTAGCAAAGGAACTGGCAGCTTTTTGCCCCTGCCCTAGAGATTCATGGAACTTTGAACTTCAGAGAGATGTTTTAGCGCATCTGGCGGGAAAAAACGTCCAAGCAGCAAAGCATTCAAGAGGTGACCTGGGTGTTGTTAAAAACATTCAGTGTTACATATTCACAAAGATATGGCTTGGAATTGGAACTTATGTTTAGAAGGGAAGCAGAGCATAAAAGTTCAGAAAATTTGTAGCCTGATAATGTGATAAAAAAGAAAAACCCATTTTCTAAGGAGAAATTCAAGCCAGCTGCAGAAATTTGCATAAGTAACAGGAAGCCAAATGGTAATTGCCAAGACAATGGGGAAAATGTCTCCAGGGCATGTCAGAGGGCTTCACAGCAGCCCCTCCAATCACAGGCCTAGAGGCCTAGGAGGAAAATATGGTGCTGTGGGCCTGGCCCAGGGCCTTGCTGCTTTGTGCAGTCCTGGGACTTGACTTGGTGCCCTGTGTCCCAGCTGTGGCTAAAAGGGACCGACATACATCTCAGGTCATTGCTTTAGAAGGTGCAGGCACCAAGCCTTGGCAGCTTCCATGTGGTGTTACCTCTGTGGGTACACAGAAGTCAATTATTGAGGTTTGGGAACCTCTGCCTAGATTTCAGAGGATGTATGGAAATTCCTGCAGAAGTTTGCTGCAGGGTTGGGGCCCTCTTGGAGAACTCCTGCTAGAGCAGTGCAGAAGGGAAATGTGGAGCTGGAGTGCCCACATAGAGTCTCCACTGGGGCACTGCCTAGTGAAGCTGTGAGAAGAGGACCATGGTCCTCCAGCTCCCAGAATGGTAGATCCACAGACAGCTTGTACCATGCACCTGAAAAAGGTGCAGACACTCAATGCCAGCAAGAGAAAGCAGTTTGGACCATGGACTTTTGAGTTAATGCTAAAATGAGTTAAGAATTTGGGGTACTATTGGGAAGGCATGATTGGTTTTTGAAAAGAGAGGACCTGAGATTTGGGAGAAACTAGGGGTGGAATTATATGGTTTGGCTGTGTCCCCACCCAAATCTCACCTCAAATTGTAATAATGGCCACATGTCAAGGGTGAGGTCAGGTCTAGATAATTGAATCATGGGGGCAGTTTCCTCCATACTGTTCTCATGGTAGTGAATAAGTCTCATGAGATCTGATGGTTTTATAAATGGGAGTTCCCCTGCACAAGCTCTGTTGCCTGCCCCCATGTAAGACATGTTTGCTTCCCCTTCCACCATGATTGTAAGTTTGCTGAGGCCTTCCCAGCCTTGGTGAACTGTGAGTCAGTTAAATTTTTTTTCTTTATAGATTACCCAGACTCACACTGCTTATTAGCAGTGTGAGAACAGACTAATACAGTTGGTATCCCAGCTGTCATAATTTCAGTTGGCATCAATTCAGGACACAAAAAATAGTTTAGAGCTGTATATTTTGCCAGAGTTAATTAGATGCTAACTTTGTGTATTTTTGGAAAGTGCCATTACTGTTATTAAGGGACAGAACTGGGACCCAGAACTAAAATGTTCTATCCCATTTTCCAAGTTCACCTGATCTGTTTTCATAATGCAATCAATCTACATTAGGGTATTTATTATCTGAATCCCTGTAAACAGAAAGTTTCACGGAACATTAAAAGTCATCAAAATCTTTAAACAAAAATCATTATAACATAAAAGCACTTAATAAAGTGACTTCTCAAATATTTCTTTCTACTTAATACTTGTTTAGGACATATCATTACTAAGAGCGTCAAAATCTTTGTCAGTTTCATGTTTCTGTTGTAACTACAATACTAAATATGACAAAATGAAAAAAATGTAAAGATTCAGTATTTCACTTGATGATTTTGGAGTAGTTGTCAAACCTTATTCAAGCACATTGACTACTGAGACTCTGACAGTTGAATCTGTTATTACTCAAAGAGAAGAAAATCAATACAAGTTTCCAAAATGAATGAATTGCATGTAAAATTCTTGAAAGGCTCTTCTGAAAATTAATGAAACTTCATGCTTTTTTTGTTTGTTAAAAATGACTGTCAGAAAAGTCACTCTGAAAGTGTTAAATGCATGGTACAATGTATGAGATACTGCACACAATATATATATAGAAGGATAAATTATTTCCTTCTACAAGTATTACAATTGATTTCTTTATGTGGTGCTGAGATCTAGAGTGTAATTGCTATTGTAATCCCAAACATTAAAATACAACATAAAACAACTAATTTTCTAAGTTTAGTTTAATTTCTCAAGATAACCTTCCAATACAACTTTTTTCTCATTATATTTACTTTAAAAATTATTTCAAATTGTGAGTGAATTAATTTAAAATTGTTCACTCACCCCCTCCCAATAATTCTGTTTTCCTAGCAATTTCTGTTTTCCTAAGTGATTCACCATTTGCCAATAAGAACATAGGTAATGTTAGAGAAAACTTCAAGGATTTCATTCACTTATTCAACAAATGTTTTTGAGCACCTACTGTGTGCCGGACACTGTTGTAATTGAAGGAATGAAGAAAACCGGCTCACATCAGTTCACAGTCTCGTAGGAAAATATAAACTGGTAGCTATATCAACAGATACTGTGTGTTATGAAGAAAAGATAAGTGAGTTTAAAGAGATAGAGAGGGATGCTAGTCAAAGAAGATCTATGCTGTTGTGACATCTGAGCGTAGACCTGAAGAAGATGGAACAAGAAATGTGGCTATCTGAGGGAAAGGGCAGAGGAACAAGTTTTTTTCTAGGCAGAAGAAAGGATTTTGTAAAACTTCCCATGTGATAGCACCCTGGCATGCAGAGGAAGGGTAGTGAGGCAATACTTTGGCATAAGCTACAGAGAGAAAGGGGTAAGAGATGGAGTCAGATAGCAAGGAAGAATATCTTGTCATACTGAGGATTTTAGCTTTTATGCTCAAACAAGACAGGAAATCATTAGGGTTTCTGTGCAAAGGGGTGAAATAAATTACCTTGCTTTAAAGAATAACACCTAAGTGAAGAATAGAGATATTTGGAGGAGAAGGTAAAGTAAAGACACCAGTGAGTAACTATTTTGATCTGTCCAGAGAAAGATAAGTGTGGCTTTGGATTACAGTAGTAATGGAGGTGATAAGAAACTGTCAACTTTGGCATATATTTTAGGTTTGTGCAAAAATAATTGCAGTTTTGGCCATTCCTTTTAATGGCAAAATCTAATAATTTGACAAGTCTTTATGATGGAGTTATGTGTGGAAAAGAGAAAAGAGAGATTGTTTTAAATTTGCTAGTCGGGGAGAATAAATGACAGGGAAGAAGTGTTCTTGTTTGTAGATTAGGCCATGTTTTTACGGGAGAAGGTGTATCCATTATAAGTAATAACTGAGGAAGAAGGGCACACTGGAAGGGGAAAATTGAACATGTAATATAAAGAAACATTTGGTAGAATATTGTATTATAAATGGTTAAAGAAAGAAACAATATATAAGAGCTAATCTTGAAGAACGGGACACTTCCTGAAACAGGAGAGAAGAAAATGACAACAAAGATACACAGAAACGATAAAGAATAGAGCAGGAAAATGAGAGATGCCTGCATTAGATGACTTCAATTATTTCTAAATTCAGAGTAAGCATTGTGGTGATAAGATGCAATGCTAATTTTTATGTTATATAATTTGATATAGATTTATTTGCTTTCTTCTGTTTTAAAATATCACTTTAAATGATCATGCCACGAATTAATAGAGAAAGAAAGAATAAAGAAAGAAGAAAGAAAGAAAGAAAAAGAAAGAAAGAAAGAAAGAAAGAAAGAAAGAAAGAAAGAAAGAAAGAAGAAAGAAAGAAAGACGAAGGAATGAAGGAAGGAAGGAAAGAAGGAAGGAAGCTGGAAGGAAGGAAGGAAAGAAGACAAGAGCTCATTGACCACAAAGCTTTTTGTTTTGCACATTTCTATACACCTTTGAGCAAAATTTCAGTAGAAACTTTGGAAATAATGATGAACCAAAATGACTATTTGAAAATTATATAAATAATCTGACAAACTATCCAATTGAGGTTAGAAATTCTGATATTTCTATATATAAAATCAATAATTCAAAATCTAGTGTATTCATAGGATTTCATCTACATCCTCTTCCAGTGCTAAGTTCAAGGAGTTTTTCAATCCTTTCCAGCTCTTGCTATCATACATTTCCTGAGGGAAGTTGTAGGTTAAAATTGTCTTTAAGCCATTTTGGTTTAAGAGGAAGCTTATTCCCAAGGCACGTTTTGAAACAAATATTGTCTCAGTTTTTCATGTTTACTAAACATATGGATGGAATAAAGCAGTAGCACCTATGTGATAAAGCCGATAGAGGTTTTCCAACTGGGGGGACCCCATACACAGGGGAGCAATACCGACTAGACCCAACTGTGTTCCAGATGTTTTTTAAAGTGTCAGTTTACTTTTTTCTCCTCTTTATTACAGGACTTGATGTCTGGGAGAGGGCTTACTATAATAGATAATCCTATAAAAAAATCTTCAGTAATGATTGGTGGATACTAAGGCCATGATTTTGTCCATTAATAGGTATTCTCAGGACTACTTTGGGAGACATCAACTAGAAAGAAGTTATACCAAAGAGTATTCATTACAGCCAGAAGCTACTGACGGTCATGTTTTAAGACTAGATGGAACCTAATTAGTCTTCTCAAATTGCCACACAGAGTCACTACCTTCTT
This sequence comes from Homo sapiens, assembly GCF_000001405.40. Classification (NCBI taxonomy): domain Eukaryota; kingdom Metazoa; phylum Chordata; class Mammalia; order Primates; family Hominidae; genus Homo; species Homo sapiens. The sequence goes on from NC_000018.10 coordinate 29,395,522, forward strand.
GTAAATACTTAATATTTTACATCCTTCAGCTCTACAAACCTGTTGCCAAAGTATATCTTTCTAGGTAAATGCTCAGCACTGTCCTGACCCCATTCACCTCTTTTGGAGGTATGAGCACGCTGGCTTAGAGGGAAGCCACCAGAATTTCGTGTGCTTTGTCAAAGTTGTTGGCTTTGTTCAGTATAAGTTTCTGGAGTATGAAAGCCTGGCTGCCTGACAGAGTGAGAGTGTGAAACACTCTCACTCTGTCATACCGGTGTTCGCTGTCTTCATACTACCAGCAGGGCCATCGCATCTCATCAGTAGTGAGGGACAAGTGTTACAGTAATACTTAGTTTTATAGGAATCACTTTTCTGGTAGCTCAGGAGCATTCTTAGTTATGGTTGACACATGTTCTGCTTTGGCAAGGCTAGACTTCGTTTCACAGAGAAGTAGAAAAGAACGTTTAAATTGTATTTGAAAATTAAAATTCTTAACTTATGGGTCATGTATAATCTTTCTAAAGAGGCAAAGCTTGCAGCAGTATGCAAATGACGATAACAGCCTTCTGTATTATAAAACTATCCATCACTCCAAAAGTCTTTCTCTGATGTCTATGTCAGCAATGTGTTACCCAACAATTCTCAAATAATAATGGTAAAGCCATTAAAAAAATCTAAAAATATTTTACTTCAAAATTACATTTCTGGCCAATGTCCCAAAATCAAAATTCCCAAGATTCTTTTCATCTTTTCTTCTGTCTATGCAGCAGATACGACAAATGCTTTTGTTAAGCCCAGGTTCACTTGGATTCTAAGTAATTTAAATGAAATGCCCTATGAGTAATTTGTGTAAACCAGTCCCCTTTAGAAGAACTTACACTAGTTCCTTGGGGGATGTTTGTCACTTTTATTTGATGTTACAAGAATTTATACCCTGACAACTACACTATCACAATGTCACTTGTAGTATCAGTTTAATTAAGGTACTGTCAGCTTTTCTCTAGTTTGCACAGTTGAATGTCTCTCTTATAATCAAATGGCCCAGCAAATTGGTGTTTCGTGTACTAATCCCAATTTGTTTTCTTTTCCTAAAATGTGACTCAAATTGTTAAAACCATTATTTAGTCATTTGATGTTAAAATAGATGGGTATATATTTTGTGTTTAGGATAGATGGATATATATTTTGTGTTTAAAATAAATGGGTATATATTTTGTGTTTCTTTCTGTAGATATAGATATAGATATAGACATAGATTTTTTTTTTTTTTTTTGAGACGGAGTCTCGCTCTGTCACCAGGCTGGAGTGCAGTGGTGCAATTTCTGCTCACTGCAACCTCTGCCTCCTGGCTTCAAGCAATCCTCCTGCCTCAGCCTCCTGGGTAGCTGGTACTACAGGTGCATGCCACCACACCCAGCTAATTTGTTGAGACGGGGTTTCAACATGTTGGCCAGGATGGTCTCAATCTCTTGACCTCACAATCTGCCTGCCTCGGCCTCCCAAAGTGCCGGGATTATAGGCGTGAGCCACTGCGCCTGGCCTCTTTCTATATATTTGAGTCACTTAATACCAGATGGTCTTCTAGTCCTATCCTATACATATTCTGGAACAGTTAAAAATAAAACTAGTGGGCTTATTTTGCAACTGGATTGACTAACCTATTAAATACGCATAAAAGATATCAGACTTGTGTGGCACATTAAATTTTGCAGAAGGCTTCTGTTTCTTGTGACAAATGAAAGGCTTATAATTCCTGATGTATGAAATATAATAATGTTTTTAAGATGAAAATGATTCTGTCCAGCATGTAACTGTATCATTTTTATGAACTGTAATTATATAAAATCAATGAATGTTTTATATATGTATTGTGTAACTCATTACAGGCAGCAGAAAGTGTGGAAAGAGTACAGTGTAGAAAAAGCACTAAATTTTAAAGTCAAAGTTTGTGTTCAGTAATTATTCAGTTCTGCAATTAATTAGTTATATTACACACAGCACACTATTGATGCTGGCAAAAAAAATCAGCCGTTATTTCTACAAGGCCTTGAAAGAAATTAGCATATTTCACCCCAAAATACGACTCCCTGGTATAATGAGTATTTCAAATTAAAAACTCTCAGAGATTAACAAGCACTGGAAGAGACTTTCCCCTAGGTATATAAAAATAGAACTGCCCCACCATGAAGAACAGTTGTTCCTGTTCCCCTCCCTGTTAGCTCATTATCCATTACAGGAAAGAATGATCAAGAATGTGACCACACCTTAAGAGATGCTTTTTCAAGATAATGACTGTCTCAAAGTTCAGGTACATTCCAAGGAGAACTATTTACAAGTTAATTTCTGTTTCCTGATCCAGTCATTCTCCTTAATAATTATTAATAGAATACCTATTATGTTAGGTATTCTATAGAATACCTCTCAATAAAATACCTCTTCTCTTCCCTCCTATAATATCTGTTTTACTGTTATAGTACGTAGCTAGTCAGACATGAGCAAGGCAAGAGAGGACCCCTCCTCACTCCACCAGGAATGTCAACCAACCATCAGGTTATGGTCAGGCAGTTGTTAACTGTCTTTCTAAAATAATTAGCCACAGCCAGCGCCATGGAAAGGTAGTCTCTCAATAGGTAGAAAAACTTGAAGCTGGTGATCAGCAGCTCCTTAATAAGATCTCAGGAGTTGGACGAGTGGGCTCACATATGTGCACTAAAAGGCAAAATGGCAGAGTATAACTGGTCTATGACCTCGTAGTAACACTGAACTGGTAAGGGAAGATGCCTAAAATGAACACGTGCACAATTTTGGTAAACACACGGCACATGCAACCCTTCTCAAGTGCTGGCAGGCCATAGTGCATGCAGACAGCCCACCCCAAGGGAAGGAATCAGGGGAGATGGGACGCAAGACCCCAGAAGTATGCCAACATATAAAACACTAAGTCAAAGGTCAAACTCTGCATTTGATCTCTCTCACTTGCTTGGCCCTCTTCCAAGTGTACTTTACTTCCTTCCATGCCTGCGCTAAAGCTTTTTAATAAACTTTCACTTCTGCTCTAAAACTTGCCTTGGTCTCTCCTGTCTTATGCCCCTCAGATGATTTTTTTTTCTTACGTGGAAAGAATTGAGGTTGCTACAGACCTGTACAGATTCACCGCTGCTAACATACTTTGGTGCCATGTGACTCAGATATGTTCCACCGCTAAATTACCAGTATCCACGCCTCCATTTTTTCTATAACTTCAAGATGGTATACAAGCTTCTGTACTTCAATGAGAGGTTGGGTCTTTATTCTGAAGGCTTCCATATATGCATGTTAAATATATCTGTGTGGCTTTTCTTCTATTAGTCAATCTGTTACTGGGGGTCCTTGCTCCCAGAGCTCCCAAGATGGTGGCTGCTGCTTCCAAGATGGCGGCGGACCACTTCCAAGATGGTGGCAAGCCTCGTGTTCTCTGACCTGGGGCTCTTGGCCTCATGGATTCCGACAAATGGAATCTTGGGCCATGCAGTGGGTGTTATAGCTCTATTAGAAGCCGTAGGTCACGGAAGAGAACTGTGGAACCCAGTGACTAGTGTTCAGCTCAATTAGGACGAACCGGGGCACTTAGCTGTGCAGGAACAATGGCAAGCCTCTAGCCCAATCAGGAGCCGCAATGAGCGCCTAGTTAGATCAGGAGCACAGCGGACACCCTGCTGGATCCGGAGGGATGGAAGTCAGCAAGGGCTCTGCAAATGACAAACGGCAAACGGCAGTGGTGGATGGCGAGCGAAAGCTCAGCTGAAGCTGTAACAAACACGGACCAGAAGAGAGTGCAGTTGCAAGATTTAATAGAGTGAAAACAGAGCTCCAATACAAAGGGAGGGGACCCAAAGAGGGTAGCTGTTGCCGTCTCCAATGTGCAGGTTTATATTCCAATCATTGTCCCTCCTGCTGTGCTCTCAGGCAATAGATGATTGGCTATTTCTTTACCTCCTGTTTTTGCCTAATTAGCATTTTAGTGAGCTCTCTTCACTACCTGATTGATCGGGTGTGAGCTACGTTGCAAGCCCCGTGTTTAAAGGTGGATACAGTCACCTTCCCAGCTAGGCTTAGGGATTCTTAGTTGGCCTAGGAACTCCAGCTAGTCCTGTCTCTCAAATCTAGTTCAAGTCTGTGAGTTTTCAGCAAATCATTAGAAGCCAAGGCCGTTTACTCTAGACAATTGTAGATAGATTGTATAGATATAGGTATAAGCATGGTATAGATAGATGTAGATATATAGCAGATAAATAACTTTTTCTACTCAAAGTATAACAATTTCTTGGCAGATAAAGGAATAATTAATTTTTTCTAGCTTAAATCCTTTCTTGTGTGCATTTCAGTAAATCACTTTTTTGTTTTCTGATTCACAAAATGTGAATGTTGAATAAGAAAACAATTAGGCACAAGCTACATGGAATTCCCAAGGAAGGAATTCTCCTTAGTATCCATTTACTCAGTACTCAGAGCCATGGGCACACAGGCATCAACCACTCCACAAGTCAGTCAATATTACAAATCATACATAATAGTATACTTAATGAATACATAAATGTTATAGATTGAAATTTTATACCAGACAGTAACATTTAACATCAAGAGAAAAGGAGATAGGAAAAGGGGTTAATGAACCCGTCCAAGAAGAGTGAAGGAGACAAGAAGTGTGTCCAGGCTTGACCCAGACAATCATCAACATCTTGCCAGGAAGAGTCCTTGATTTGAGCAGAGGCTTCAGAGGCAGATTCTGGGTGCAAGATGGGGTCTGTCAAGGCGTCTTTGTCTAATTGGTGAAGTCCTGCTCACTTTATGGCCCTTGAGTCCTCTGGTGAGGACTGATAGAAAAAGGGTAAGCCTTTTCTGGTTGGGCGTTGTCTCTATTGATAAGGCAAACATCTGAACTCTGGTGGCTTGATTACTTCAGAAATATAAGATGAAGTCTTTTTCTAACATGGAGCAATTTATGTCAAGTGTGCTTTAGATAAGAAGAAACCACATTTATAATGAACAAGAAATTATTGTCAAAGAAATCTGTTCCAGCATGAAAAATGGTATCTCATTAAAAGCGCTTCTCTCCCACAGCTGCAGCTGCTCCCATAACCACTGCTATGGCCTTGTTGCTTCTACTAGTGCTGCTGCTGTCACTACCACCAATTAGGGACCACATGCTTGGGGCCCTCAGTGCCCCAGAGGACCCTGAGGTGTCATATGCATGCTGGGCTGCCAGGTGAGTTGCTTTGTGCCCTGGCTGGCTGCTAGACCTGCAGTTCTGAGTCCTCAGTGTGGATGTTGATGACTGACATATCCCTGTTGCTCACATGCACACACCATTGTCTCAGTGGACTTTACTTACAAAACACCAGTTCAAAGATTAAAATATTAGGAATTTCAAGACAGCAACAGTAGAGCATTGAATCAAGTATGGGGTCTTCTGAGAGTGGGGCCCCATTTGACACTGACCAGGAGTTATCTACTTAATTTCTATCTCATTCCTCGTGAATAATAATCCAAATATTATGTTATCTTTATCACTCTCTTATCATTTTTTCCTTAATCAGTATATTACTTAATTTTATTGTATTGGAGGTTTTTGAAAATATTGAGAGTGTATGCACTTTTCCACAGTGTGCTTTTATATATAATTTATTCGTGGTAATGTGTTGCATGTAGCTGTAATACATTCATTTTCATTCTTATTTAAAATTCAATTATGTGAATACACAAGATTTTTTAAAATCGACCAATTAATCAAATGCCATTTAGGTTTTTGTTGCTGTTGTAAAGAACAGTGTGGCTATAAACATTCTTGTCCAAATATTTTCATGCAACAGTGTATAAATTGAGGACTGAAAACTGGATTGTAAAGATGTAAATGTTTAAATTCACAAAGATGTGCCAAATAATTTTTACAAATAAATATATGTTGCATTTTTTATGATTTCAGCTTTCTTTGGTTTCAACTACGTTTCTTTATGTAAGGTAATGAATTAAGTTAATATCATAAGCCTCCTCCTAAGTAATAATTTAGGACCTTTAATCCATATAAATATATTCCCAACTTGCACGCCTCCGATTTTTTACTTAGTTCTTTTTTACACTCTATGAATTAGATATTATCATTGCTCACATTTTATATATACTAACTGCAGAAAAATACATCTCTATTTCCTTGTTCTATCTTATATTTTTGGGAAATAAATTTGTTTTTTAAAAGTATATCTAATAGAAGTTTTATCAGCATAAGTTCTATGGTAATAAGTGTAGTTTTTGAAAGAAAATGTTTATTTTGCCTTTGTTCTTGAAATATGTTTGTGTTATAATTTGACAGTCATTTTCTGCTCACATTTTGAAAAAATACATTACTGAATTCTGGCTTGCTTTCTTGCAATTGGAAGTGGTATCTATCTAGTTGTCACTTATTAATAGGTAATCTTTTCTTTGACTTTTCTAGTCATCGGTTTCTCTGCAATGTGTCTATGTGAGAATTTTATTTTATTTTATTCTTCATAGTTTAAATTATACTTTCTACCTCTGTAGATTCATCATCAGTTTTAGTTAATAATCAGTCATTATTTCTTTAAGCAGTACTATTTCTTATTCACTCGATGTTTTCTCTGTGACTCTGATTAAACATGAGGTAAAATTTCTAACTTATTCATATTTTCTAACTTTATTTTAACATTTTTTATCTTATCTTTTGGGGCTCCATTTTGAGTAATTTCTTTTAATAACAGTCTGAGTTCTTCTTTCTTTAGCTGCTTCTAAATTTTTATTTAGCTTGAGCATTGAATTTTTAATGTAACATTTTTTAATTTTCAAGTTTTATTTTAGTTATTTTTCAGATCTTGTTGATCATTTCAAAAAGTGTGTTCATGATTATTGATTTTTTATGCCATTTAAAGAATTGCCTGAAACATTTTCTAAACATTTATTTTGTTGTCTTAAGTTTGGTGGGATTGTATTAGTCAGGGTTCTCCAGAGAAACAGAAAGAATAGGAGATAGGTAGATAAATAGAGACCTACATAGATATAGATAAAAATATATCTAGATCTGATATAGAAAAGATAGATAGGTAGATCAATAGATTAGATAGATAGATAGATAGCCCTCTATCTCTATTAGTTGATCTGTTTATCTATCGTTTGATCTACTTTTTTTTTTTTTTGGAACTTCCACAATGTGTACGTAGTCTAGTTTGTTAGCATCCCATAGGTTCATTTGGTTCTGTTCATTTTTCTTTAATTTTTTTAAAAAAATCTTCTGTTCCTCAGAATTGATCATTTTCATTTTCCTATCTTTAAGTTTGCTGTTTCTTTCTTCTGACTGCTCAGATTTTTCTAGTGAATTCTTAATTTTATGTATTGATCTTTTTGCTTCCAGGATTTCTATTTGGTTTCTTTTTAAGTTTTCTATTTCTTTATTGATATTTCCATTCTTTTTATATATCATTTTTATGACTTTCATGTCTTTCATTCTTCTTATTATTTATTTATTTTTAGCATTTTATAACAGTTGTTTTAAAGTCTTTGTCTAGTAGATCTGCCATCAAGTCTTTTTTAGGGATAATCTGTTAGTTTTTCTTTTTAATAGATCATACTTTTATGTTTCTTTGTATTCTTTGTGATTTTTTAAAAAAACTGGTCATTGGAATCAGTAAGTGTGGCAAATCTAGAATTAGCTTATCGTCTTCCCCAGGGTTTGGTGAGTTTTCTGTTTGTTTTGTTTGTTTTCTTTTTTTAAATTTTTTGATTGCTATAGGTTGTCTCTGTGCTGTGGATCAGACTGAGATGTAAACTAAGGTCTTCTCAGGTCTCTTCTGAGACTGTAGCTTCTCTTAAAAACACATAGTGACTTTCTAATTTTCCACATATATTTGCATGCTTTCTAATGTCCTACTTTTCAATATGTGGCTCCTCCCAGAAAGGGAAAACTAGAAAAATTAAGGGGAAAAATAAAAAGATCTTGGCCCTTCAAATCTCTTGAATGCCACTTCAGCTTGATGGACTTGACTGACCTTGAATAAGGAGGAGGTGAAGTGCTTGCATCCATGCAACACGATGGCTGTCCCCTCTTTTTCTTTACCTCTTCTATCTAAAGTGGCAATTGGTGATCATAGTCTAAACCCCTGGTATTTGGCAGAGTTGTTTTTGCTAGCTGTATGCAAGCTGTTCCAGGAATATGTGCACAGCTTCCTACCTTAAGGCTCGGAACCAGGGAGTATTTAGCAACAACTGTGCTAAGAGGAGAAATTGACTAAAATTAACCTGAATTTACCATCTAAGCCTTCCACTGAAATTTGCAATCCCTCAACAAATTCCAGAGTTCCAAAATAGTTACATCAGAAAGATTATCCCAGTGTAATTATTGTCTGTGGGGAGACAGGTTTCTGATGCTTCCTACTCTGCCATTTACCCAGAATCCTCTTTCTTTATTGTCTTTAAAAATTATATTATGAATAGTTTATTTTTGAACATAAAATATAGTTAGTTTAAATTTATTTTAATAAAATTTTAATGCATTTACCCTCTGCCTTATTCCACAAATAGGTTTTCTATTATTGATTGAAAATCAATTTGGATTGCCTGTTATGTAGTAAGTTTTTAGTTTTTAAGAAATCAAAGGAAGTGCTTGCTCTTATTAATTGTGACATTTCCTAACACTTTTAAGTTTAGTGTTTAGCCATAGTATATTTCAAACTTCATTTTCTTCTGGCTTCATCGGGCCTTTAATTTTGTATTTACTTGCTGAATATAATTTTTAAAATACATAATGTTTATGACAGGAAAAAGAAAATCTAAGTGTATTTATCCAAAATCATACATTGTCTTTAAATTTTTTTTTTTTTTTTTGAGGTGGAGTCTCACTCTGTCACCCAGGCTGGAGTGCAATGGCGTGGTCTCGGCTCATTGCAATCTCTGCCTCCCAGGTTCAAGTGATTCTTCGGCCTCAGCCTCCTAAGTTGCTGGGATTACAGGCACATGCCACCATGCCCGGCTAATTTTTTTTTTTTTTTTTTGTATTTTTAGTAGAGACGGGGTTTCACCATGTTGGCCAGGCTGGTCTCAAACTTCTGACCTCGTGATCCGCCTGCCTTGGCCTCCCAAAGTGCTAGGATTACAGGCATGAGCTAACAATATATTGTCTTAACACCATATATTGAATAATACTTTTACTCTCCATAAATTTGTAATGTTTTGTCTTATAAATATCTTGCTTATTCTAGTCTCTCCCATCTGTTTATCTCTTTATGTTATTCCATTAGCACAGTTTATTTTTTCTGTTTTAGTACGTTATGGTCCACTCGTTATAGCCTAGTTGCTCAAGATGAAAATCGGGAATCATTTTGACATGTTGAAATTTTATCTTTTTCTCATTCTTATTTTATGTGTCCCTATTATTGATACTACTTTCACAGCCTCACCAAATCACAGTTATAAATCACCATCATTTCATGTCTGGTTCCTAGCAATACAGTACTAACTTTTTTAGCTTCAAATTTTGTTTTTCTATTATATTCTCTATAGGCAGTCAGAAGCATATCTTTAAAACACAAATCAAAACATGTTACTTCCTTGTTTAAAATGTTTTCAGTTTCTTATTGCTTTGTTACTTTGCACTCCAAATGACAAAATGTGTTTTCTATACCCATCTCTTGTCTTATTAAATGGTTTCCCTGTAGTTACTTCTACTTTTTCTTTAGTAGGTTGATTATATTTATTTACAAATAAAAATATTGAAGGAAGACTATATATAAATACATTTATTTCTATACTGTCAATCAGTCAACATCTTATCCCTATTAAGCACTGTGCTAGTAAGTGGCATTAGGAATTTGAATAAAACTCATCCTTGATTTCAAGTAGCTGATAATCAAAAGAACGACATGTAAAATAAATAAGCACAACAAATGTTATAATAGGAATGACAGCAATTCAACGTGAAGCAATGGGAACAGAAAAGGTGATGGATGTATTCTCAGTAAAAGATCATTCAGTAGGAAATTTCTAAAAAATAAATATGTATTTTCCAGGTAAAAGAAGGTCTTTTCTGTCAAAGAAAGTCACAGGAAGAAAGAGGGTTTAGTTTGATTATAGGCAGTGAGAAAAACGAGGTTTTCTTCCATTCAATAATTTTCTTTAAGCATCTATTATGTGTCAGGTATTAGTGTATGCACTGGGTATGAAGCAGTGAATTAAACAGCTGTGATTCCAGTCCACATGAAGCCTGCCTAGTTATAAGACCAGAGAAAAGCAGCATGGCTTTCATGCTATAAACAGTAGTGTTATCTTTGAAATGGCTTATGCTAGGGAGTAAAATGAAACATGTTTGCAATTTATAAAGACCAACCCAGATGTTTTGGGGAAGAGAGGTTGGAAGGTTGGACACTGAGACACCAAATTCTTACTAACTGGACTAACAAAGCATTAGTAGTCCAGGTAACTGTTTCTCTACTTGTATTTGTTTATAATCAATATTTTCCTTTTGTCCTTGAAAATCATTAAAGGTAGTAAATTTTCATAGTCAACAAATCAGTCAGGCAACAAGGACTGCTAATGGCCAGAGAAATTCAAGTACTTTCATTTCAAAGTGGCTTAAGAATATTATATTTTTACATATTGAAAAAGATTTAGCTAATAAAATCTATACATTTTCCAAAAAGAAAGGCCTAAGAAACAACCACCAAATTCACAGTTCTTTCCTATTTCCTGTCTTGCAGTTGGAAGACAGATAGTGCTTTGTTGTTTTAATTACTTAGTTCAATGGTCTTCAGCTACCGTGCATTGAGTTACCTGCTGGACTCCAAATTCTTTTGGATAGAATAAATCTGCTTTGAATATTCTTCAAAAAGGTGGCATTATAAAACTTGCAGTGACTTTTTCCCATTTGTGCAGCTGATTTAAACTTATTTACTTTTTTTTTTTGAGATGGAGTCTCACTCTGTTGCCCAGGCTGGAGTACAGTGGTGTGATCTCGGCTCACTGCAACCTCTGTCTCCCGGGTTCAAGCAATTCTCCTGCCTCAGCCTCCCAAGCACTTGAGACTACAGGCACGCACCACCATGCCTAACTAATTTTTGTATTTTTTTAGTAGAGACAGGGTTTCACTATGTTGGCCAGGCTGGTCGCAAACTCGTGACCTCATGATCCACCCACCTCGGCCTCCCAAAGTGCTGGGATTACAGGCGTGAGCCACCGTGCCTGACCCACTATTGTATGTTTGTTTATAAATGCTGTGAACAGCTAAGGTTTTTTAAAAGTTCATACATATTAATAATAGCGGGGTTGTTTTATCACCTTAGTAACAAGTAAATCTTTATTCAATGGTACTTCACATATTTGGCTCATTTTTGATGTATGGTTTTGGCTTATAAATATAGTGTGTTGAATAAGCATGAAAGGAGTAACAGTCCATATTTGCTTTAAATGACACACATAATAAGCAGATCATGAAAATAGTGGTAAAACTTCAATTCCAGTGTTTATGGGTCTCTTGTCACAAACTACAATGTCATGGTTCTTTTAAGCCAAAGGGGAAAAAAATCCAACCTGAAAAGCAATCATATTTTTCAGATGTTTCTACAGTAGCCATCTCTCTGGGCAACAGAATTTCTGAGGCTGTCCAAAACATAGCAATTTGTCAACAATTTGAAAATAGGTTTGTGATAAGATGTATTTATTTGACAGTATAATGTAATAATAGACATACAGTAGGATGACTGTTGTAAAGGAAATTATCACTGGTGAGTGTCTTTTCCTGAAATTAATTTCAGATGTGTATGGTTGAAAATTCTGATCGATGAAATGATTATGGGTGGGTAGATGGACAAAATACATGGTATTGCTGCTGTCCTGTGTCTTCTTCATACATTTACAGATTCCAAATTAAATGGTGCTTACAAAATAGAGGAGTTTCAGTCATTTCCCTTTCAATGGAAAACAGAATTACAATGTGAAATTTTAAACATTTTAATATGATATGCCACAGAATTGAAGGAGATTGCAAATTTGGAAGTACATGAAGTCAACAACAAAGGTTTTCACTGTTCTACCTCAGATATTTTCACTGCTACTTCACTTTATACCCCTGAGTACCACAATATTAATAGATACATGCAAATGTGTATAGTGATTGTCATACCTACATAGAATGTAAAAATGGCCAATAAGATTAAAATAAACATTATGTGTGTAATATTATTTAATAAATGTATTGTCTTTAATACATGAATGTTTATTTATATACTTTTATTATAATTGTGTAACAAAATTATATAGTCCATTGGCATAATACCAAAGTAAAATGTATTAGAAAACCCTTAGACATATGAATTTCAAAATGCACCCAAGTAAAACCTAACCAGATAATCTAGGGTTAACTTGTATTAGATACTGTTCTAAGTTTGGAGGAAGAGATACAAAATGTTCTTGCTTCTTGGTGATACCAGATAAACTTAACCTTTGAATTAAAAAAATATGTATTATTATTTTTTATTTTAGAGAGGATCTTGCTCTGTCACTCAGGCTAGAGTGCATTGGAGAGATAATAGCTCATTGCAGCCTCACTAATTCCTGAGCTCAGCTGATCCTCCCACCTCAGTCTCCTGAGTAGTTGGGTTACAGGTGTGTGCCAACATGCCTGGCTAATTTTTTTTTTAATTTTTTTTGTAGAGATGGAGTCTTGCTTTGTTGGCCAGGCTGCTCTTGAAGACCTGGCCTTAAGCAATTCTCCTACCTTGACCTCCCAAAGTGTTGGGATACAGGCATAAGCCACTGCATCCAGCTAAATTTTTTCAAGTTTTTATTGAGATAATTTCAGATTCACTTATGGTTGCAAAAAAAATGAAGATCTATTTTACAGTTTATCTAGTTTCCTCCAATTGTAAAATCTTACCAAACTATAATTCAGTATTGCAATCAGGATATTGACACTGATGCAATCTATTGATCTTTAGAATTTTCCAGTTTTAATTGTACTCAAATGTGCTGATATGCATGTGTATTTAGCTCAATACAATTTTATCACATGTATAGGTTTGTGTATTCACTGCTGTAGTCAAGACACAGAGTGGCTTCATCCCACCTCCACTCCACTCCCAACCACCACGGCTTCCCCATTCCTATCTAACAGACCCTGGCAACCACTAATCTGTTCTCCATTTTTAAATGTTTTTATTTCAAAAATGTTATATAAATGGAATCATACAGTATGTAAGCTTTTTAGATTAGCTGGTTTCACTCAGTAAAATTCCCTGGAGATTTATCAAGTTGTTGTGTTCTCATCAGTCTTTTCTTTCTATTGTTAAGTCACATTCCCTGGGATAAGATGTATTATGGTTTGCTCTGCCATTCACCATTTGAAGGACATCTGGACCCTTCCCAGTTTTTGGCAATTACAAATAAAACTGCTAGAACCATTAATGGAGATTTTTCATTAAACATAAGTTTTCATTTCTGTGGGATAAATGGCAAAGAATGCAATTGCTGGGACTTACGGCAATTGAATATAGTAACTGTGTATGGTAATTTATAAAAAGCTGCCTATCTGTTTGCCAGAGTGGCTGTACAATTTCATATTCTACCAGCAATGTTTGAGTTATCCAGTTTTTTTGCATTCTCACCAACATTTGCTGTTGTTGCAGTTTTATCTTTTTTAATCTCAGCCATTCTGATAGGCGTTTTGTGATATATCATTGTGGCTTTAATTTGCATGTCCCTAGAGCATCCTTTTGTATGTTAATTTGCCATTTATATATCCCCTTCACTGAATGGTCTCTTCATGTTTTTTCTTATTTTCTAATTGGATTGATTGTTTTCATTTTTAAAAATAATGAGTTTTGAGAGTGTTTATACAGTATTGATATTAGCCATTTAGCATATATAATTTATAAATATTTTATCTCATTCTTTCACATATCTTTTTTTTCTCTTTGGTTGGTTTTTTGAAGAACAAAACTTTTAAATCTTGAAGATATTCAGTTTACTACTTTTATCTTTTCATGCATCATGCTCTTGTTTTTAAGTCTATGAACTCTTTGCCTAGATCTAGCTCTTAAAATTGTCTCCTGTGATTTTCTTGAAAATTTGCAGTTTTATATTTCACATTTAAATATATAATCCAATTGGAGTTAATATTTGTGTAAGGTGTGAAATTTGGCTTAAGGTTTATTATTTTGCTAACGCATGTCAACTGGAACCAACATTAGTTTTTTCATTCTCCAACTGAATTGTTTTTTGCTTTTGTCAAAAATAAGTTGGAAATATTTATGTGTCTGTTTACTTCTGAGTTCTTTATTCTGCTTCATTGATCTATGTTTTTATTCCTTGTCAAAAGTATATTCAGGCTTCTATAACAAAATACTTTAAACTGAGTTAATTTATAGACAACAAAATTTATTTCCTACATTCCCGAAGGTTGGAAAGTTCAAGATCAAGGTGCTAGTAGATTTGATTTCTGGGGAGGGCCTCTTTCTCATAGATGGCTCCTTCTGTATCTTCGTGTGGAAGAAGGGGTCAATACCTCCCTTGCACCTCTTTTATAAGGTCACTAATTTCAGACACACTAAGACCACAGAAACTTCTGTCAAAACCACACAGTCTTGATTAATATAGCTACGTATTAAGCCTAGTGGTATGATTCTTTCTGCTGAATTCTTATTTGTCAAGATTGTTTTAGCTATTTTAGGACCAGGGTCTTTCATATTAATTGTAGAATTAGTTTGTCTACATCTATAAATGCCTTCTTGGGATTTTGGTAGGAATTTCACTAAGCAGATAGATTAAGTTGGGGAAAATTGACATATGTACAATATTGAGTCTTATAAATTCTGAATACTTTATCTTTCCACTTATTTAGGTCTTTGATTTTTAATAAGCATTTTGTAATTTTCAAAATATAGACATCCTACATGTTTTATTAAGTTTATACCTATGTATCTACATGTTAGTGTATAAAAATGTGACTGATTGTTGTGTGTTGATCTTCTCTTCTATAACGTTTCTGAACTCTTTTATTACTTCTAAAAGTTTGTTTATTGATCCTTTAGGATTTTCATGCAGAAAGTCATATCATCTGTAAATATGAATATTTTTATTTTTTCTTTCCAATCTTTAATAACCTTAATGTCTTTGTCTTTTGGTTTATTATTCATTTATATATAATATACTGTATTTTACATTATGGATACAATGTACATATGTTTAAAAGAAGCATGTCTAGGCAGTATTTGAAAATATGCACTATTTTATGGCTTCCATTAAAGTAGACTTAATAAAGGTTATTTATATATATTTTACTTATAAAATATATTTTATATAAAATTCAGAAAAATCTTTAAAAAAGAACGTACAAAATACTCGTACTTTTACCATGAAGTTTTAATGAATATTAGCCTTTAATTAAATGTTGAAATTAAAGAATTACATTCAAAGGAATGTTTTTAAAACTAGTGAAATGTTGAAACTGGACATTTTTCATGAGTTGCTTAACTATTTTTATCTTCTGCTTCATAAATTGTCTGCTCTTATCCTTCATTCAATTTTATACTAAAGGCTTAAGTTTTGAGAAGAAGTTGTAAAATTGTCTTTCTTCTCTGCACAAAGCATTAAGAGAGAAACTACAGAAAAAAAAGGAGGGGGGGAGATCCAGAAGTTTCAACTATTTTGAAGGTATTTTGGGGTGATCTGAGCTATTCTGAGAAACAATGCTGTCTCCTTTTATCTTGGAAATCTTTTAATACCGCTGATCACCCCTAGGAATATTTTCTTTTAGATGCATGTCACCAGACAGGTTTTTTTTTCCTTTGTTGAACTAGAAATTTCTACCTAAAGTATTTTTCTTTATATCAACATTAGGAACAAATATGCACTGACTGCTTACTATATGCCACTTCATATGTTTTAATATAACATTATCTACCTAAAGCAAACTAGTTGTAACTTTGAAAGTATTGTTAGTTTCCCATGGATTTATAAATAAGAATGAGATTTATATAATAATGTTTTTCCAGAAATAAAATATAATTTTAACATATTTCTAGGGAGTTAAGGTTTTTTAACTCTTACCCAATTTATTCCATCAGAGTTAACTTTTCCATCAAATGTTTTTCCAAAAATAAAAATATAATTTTAACATATTTCTAGGGAGTTAAGGTTTTATAACTGTTACTCAATATATTCTATCAGAATTAATTTTTCCATCATATGTTTTTCCAGAAATAAAAATATAATTTTAACATATTTCAGGGAGTTAAGGTTTTTTAACTCTTACCCAATATATTCCATGAGAGTTAATTTTTCCATCGCATTAATTCTATATTGGGGGTAGGGGAATACTGCTTTGTGAAAAAAAAATCCACAGAATTATCATCTTATAGTACCTATGTTGTATATTACACATGTACACACAAATGGTTTTTACACATTAAGCACCATAAATTTGGCTACAATATTCAGTGGAAGATATCTTCCTTATAGTCTATTTATACAAGTATCTGTAGGTTCCTTTGGTGAAGGTATCACAGAGACTACTTAAAATTACCAAATTGATAATATTACTTTTATTGGCTGTGCATTTATCTTTTGGTAAACATATATAATATGACACTATAAACTTTCTAGTATACTTTACCAGGGAACTGACAAGTCTTTTCCAAATAGAAGTTAAATTTCGTACAGCAAGGATACTAAAGGCAGCTCAAAGATGCATTAATTCAAAAACGGTATGGTTTCATTAGGGAATGAGAATGTTTTTTCAGTCTTTTCTTTTTCTTTCTTTCTTTTTTTTTTTTTCTTTAGACGGAGTCTTGCTCTGTCACCAGTATGAAGTGCAGTGGCGCGATCTCGGCTCACTGAAAGCTCCGCCTCCCGGGTTCAGACGATTTCCCTGCCTCAGCCTCCTGAGTAGCTGGGACTACAGGCGTGCCACCATGCCTGGCTAATTATTTTTTTATGTTTTAGTAGAGACCGGGTTTCACCATGTTGGCCGGGATGGTCTCCATCTCCTGACCTCGTGATCTGCCTGCCTCGGCCTCCCAAAGTGCCCGGATTACAGGCGTGAGCCACAGCGCCCGGCCGCTTTTTCTTTTTTCTTTCTTTCTTTCTTTTTTTTTTTTACATGCAAAGTCTGGCTCTGTCACCCAGGTTGGAGTGCATTAGTGCCATCATAGCTCACGGCAGCCTCAAACTTGTGGGTTCAAGCAATCTTCCCACCTCAGACCCCTAAGTAGCTAGAACTACACGTACAAAATACTATACCTGGTTAATGTTTAAATTTTTTTGTAGAGACAGGGTCTTACTTCGTTGCCAAGACTGGAATCTAACTCCTGACTTCAATCCATTCTCTTGCCTCTGCCTCCAAAAGTGCTGAGATTACAGGCTTGAGCCTCCTCACTTGGCTTTCAATATTTTTATTTTTGAAGTTGATGATGACTTCTCTCCATGGTTGCAGAGTGCTATAGTAACTCCAGGTCTAAGTATATTAAAAAAAAAAGGCTTACAAAAGAAAATTGGTGGGCCAGGTACAGTGGCTCACGCCTGTAATCCCAGCACTTTGGGAAGCCAAGGTGGGCAGACCACGAGGTCAGGAGATGGAGACCATCCTGGCTAACATGGTGAAACCCCGTCTCTACTAAAAATACAAAAAAAAATCAGCAGGTCGGGGTGGCTGACGCCTGTAATCTCAGCATTTTGGGAGATCGAGGCAGGTGATCACGAGGTCAGGAGATCAAGACTATCCTGGCTAACACGGTGAAACCCCATCTCTACTAAACAAAATACAAAAAATTAGCCGGGCATGGTGGCTGCTGGTGGGCTCCTGTAGTCCCAGCTACTCAGGAGGCTAAGGCAGGAGAATATCGTGAACCCGGGAGGCAGAGCTTGCAGTGAGCTGAGCTTGCACCACTGCACTCCAGCCTGGGCGACAGAGCGAAACTCCATCTCAAAAACAAACAAACAAACAAAAAAAAAAACAAAAAAATTAGCCGGGTGTGGTGGTGGGTGCCTGTAGTCCTAGCTACTCGGGAGGCTGAGGCAGCAGAATGGCGTGAACTGGGAGGCGGAGCTTGCAGTGAGCTGGGATTGTGTGACTGCACTCCAGCCTGGGGGACAGAGTGAGACTCCATCTCAAAAAAAAAAAAAAGAGAAGAAAAGAAAAGAAAATTGGTGAAATAGATGAAATCAGTATGAAATATGCAAAAGAAACATTAATAGAAAAAAAAGATGACATAAAACAACTGAGCATTCAAGATCTTTGGAACAATATCAAACGGTCTAACACACGTATAATTAGATTATTAGATTCCCAGATATAAAGATGAACGAACATAGGTAGAATAAATATTTAAAGAGATAAATGTCAGAATTTTCCAAAATTGATTAAAGACGTCAACCTAGATATGCATGAGCCTCGGCCATTCATAATAAGGATGAGCACAGGAAAGAGCACTCCTGGACAGCCATTGTCAAACTGTGAGCATAAAGATGAAGATGCCAAAATGAAATTAGCTAGAAAACAATTTACACTGGAATACAAGATGGGCATGACAAAATGGCAATTAACTTCTCTATATCTTGTAATAATGCTGAAAGAAGGTTTTGCCGGACAAGATATATAAAAATCACAGCAGTTTGGAGAACAGACTGAGGATTTCCATAACTAAAACTTTTAAAATGACTGAGCCATTGTCTCTATAACCATGTGATTTGTTTTATTTAATTTAATTGGGTAGTATTGTAGGTTAAACATTCAATCCTAGTTTCTGTATACCATACCTAAATTGCTTTGTACAAGTGATTTAACCTCTACAAAATTTGCTTTTAGTCTATAGAGAGAATCTGTACAAGTTTAAATGAAAAAAAAATGTATATAAATTACCTAGCATAGTTCCTGGATGTCAATAAATTGAAAACCTATAAAAATTTATTTTTATACCTTGTATTGTCAATTTGTCATCCTTTTATTTATTTTCAATTTTTATATGCTTATAATTTGTATTATTTTATAGATGAAAGAATAGGAAAATATATAAAGTATACATATATAGTGAACATTGCTATATTAACACAGAGAAGTGCATATTGCCAAATTAAAACATTATATGAGATATGAGACATGATATCAAAATCATCTGGTCATTCCTTATTAAGTGTGAAAAAACACAGTATCTATCTTCTGGTTCCTGGCTGGATTCAATATTACAAAATAATTAGAGATGCAAAAGTAATGGGGGCAATTTTGTCACATTTACTGTTGACTGCCTATCTGCAATCACTGTGCTTCAACTAAATAAATGTGAAGAATGTCTTTGAAAAGAAAGCAAAAAAAAAAAAAAGCAAATGAAACCAAAAGTTCATTGTTTGAATATCTCTTCAAATACATCATCTGATAACTTTTATTATTCAAATTCCATGGCTTAAAACAAAATTAATAAATTCATCTAATAAACATCTATGAACTGGCATCTATTCTTAAACCTCTGAATGTCTTAGCTTAATTATGGCTCCTATTAAAATGGCTTTATTTTAAATGAGAAAATCAAACCCACTAAGTATATGTAAAATTTGCAGTTCAATTCTGAAAAAGTTCTTCACTGAAAATAATTAGGTAGAAATTACCCTCCAAGTGTAAAGCTTAAGTTAGTACCATGTAGAAGCTTTTGCTTTATGATCCTTTTGCTATATCCTCATCACAAACATATAAAGAACCTGTCTTAAAATACATGAAAACATGCAAAAATTAATGGCTAAAATTTATTGAGTGTTTCTGCAACAGCAAAAGGCAAATTATGATGATAATAATAAAAAATCAACTTTTCAGTCTTTCAATCATTGTATACTACATTTGCATCAAGTGTGCAATCTATTATTTCATTTATGCAAAGATCTTCATTAGGTATTAATATTTTTGCTTTTCTGTGACTCTTTTGGGCCTCTATTAGTAAGTAGTCACATTTTCCTTATTCTTTCTTTCTTTTTTTTCTGCTTGTACAGGGTTTTGTAGGTTCTCTCTTCCTCTTCTGCAGTATGTATTAATAAAAAAATAGTTGCAGTAAGTAAAAGTGAGAGATATCTCAGGTCTTCCACATATCTTATGTAAAAATGTTCCCTGTTCCTTTACTGACTTCACCACCTCTCAGGCTCTTTGCAGTCTCTCTCTCCCTCTTGTAGGAGCCATTAATTCAACCATAGCTGTTTGTGGAGAATACCACTGTGTAACAAAATGCATTTCTTATTTTTTACTTTTTCCACTTTTATCCCAGCATATTGGGAAAAGCAGATTACCCTCTTATTTTCTGTCCTCACCATTTTCTCATGCAGGGCAGCAAGACCTTGATATAAAAACCCTAGATCAATTAAGCACTAGATGTCATCCTTTATTGCTATCTCTTCTCCCTTTTCACTCTATCACAAATTGAATTGAACCCAGAACATCCAAAAACTAAGACTCTTTTTTTCTTTCCTATTAGCTTATCTTACCATTTACAGCAACAGTAAAAGTCTACTATGCTTCACATTAGACATCTATAGCATTAGAATATTCTATTGGTTTAGGAAATATTCCTATGGGCACAGTAACACCTGAGTCCTAAATTACATTGTGTGCAATGGTACATTATATTATAATAGTTTGTGATGTAGTTCAGCTGTGTCCCCACCCAAATCTCATCTTGAATTCCCACGTGTTGTGGGAGGGACTGGGTGAGAGGTAATTGAATCATGGAGGCAAGTCTTTCTAGTGCTGCTCTCATGATAGTGAATAAATCTCATGAGATATGATGGTTTTATAAAGAGGAGGTCCTTTGCACAAGTTCTCTCTCTTTGCCTGCTACCATCCATGAAGACGTGACTTGTGCCATGAATGTGAGTCTTCCCCAGACACGTGGCACTGTAAGACTATTAAACCTCTTTCTTTTGTAAATTGTCCAGCCTCAGGTATATCTTTATCAGAAATATGAAAACAGACTAATACAGTTCGACTTTGAGATAATTTGGAAAGTGAGTCTCATGAAAGATTAGAATTGGATTTGCTTAATTTTTGAGATGCTAGGTTGGCCATAAAACTGGGCACCCATTTAATTTGTTAGATCAAGCTACAACTAACAAACAAGGAATCCAGACCATTAAGATAATGTGATTCAGATCCTCTTTGGAGATAAGATATATGGATATTAACTTATTTAGGGCTAAAACTTTTCAATGATTGAGATTAGTTTTTTGTTTGTTTGTTTGTTTTTAGAATTCAGAGTTTGTGTATTCTAATGGGAAACCATTCACAGTGTTCACATATATAATATTTTTTTTCCATTGCAAGTGGTGCAATTACAGCTCACACCAACCTTGACCTCTCAAGCTCAAGCTATCCTCCCAGCTCAGGCTTGGGTAGCTGGGACTACAGGCCCCCACCACCAAGCCTGGATAAATTTAAACCAGTTTTTTTTTTTTTTTTTTTTTTTGGAGAGCTAGGTTCTTGCTATGTTGCCCAGGCTGGTCTCAAACTCCTGGGCTCAAGCCATCTTCATGCCTCAGCCTCCCAAACTGCTGGGATTATAGATATGAGCCACCACAACTGACCTAAATTTTTTAATCATACGTGTGCAATAAAATAGGGTACAATATAGGAAAAAAAAATATCCTCTGTTAGGAAATAATATATAAAATTAGTGCATAATTTAAGAAATATTTGGCCTTGAGGTAAATTAATGTGCTGTTTAGAGGGCTCCGGGTGATAGTTAAAGTGTCATGTTTCCTGGTTCCAAGGGTCTACAAAGAAACAATAGTATGTGCAGTATATAAAGCCACATGTCATTACAACAAGCCTTCCTTGGTAGACAATTGATACTTCTCCTAGAATTGTATGGACTGTCCATGACTGACTATGGGCTCAACTGTCAAAGCCAGCAGTTGAAGAAAAACAAATTAAAGCCAGGAGAGCCAGTGTTGAAGAGAGGAGAGGCTTCTGTTCTTTTCTCCAGACATCAACAGTGCTTTTGTTCCTTTACTGGCTTTGTATGATCATCCATCCCTCTCTTTTCCCCAAAAGGAAAAGAAAATACTAATAATGTCATATTGCAAACATTGAGCCCTATTTACCCATGGTAATGGTTGGGGTCGCTGTATGTAAAATGGTAATGCTCTTGTGCATGGTCTTCTTTTCAAATTCTAAAGCAGGTACTGAATTTACTTTAAGACTTAACTTCCTGAGGGAGACTCTGGCTTTCCTAGAATTGATATATTAAAAAAAAAACAAAAAAACACCAGAATAATGGGAAGTCCTATTTATTCCTTGAGCATAAGCTATATGCTTTTTCTTAGACATCCAATGCTTTGCCTTTGTGCTAGGAGAATTTAGCAGAGTAAAAGTACAAAGTACTTTGTTTTACATTGTCTGTGATTTCTCCGGGTACATTGTCTATCTATTTGGGACATTTAACGTGAAAGAAAAGCCTAATAATACAGTAGTCCCCCTTACCTGCAGGGGATATGTTCCAAGACCCATGGTGAATGTCTGAAACCACAGATAGTACTAAATCCTACATATACTATGTTTTGCCCCTATACATCTGTACTTATGATAAAGTTTAATTCATAAATTAGCCACAGTAGGATATTAACAATAACTAACAATAAAATAGGAAAATTATAATAATGTACAGTAATAAAAGTCATGTGAATATGGTCTCTGTGTCTTTGTATCTCAAAATATTTTGTTGTACTGTACTTACCCTTCTTTTTCTTGTGGTTTGTGGATCTGATAACCAAGAAGGCTAATAAGTGCCTCCACTAAGTGACTAATGGGTGGGTAGTGGATATGAGGAGCAAAGGGATGATTCACATATTTAGCAGGACAGAGTGGAACCATGTGAGAGTTTGTCATGCTACTCAGAAAGGCAAGCAATTTAAAACTTACAAATTGTTCTTACTAGAATTTTTCATGTAATATTTTTGGACTGCAGTTCACTACAGGTAAATGAAGCCTTGCAAAGTGAAACAACAGATAAGCAGAAATTGCCATACCAAACAATCAAAATCTCATTCATAAACCTACAAATAATTTGCTATTGAAAAAAATAACAAGGCTTCTCTTGTCCTTCAACTGACATCCTCCTAAATTTATACTTATGCAACACTGAAATCACCAAAATAATTTTGGGGGTATATTTAACTCATTAATTACCAAAATATGGAGTAGAGTTTTAGAATGAAATAGTCATAGTAGATTTTAAAATAAATGCATGTATTACATTTTTTGAAAACTTGTAGATAAATAGAAGGTTGTTCTTGGATCAAACAGAATTAATGGAATTTTTTAAAAAACTATTATACTCTTTTGTATTAACCTTTTAAATAATTAGTTTGCCATACGTTATGTAATTAATGAGAAGATGAATTAATATTTCCATCTGGTCCAAAATATGTTAAGAAAATAGGTTTCACCCTTGTTGTCAGAGAGAGGTTGTATTTTGTAACATAAAGTAAAAAAAAAAAATCCGAAATAATAGTGGCTTGAACAAGGTATCAGTCTACTTCTCTCTCACCCAAAATAATTGCAAAAATAGGCCATGGAAAGTGGGGTGAGTATTTTTACCACTCTGGAGGGACTCAGGCTTCATCTTTGCTCAACTCAGCATCTCTAGGATCTAATCAGAGTCTTCATTGTCCTGGATGATTCCAGCCATCACATTCATACACTAGGCAACTGAATTAATACAAGGAAGAAGTAGAAAAAGCCACGACCTTTTCAAGGAGACTTCCTGGATGTCCCACAAAACTCTTGCCCTTAAAATTTAATGGCCAGGAAGTACCCACAGGGCCACGCGGAGTAGCAAGAGAAGTTTTTCACCTGGGCACCAATGAATTATTTTACTAACATGGAGTGGAGGAAAGATTTTGGAAAGCAATGAGCAGTCTCTGCTAAAAATTTGAGAGATGAAAATTCTCAAAAATTATTTAGAAAATATTGAAAGTTATACATTTGAAAATGATAGCAAAATGCAGGTCATGCTTTATAAATAGCAATAATACTTTGACAATTTGCCTGTTTGTCCCTTTCCAGAAACGTAGCTTAATGATGATGGTGATTATTGAATTTTAAATGGCAACAAGTGTCTCTTAGCTTCATCTAAATAAAGTTATATTGTTTCCTATTTCTTTAATTTACTATGCAAGATTATAAGAGAAAAATATGACTTTGCTCATTGTACTTTGCCCTCTTAGGAAACCCTCCAGGCAATTGTCCAAGGAGAAACAGGCAGAAAAGTGTGTTGCTG
Source organism: Homo sapiens (assembly GCF_000001405.40). NCBI lineage: Eukaryota > Metazoa > Chordata > Mammalia > Primates > Hominidae > Homo > Homo sapiens. The sequence continues at coordinate 29,419,785 of NC_000018.10, forward strand.
ATAGAAGCAGAGGAGGGAAACCAAGTTTGACAGCAGTGAAATAAACAATACAAATATACAGTAAATTTGAAAATCTATTTGATTGCCAAGTCTGTCCCACAGATGAAAGAAGTTCGCTGACACAGATATTTTGCCTGACAATGCAGCTAGGGGAATGCACGGCTCTGCACCGTCCACGAGAGAGTCCAGCAGCCACTGAGAGAATGCCACCCCCATAAGCCAGCCCTGCTTGCATTTATTTAGAACAGATTTAATGACAAAGGCTTGGAGTAAACATAATTTGTGGGTAATAAACATTGTCAACCCCTGAGTACAGCACAGTTCTGTGCACAAATGATCAAAGGTTGGTTTCTGGAGACAGGAGTAAACGAATTTATCTAGATAAGTTCATTTACATTCCCTTGTTATCTACCCTTTGCTCTCAGGTTCTAGATAAGAGAATCTGGCTGCTTTCAGCCAAATCCTCTTTCGAAGCTTTTGCAAAACCTCCCAGCCTTCCGTGAATGTTTGCATCTTTCCCTATAATTTCTCCCACAACCCTGACTGACCTCCTACATCTCCCCCTTTTCTGTTTTTTTGCATCAGGTTTTGTTGATTGAAGAGCACAGATGTGTGCAGCAACAGGTTTGTCTGGCGCAGGGGTTATTGCTCGTATTCCCACTTGGCATCCTAGAATTAGTAAATAACATAAGACAAACATCAGCATAATTAGCAACATTCTTTACCAATCTAAAGTGACCCCCAGGAGTGGGGGTCTATCCAGGAGAGATGTTCTCACATATCCTTCCATATGGTTGTTTGTTGGGCATGTAGATCTATGGTGTTTAGGGACTCTAGAATTTTAATTTTAAGTTGCCTTATGTCTGCTGTTAAATTATCAGGTCAGGTTCCCCAGAGGTATTGTTTCACTTCATCCCAACTATGTATTGATTGATCCAAGGTAGAGAGGTGGCACAATGTGCTTATGCTCCCAGTCACGGTTTAATTGCTGTCAGAATGCCAGTGCATCTTGCCGCTCCCCTACATATTGTAAGGAGCGTTGAGGGCTTTCAGGCATGCAAGAATCTTTTAATCTACACCCTGCTGTAAGAGAAGTTCATTAGACACATTTTTGGCCAAGTTATCTACAAAGGTAGCTGTTTGCACTGATTCAGTAATAGAGGCCACAGCAACACTAGCAGTTGCCAAGATGATTATGGCTGAGATTATTAAGGCTATAAGTGTGCCTATGAATCTTTTGGGTCAGACCTGGGATAGGGCATATTCTAAGGTGGCAAGGACAGAGGAACCTTGCCAATCGCACGTCAAATTGACTGGTAGGAATGCCTCTCAGATTGTCTCCTTAATACCATGACACTAGTAATATTTATATTAGATATATTGTAATTAGTGATACATGAGGTGAACCAAGCCTGTCCCTGCACTTGGGTCACAAATGTGGAGTTTTGGCATGTAGTGAAAATATTAGTTCCCATAAAAAAACATATGGATGAGTAGTGTAAATCAGGCACTGATCTGTGTGATTATGAATAGCGGTCACAGTATAATTGTTACTGGAATTATGATATGTTCCATGCCGGGTGTTAAGGGAGGTGGTAAGATGTCCCAGGCACCATAAAATGTCTTGGGGTGGCATGGACTTTACTTGAGATCTCATATATCCCATCCCCCCATCAGCCCAAATCATAGGGGAATGGGACATAGCTATGACACTGTGACTGATGCCATGATAGATGCGGCCATCAGTGTGATCACCCTGCAAATGACAATGGGGGCTCCAGCCTAAGATATTCTTACTGCCTAATTGGAGGCTACGGGCTTGTCCCCCATGACAGACCTCCCAGCTAAAGTGGAACCCATTACTTTTTCAACTTTGTTCTTCAGCACAGGGAGGAATGTTGGGGAAGGTGGCATTCGTTGCATTGCTCAGTTTGAGGCTGCCTGCAACCAAGAATGTTAAGACATTTCCTTTGCCATGAAGTAGCCATAATTGTGTTTCAGCAGGTACACAGTAAGGGTTAGAACTTTTATAACTTACAAACAGTGGGAGGATAGTGGAGTGATATATAGTGTTACCTGGCACCTTATCAAGTGTGTGCCATTAATGAGAGCCTGCACTGAGGGTAAGTCAATCCCTCCTAGCCAAGCAATTATGCTATTAGAAGCTGGGAAGGGGGTGTCTGCCCAAGTAAAAAGGTCGAAGAAAGGCAGATCTAAGAGATGAGCCCAATAGGGGTTCTTTTTCTGAGTTACTTTGGTCTATACTATTGGGGCATTCCCTCCTCATATGACCTGGCTCTCCACGTAGAATACAATTTGGGTTTCTCTCCTTTTTCACTTTAGGAGGCCTTAATGCCATAGCTAATATTATGGCTTTCTGTGTTTCAGTCCCTACCAGTTGACATGCTCATATAAGTTACCCAACTGTGGCCGCCTTTCCTCTGATTACCTGCATTGCTTGCTGGCAGTCGACATTAGCATTTTCATAAGCCAACTGCAACAATAAGATATCAGTAACCTGGGTGTGAATAGTTTGTCTCTTAATTGCCTGGGTTAACCAGTTGATAAATTCAACAAATGGCTCCTGTGGCCCTTTTTGAACATTTATAAAAGATCCCTGTTGAACTCTGCTTTTGGGAATTTGGTCCCAAGCTCTGAGAGCAAACAAAGACACTTGTGCATAGGCCTAGGGATCAAAATTTAGTTGTTGTTGCACATTGGCATGGGGACCCATCCCCTGGAGCATAGCAGCTGTTATGACTTGCCCGGCCACTTGATTCTGTTTGGCTTGTTGTTCGCATAACTCATCATATTCTGCCCTCCAGAGGAGGTATTGGCTAGGCTTCAAAGTTGTTTTAGCTATCACTGACCAGTCCCATGGGGTCATATGGAAGTTGTCTGCCATGGTTTCAATTATTTCTTTGGTAAATGGGCTAGTGGCTCCATTTTCTTTAATGCTTTTTCTTCTCTCTTTATAAACATTCAAAGAAATGGGTTCACATGCCTGATTGCCTTGTCAATCTTGCACTACTGGGCAGGCCAAGAGATCCCATCCTAATGCTGCTTGCCTAAGACAGGGTCCCATAGCTATAGCATATCCCTTGTCTTTTTCCAATTTATTGGAGGAGGGAGCTCAGGCAAAACCTCTGTTTCCTCTGTTAATTTTGCCTGGAAACAGTGGGGCTGAGGGAGAAGGAAGAGGCAGTGATGTAGGTGATGGTTCCTCCTCCCTTCCCTTTCTAGGCTCTTCTGTGTAGAACGGGACCAAAGCCACCCTAACTAAGGCCCATAATGTTAGAGATGTTACTGGGACCCGTTGCCCTTGTGCATTATGTTATTTAAGATTTCTCCCAACTTGTTACAAGAGCTCTATGTCTAGTGTGCCTTCTTCTGGGAACCATGGGTTATGGGAAACAACAGGTTACATTAGGCCCCTTAATTGAGCCTGCAAAACCGAGGCTCCACTAGCTTTAAGCAGCTGTTTCAATACTTTTATATACTGTTTCTATTGAGCTGATAACTGTTGTCCCATGATGAAATCCTAGCCTGAACAATTCCCTCAAACTTGGAAATCCCAAGTGGGTATCAATGACTAATTGACTTACTGATTGTGCAGTCTCTTCTTCTTCATTTTCGAGGGTTCCATCATGATCTGCTGCAGCAATCCTCATGCGGGGCACCACCCGTCCGGTCTTTCCCAGAGACTCTTGCCAAGTGACGGATGGAAGAAGTTCACTGACACAGGTATTTTGCCTGAAAACGTGGCTAGGGGACCGCACGGCTCTGCAACGCTGATGAGAGAGTCCAGCAGCTATCGAGAGAGTGCTGCCTCCATAAGCTGGCCCCACTTGCATTTATTTAGTACAGATTTAATGACAAAGGCTTGGAATAAACACAATTTGTGGGTAATAAACATTGTCAACCCCCCCAGTAGAGAGCAGTCCTGTGAGCAAATGATCAAAGGTTTGTTTCTGGAGACAGGAGTAAACAAATTTATCTAGATAAGTTCTTTTACATTCTCTTGTTATCTACCCTTTACTCTCAGGCTCCGGATAAGAGAATCTGGCTGCCTTCAGCCAAATCTTATTTCAAAGCTTTTGCAAAACCTCCCGGCCTTCCAAGAAGGTTTGTATCTTTCCCTATAATTTCTCCCATCACCCTGATCAATCTCCTACATTTGATCTGTTTTATACAAACTAAAGCAGTTCATATTCCTTGAATATGCTTTAATTATGCATTTTAGTTCTACTTGATAGATCATATTGGGAAATATTTAGTGATTTTGTTGTTAGTACATAATTTATTAGGCAGTGTTCAATTTCTTCTTCAAAATTTCTGTAAGTTTAGAATTTGCTATAATATTTGGATAGGACAGTAGGGAGTAACTAGTTAATTTTCCCAAAGTTGTAGCTATCCAGGAATATTGTTAATAATATACAATTTATCATGGTTCTATTAACATTAAACATTCTTTTTTATTATATAAGGATATATTATCAGCCAAGATCTAATTAATATGTATAAGGAAAATATATACCTTATACAAAGCAATCTAAAACATGCCATTGTCTTAGGAGAAATTAATTACCATGCTATTTCAATGTAAATATAGCAAAGAATGTTTTACCCAACCTTATCTTAATTTTTGAAAAAGTTTATCTTTATCCTCTTATATGAAAATTCTGGTATGTTTTCAATTCCTGAGAGGTCATTTTGTTTCATGATCCTTGGAAAACCGCTAGATGATACCACTAGCAACTACTCAAAAACATATCGCTCTCAACCTGTCCCAAGAAAGGTTATAAACAGTCTTATCAGATGATGATTAGGAATGAAAGTTTCTCTGCTGTCTCTTAACTGTCATGGATACATACCAGATGATTGTGTTGGATGGCTTCTCTTACCTAGTTTGGACTAAATAGGAGGCCTATCATGTAGCAAACATGAAAGTTTTAAAAAATATTTTATTGATAAAACTGTAAGTTTAGCAAAGAAAGGATTTAGACATTTATGCTTTGAGAAGTGGCATTGGCAATTGTTTACCCAAATGTAAAATTAAAATTTTGCTTCAAAAGCATAATCAACTATATCAAAATAAAAACTTTAAATGTTTACAGGCATTTAGACATATAGTGTAACATATTCAACAATCAATATGTTAAATGTACTCAATATATAAACAGTGCTCATAAATCAATATACGTAAGAGACAACATTAGAAAAGTGTACCAATAACAACAGTAATTAAAGAGTGTGAAATAAAATAACAATAAGGTTTATTTTGAACCTGCTAAGTTAGCAAGGGTTAACATAAAAGCCCTACGACTTTGATAATGAAGGGAATAAATCTTCTCATACGTATTAGGCAGTATGTGTATAACACTATAAAATGTTACACATCTTTCACATATCCTTTTTATGCTTTTCTCGCTAATATATTTATCCTCAAGAATTATTCATAGGCCAGGTGTGGTGGCTCACGCCTGTTACCCCAGCACTCTGGGAGGCCAAGGCAGGTGAATCACCTGAGGTCAGGGGTTCAAGGCCAGCCTGGCCAAAATGGTGAAACCCTGTCTCTACTAAAATTACAAAAATTAGCTGGGCATGGTGGTCGGCACCTGTAATCCCAGCTACTCAGGAGGCTGAGACAGGAAAATCACTTGTACCTGGGATGCAGAGGTTGCAGTGAGCTGAGACCGGGCTGTTGTACTGCAGCCTGGGCGACAAGAGTGAAACTGTCTCCAAAAAAAAAAAAAATTCCTGTATACAGATGAAAAATACTTATGAAAAAAAAAAACAGCAATATGTCTATAGTAAAGAGTAGAAAACAACATAAACGACCCGCAATAGGGATTTGTTAAGCAAATTTCCTTCATGTTACTATCTAGTCACTAATAATGATGTACCAAGAGAATATGTAGCAACATGAAACAATATTGCTGAAAGACTCATTTTTGTATAGTTTGGTGTTTCAATAGGAAAATATTTTGAAAGGATATGTATCAGATTGTTAACAATAGTTATGTGGGGACTCTAGTACTATAGGTTATCATATGCTTTTTTGTCTATTGGTATCTCTAAAAAATATTTAATTAATAGTCATAAATTGGAACACATTTAAGGACAATTTGAATTAAGTAAATATAATATTTGAGAATATACAATAGAATGAAAACAGTACAGGAGAAAGAGAGAATATGAATTATATCCTGTATGCTTATTTTAGAAACTTTTGGTGTTTGTATTCTCTTTGTTTTCTAACAAAATGGAGGACATTGGACTTTTACATGATGTCCAATTTCTTTACACAGCGAATTTCTCTAACTAAAACTTTTTTATGGAAAACATTTTTAGTTTAATTCTGGTAGATTAGTTTCTTGTTTTCTTAAAATAGCAAATAAATACATGTTATTCTTTATTTTATTATAAATTACAAACTAGCAGTAGAAATTTTTAATATAATTTCTCTCTTAATACACACATATAGACATAGATACTGTCCATGTAAACATGAGTCTATTAGCATATATATTATGTGTATATATATGACCACCTTAAGGATGAAATATTCCAGAGCTCTTTTTTTCACAAAGACTGACATAGTTGTCATTGTGTGCCAAATATTTTTCAGTTTTACACAAATCACTATTATATATTTAATGCTCACAACCACTTGTTCAAGATCACAGAGTCAGCAAGAGATTGGGCAAGGCAGTATGACCCATAGCTCATGCCCTTAAACACTAAGTTACATTGAATTTTGATGTATTTATAACAAAACAAATTGACACTTATAAAACACAAATTTTGTTAAATATTTTATAAACATACTAAATTGTATCATTGATGTTCATATTTTCCACTAAACACAGATATGCAGCCACCTAGTAAACCTTCCTTTTTAACAATCTGAAGTGTTTAGCCCTCAATATCATGTGATCACAATAAACCTGGTCACTGCCGATTGCACCAGTGGTCAGTTCCTGTTCTCAGCTAGGCAAATTAAATTCTCTATTCTAAAAACATTGAATTAAGACACAGAGGCCGAGTCAAACAAACGATGTTGTGAATTTGTGCTTTAGGGCTACTGAGTTGTGGGCCAAAATTATAAATAAGTCAAAGCTTGAAGAATCAGCAAAAGGACCAGTGCAATGGAGTTGGTTACCGAGAGAACCAGCAAGTCAAGAATGTGGTCAAAGTCTCATGGGGAATAGGAAACTTGAGATTAAAACTCTATGCATTTGCTGTATTTTCCCTCTGTTTTTTCCCTTTCACTGGCTCTGTTTTCCATCCCTTTCTATCACTTTCCCAAGTTTATTCAACAAATTCCTCTTTTTTTTTTCCTGCAATCGACAAGTACCCAAATAAAACCAGTGGGAACATGCAACAATATTCTGAAACAAGCATTTTATTCGTCTGTACACACACACACACACACACACACACACACACACACACACACACCATTATACTCTATATTTTCCTGAAGATTATATTGAAAAAATGACATTGCTGAATTCTAGTGGATTCTACAGATTCCCGGATTTCCTATGTAATGGTTTAACTTGAAAAATTACTCTCTGAAGTTTCTTTGGAAAGGAGGATGGTTGTTCAGTGCTTCCACAAACTGTTTTGAAAGAGAGTTAAAGGAAAAAAAAATAGAAATTAAAAAAATGCATCGACAAAATACTAGATCTAATAAATGCACCTGTGATTTTTGATACTAAACCAAAGCCTTTTAAATGGGGATTTGTGGAGAATCTAAAGGGAATATCAGGTCAGATTGAAAATCTTTTTTTTTTTTCTTGGAGATGGAGTCATGCTCTGTCACCCACACTGGAGTGCAGTGGCATGATCACAACAGGTCACAGCAACCTTGAACTCCTTGACTCAAGCAATCCTCCTGCCTCAGCCTCTGGGGTAGAGAGCACTATAGGCACATGCCACAATACCTGGCTCATTTTAAAAATTTTTTGTAGAGACAGGGTCTTGATATGCTGTCCAGGTTGATCTTGAACTCTTGACCTTAAGCAATCCCTGCCACCTCAGCCTCCTAAAGCTCTGATAGTATAGGCATGAGGCATCGTGCTTAGCTGCTTTATAACAATTTTAATGTTTATGCTTCGTGCAATAAGACATGCAAACAGTGTCAAAAGGCAAATAGTACTATAAGGCATAACAACAAAAACAACAAAAAAAGAAGTCAAGCCCTTATATAAATTTTTACTGCCCAGAGAACACAGATCATAACTTCTTTTTACTGGCTTTTATTTGACTTTGCCTAATTTCTAAATTTGATACCTATAATAATACTTATTGAATTTTAATGTACACACATTACAAAATTGACTTTGTATCATAAAAGATGAAGATTTAGCATTCTTACTCCAATTACTCAAAAAAAAGTATGCTGATCAAAAGAAAACTCTGTTTGTAGTTCTACCCTATAACGCTACATTAAAATGCACCTAGTGACTCCAATTCCTGAAATATGTATTCTACAAATTCTCTTGATTCTTGTTGGTTTCTCTTTCTTCAGGATTAGATTTTAATTTTCTCCACTCTGTGAATTTGTTCTCACTTGTCCATCTGCTAACTTCTAAAATTTTATTTTCTATTTTCTCATTTCTCTTTCCATTTGTCCTTTGGATTTGAATTTTTTCCTGTAACATTATTTTAGTAGGTTTTCAGAAGGGAGCGTATATAAAACCAGTGGTTTAACGAAGACTAGTAAGTCATTCTTATGCCTGTACACCTTGAATAGGGTGGATTTAGACTTCAAAAATAAATAGAAGTAAAATAAAAATTAATAAAGACAGCTTTTTTTCCTGTAGAAAATGTTAAATATGAAGAAAGAATTTGAAGTGTATATAGGATTTAGACTACAATCTCTAGAGTGAATATTTAACAATTAACCTGATTCCATCACTCACCAACTGTATGATCTTGTGCTATTTGCTTTAATTCTTTGTGCTTCACCTTTCTAAATAGTAAAATTGAGATGCAAGTAGCATCTGTTTGTCTTATAATTTTAAAATTAGAAAAGTGGCGGCTGGGCGCGGTGGCTCACGCCTGTAGTCCCACCACTTTGGGAGGCTGAGGTGGGCAGATCACGAGGTCAGGAGATCCAGACCATCCTGGCTAACACAGTGAAATCCTATCTCTACTAAAAATACAAAAACATTAGCTGGGCGTGGTGGCGGGCGCCTATAGTCCCTGCTACTAGGGAGGCTGAGGCAGGAGAATGGTGTGAACACCGGAGGCCGAGCTTGCAGTGAGCCAAGATTGTGCCACTGCACTCCAGCCTGGGCAACAGAGTGAGACTCGGTCTCAAAAAAAAGAAAAGAAAAGAAAACTGGCTAAGTAGGGTGACTATGCAATATTTTATAGTGTATAAGAGCAAGTTCACGTTTTTACTCTGAAACTTCTCCCCAATAACATGTAGTAGGACACAGTAGCTTGATGCTCCCAAGAACAAAAAACATATAAAAATAAAATGTAAAGTACTGAAACCACAGTGAAATATGAAAGAGCTGTTAATTGAATAAATTATTAATGTCGTACCCAAAAGAAGAGAAACTATTTAAGATTGGCAGACAATTCCGGCCCTCCTCCCTACTAGTAGATAATGTTACTAAACAAAGAATGTTACTAAACAAGGGGAAGAAACAATGTTAAACAGTGTTACTAAAGAATGGGAAAGAAAGAGGGATAAGCTAAGTATTTGTCTTGCCCAAGAAGAAAACTTCTGCTGGAATAAAGCACATTTTAGGTAATGTATGGGGCCAACGTGACAATATGGAAAATTTGAGGGTCAGAAACACATGTTAATCTTCCCTTTGGGAAATTTGATGAAGTTTCATGTTCCATAGTAGGCTGGGAAAAAAGAATGTAAGCTACAAAAAAGACGAATAAAATCTGCAAAAATAATATGGCACTTACCAAACAGGGATGTACAGGGGAGTGAGTCTTCCTCAAATACAAGTTTTTCACTATTTATTATTATTATTATTATTATTATTATTGTTTAGATTTTAAATCCCTATAGGGCAGGAAATGAGAATTACATGAGAGCTCTGAATGACCGAATAGAACCTACTGTAGCCTTCCGGGCTAAGGTAGACAAAACAAAAAGCAAAAAATGCCAAGGTCTCAATCATGCACTTGACAAAGTGTACCAAAAACAGTATCAAAAGAGAAAGAGAATTCAGATCAATTTATTTTGATTGGATTAAGATTATTAGTCCCTTGAAAGAGCCTCAAATGAGACTATAGTTCTGGAAAATGCTTTGATTTCAGCATTGTGAGATGTCAAGCAGAGGACTCAGTCAATGTGTGCCAAGATCCCTAATCAATAGAAAATCTGAAATAATAAATGTATGTTGTTTTTGGCCACTAAATTGGTGGTAATTTGATTAACAACAATAGAATATTAACACAAACATTCAAAATAAATCCAACAACTCCTCTTTAGAAAATAAAGAAACAGAAAAATAAGAACAAAGCTGACTAATATGGTGCATCCTCCAAAGTTCTATATAACCAGTATCTCAGAAAGGGAAGAGAAAAGAGAATATGTAAAAAGCAATATTAAAAATAATGCAGGAAAACTTTCAAAAATGACAAAAAGATACCTCAAATTCAAGTTCAACAAATCCCAAGTAAGATAGCTGTCAATTAAAAACACCTAAGCACATCACAGTAAAATAGCAGAAAACACAAAAATAAATAAGCAAATAGAGTGCAAGAGAGAGAGGAAATGTTATAATAAGATAAAGAAACATGATACCTCATCTTCTAAGAAAGAACAACAAAAAGTACAGATGATTTCTCAACCAAAACAATGGTAACTAGAAGAAAATGGAACTCTGTCTTTATAGAAAAAAAAAAAAAAAAGAAAAAATAATTGCCAAACCAAAGTTTTATACCTATTGGGGAAAAAGAAAAAAAAGAATGAAATGAAAATGTTTTCAGGTTGCTAAATCTGTCAGCATACCTAGACTAAAACAAGAACAACCAATTGGTTATTTAGAAAGAAGAAAAATGACCTGAAATGGAAATGTAAAAATTCAAGATAAAATAAGATACACCAGAAAGGTTGGTGAAAATAAACATATTTTATATCACAAAATAATAACTGCAACGAGTAATGGAGTTTTTATCCATTCAATTAAAATGCCTTATAACAATGGTGCAAAATTTCTGAAGAATACAGATAAACATCTAAGATCATAAGGTTTAAGTACTATTACGTAATTAGTGATAGTAGTATTTAAAATCAGTCTATAAGCTTTAAGAATACATTTTGTTGTCTCTTTCATAAAAACTAAAATATATTAAAATAATATGTATCTAATAATTTAGTATAAAATGTAATTATAAAAATTTGATTAATTCCAAATTAGACAAAATAAAAGAAAGTGAAAATGAAACAAAATAGATGGACCTAAGAAAATAGAAATAAAGCTGAATGTTTAAATCCAGCTGTATTTTTATTACATTGATGTAAAAAGAATAAAATTCGTAAGGAAAAAGTCTAAGATTTTCAAACTGCTTTCAAAACCACACCATCTTTATACTGTTTAAAGAACACCATTTATATATTAGAACAACAGAAAGATTGAACACAAAACGCTGAAAAAATATACCTTACAAACACTAACCACAAAATTTCTCATTGAAACTACATAAATATCAAAGACAACATAAAGCAAGAAGCATCACAATTTATAAATAATATTTCATAATGCTAAAATTGATTCATCAACCTGTTGGAATTACAAATGTGTATACCTCACTAACATAGTGGGATAGTGAGCACGTCTCTTTCAATAGTTGATTAAGCAGGGAGACAAAAATAAACAATCTCTTAGAAGGTTTGAGGAATACATTAACCAATTTGGCTTAAATGAATGTATGTGTTTGTATGGGAATAAACCATATGTTGGTCTTATGAAAATAACTCACATGTTGGGCTTGGGATGACAGTCTCAACAAATTTCAAAATACTGAAATTATTTAGAGTATATATTCTGACATATAAAATTAAAACAGAGAGTAATGTGGTGGTTGCCAGGGAATTGAGGAGATGAGAACTAAGCTAAACAACATCATCATTAAGAGGAAAACCAGAATAATAACAATTACTTAGAATTTAAACCAATGATTTAAGTTTCTAACTGAAGAAATGAAGAAACAATAAATATAAAATCAGGAATAGATGAAACTGAACAGTAGAGAAAATCTAAAAGATAGAAGTTCTTTTTTTGTAACTATTCAAAGGGGCAGAGAAAGAGAGAGATAGAGAGACAGAGAAACGGAGAGACATAGATCCCAAATAACTGTCATCAAAGGTGAAGAATAAAGTACATTTTGAAGGTTTCAATAAAAACTAGTGGACGTCATAAATGATTTTACACTAACAAATTTTATAAATTGGATGAAATGCAAAAATTTCTTCAGAAATTTGATTTACTAAATTTAATTGAAGTAAAATATATTATGTCTGGCTGTATACAGAGGGCTTAATTAATTACGTGTACTTTTACTGTGAGGATTAGTTTTCTATAAAAGTGATCCTAACATATGAAACTGTGTATAGCCAGAATTTACTACTCATAATATTTGCCACTCCAAATCCCATATAATAAAACTTTAATTTTAGCTTTTTTCTGTCATTTGTATTATCCCTGTTACCATGTTATATTTTATTATTAATTTTAAAATTATTTTACTATAAACTAAAAAGTTGCTTGAATTTATCTTTGACATGTAATAATGGACTTATTTCATGTTTACATGACATAAAATGGAATTATGGATTCCAATTTTATAGATGTAGAATTATATAGATTTTATATTTTTCAACAAACATTTGTTATAATCATTAATTACCTATATAGTAAAATTTTCTTAAATGTGTTTTCAAAGGATTTAATTTTATAATATTCTTCCTTAGAAATCTATGTAAGAGAATGAGAAAATTAACTCATTTGAGTCTCAAAATTTGGCATTTAAAATCTTTTCATTTAATAATCAACTGTTGTTGCTACTTTGTGTGAGATTTAATATAATACACAAAATCATTAGCTGCCTTTCTAGAATATATTTGGCACTATAATAGGTGTTTTTCTCTTCTCACATTTCAAAATACTTTATAGATTTCTCTTTCCTTACCTACTAGCTTTAAACTTTAACCTAGTTTTATTTTCCTGTCATTTACTACTTTCCATTTTCTCCAGTTTTCCCAAAATCATACCAACATGTCCTTAAGAAATAAATATCTTTGGCTATTTCCCTCTATTACATGTTTTTCGTGTGTCAAGTGTCCACCTTTCTAACATTCCCTTTCCACATCCTCTGAATCTTTGCAAGAATGTGAAGTTAATAGTCATAGCTGGACCCAGTAATAAGACAAGATTTTGTTATGCTGGGGCTCAGGAAGCAACCTCCAGAATATGCAATTTTGGACTTTAAACCCCAGGAGATCACCTGGGGAGCAGCAAAACCAAGGAGGGCTTTTTCTGAAGTTCCCTTATCTACCTAAAGGCCAGATTCTCCAGAAGATATGCAATTGTCATAAATCCTTTCCCCAGATATCTTATCAACCAGGGAAAATTGATGTATATCATAGGAAGGAAGATTGGAGTGGACACCACACCCAGAGCACACACAAACTTGTCCAGTCTATTGTTTGTTCTTCAGGCCCATCCATCTCCCCTAAAAACCATTTCTATGGCAGGGCGCAGTGGCTCATGCCTGTAATCCCAGCACTTTGGGAGGCCAAGGCAGGTGGATCATGAGGTCAGGAGTTCGAGACAAGTCTGACCAAAATGGTGAAACCCCATCTCTACTAATAATACAAAAATTAGCTGGGTGTGGTGGTGCGCGCCTGTAATCCCAGCTACTCAGGAGGCTGAGGCAGGAGAATCACTTGAACTCAGGAGATGGAGGTTGCAGTGAGCTGAGATTGCGGCACTGTACTCCAGCCTGGGCAACAGAGTGAGACTCCATCTCAAAAAAACAAAACAAAACAAAACAAAACAAATTAACTATTCTTGTAGAATTGTCAAATCCTGCTCTTCCCTCTTGAAGAGTGTATTTAAGCTTCAACCATCTGGCCCTTCTTTGAGTTTTATGCTTTTTGTTTTTCCTGTGTGCTTGCACAGTAATAAGTTTGTATGCCTTTTTTCCCATTCATCTGTCTATTGTCAATTAAAGTGGACTCAATTAGTGAACTTTCAGAGGGTAATTTTGAACTTCCCTACAGTTATATTTACAATGTTGAACAAATATTTCTTTGAAACCTTTTAAATTCACATATAGCTAGTGAGAGAACTAACTTTTTTGGTTAAAATACAATGTACATTTAGTGAAAAGAAAGTGTTTTAATATACACGTATAGTATTTTTTCTCATACACCTAAGGATTTTTATTCATAAACATTTACTTCTTTGATCATAAGTTTTTAATCTCCATTCACATTTTATTCAGCAGGTGGGAGCATTCTTCAAGTTTCAAAGAGGAGGTTATATAATGGGCACCTCAGTGGGAAGGCATGCAGTGTTACAGAGTAGTTCAAGATTCAACCAGCTGTGAAAAATAAATAAATGGTAAGAACATATTTTGCAAAGCAATGAGCATTTAGACATAAACATATATCTGTTTATACTAGTTCATTTCTAGTATAAACAGATATATTTTATGGGTGGCTAGCTTTCAACCTCTGTTTTCACCTAAAATTGGGTGGGATGCTTATACAGTTACTGATAAAAATATATTCCTTGAGTCTCATCTTTGCACACAATGAAATGAGAAGATCCTCAGAAGGAAATGAGATCAGATCTTGGTTATCATTACAAATATTTGTATTCATGAGTACTGGATAAACGTAGCAGGGAAAATAAAAAACATATTCTTTAAGTGACTAGATTTAAAACATAGTGAAACTTACTCAAATGACTTCAATGTCACCATGGTTTTTTGAAGTAGAAAATGAATGATTTCTATGAAAGCAAAGAATTCGTGGAATGCAGACGAAGGACTGAGCTGCAAAGGAAATGCATTTTAGCTCAATACTGATTATAAATCATCCCTGATGTTACTTATGTCTAAGCTAGTGACTATAACATTAATTGAATAACACTTACTATAGAGTAATGTTTGCTGTTACAGATCCACCTTAGATTCCGTACAAGGAAAAACAGATATGGAAAGTCAGAATGATCTCAATTTAAGGTCTCATAGCATAAGCCTGAAGATCTAATTGAACTCTCAACTTAATAAATAAGAACTAATATTATTTAATTTCATATGTGTTAACTAAGTTCAACTCCCAACATGTAAGTTCTCCAGACAGTCACACTGACTTATTTTCAGTACAATCAGGATACTATTAAAGATTAATATGGCTAGAATTATAGAAATGATTGATAAGAATGTCATGCTGGAATCCCCACGAAGAAACTATATATAGGCAGAATGAGACAATCCTGCAAAATAACACTTGGCTCTGTAAATTAGACATGTCTGCAATTTTCTTCTTTTGTCTATTCTCAGAACTATAAAATGATTATCATCAAGTTCCTGCCATGATCCTCTGCAGCACATAATCCAAAAAATATATACACATTACTTTTTGTTATTCCTTTATGCCAAACTATGTGGCCAAAAAGCAAATCAATTTGGAGTGGAAAATGGTCCATATGCATCTCAATAAAAGCAATTTTATATTTTTGTATAACAGTTATACATTCTTCTAATGATGAGATAAAATATGTGTGAGGCAAGGTAGCATTTGAAATAAAATGTCTGCCATATGAATTATAGGGAGAATGTGCAGTACTTTCTATTAAATAGTAGTTATCATTATCTAGAATTGATAGTTCGCAATAAAAATGTATTATGTTCTGTCCATTCACCATGTACTGTGCCAATATTTTCTCTTTCATTGTCAATTTCATTTTCTGTGAAACTTATAAAATAATTTTTAAGCAAAATTTTCTCCTAATATTACAAATGGAGAAAATACTATGGAAAAAACACTATTCTCAAATGTTTTGAAAATGGCTGATATACATTCAAATGCTTCACTTCATCTGATAATTGCCCATGACTAAACATCCATGCATGAATACACTAATGCTTAATTATTTTCAGAAAGTAAAATTAGCTGTCATACAAGCTTGATCTCTTAGTAGAGGTGATTTTAATTTTCTAATAATGCATCCAATTGGCTGGTAACACATTTTGATAATGTGCTATTGGTGGACCAGTATTTTTAGATGCTTAATAAATGTTTTTGTCATAGAAACTAACTACTCATATAAATCAGAGCAAAGTATAGCCACTAAAATATGGTGAATAAACAAGAATTGCTGCCCTATTCCACTGGAGATGGTTTAGAGACATTAGTGACTCACGGAACTCACCTTAGGAGTGACAAATACTTGGGTACAGTAGAAAGAACTGTGTGGCACTGGTAGAATTAGAAACATCAGTATGAGCTCATCTATAGCTTAATAGGAACACAGATACATAGATATGGGAATAATAATATCTATGTATGTGTATCTATGTGTGCATGTAAACATGGGTTAGTATACATATGTAGATTTGCTAGCTCAGTTCACAAGTGACACCTCAGTCTCAATGAGCATACTCTGAACTTTGATAGGAGTTTCTAAATTGCATTCTCAAATAAAGGGAATCAGGGCTTTTTGCACAAAGGTCTGATTCTATAGCTGGGACAGGAAAATATAAAATGACACTGTTGCATCTTGAAGTACCAGAAAGCAAGGAAGCACTCAAAACATGAAAGGATTGAGGCACATCAATGAGGCACAGGAGCCAACCTGAAATGACTCCTAGTGGCCACAGTGGGGACAATTAGAGCCAATAAGTAAGTCAAGTATCTTGGGATTATAATTCAAAGTGTAAAATAAATATGTATGAGAACACATTTATATAATAAATTATTAAATATATAAGAGGACGTTAAATAATTACTGCTTTACTCTCCAGAAGGAGGAGCAGGACTTAGTGGCACGTTTTCAACTAATAAAGTGTACAAAGGGAGAGAAAAGTAATTTTAAAGTGGAGCTATTTTAACCAAGTGAACAATTTAAACATCATGAGTGATTAATCATATTTATTTGTTGCATATATTCCCTTGAAAATGATGTGATAGCGAAGAGTACTTGCAATCTTCAAAACTGTGCAGGTCATGAAAAATGAAGAGACAATGGTTAAATGCAGTGTGGTATTCTGGATTGGATCCTGGCACAGTCAGAAAACAAGTGAAATCCAAACAATATGGAGTTTAGTTTATAAAAATATAAACTGTTATTTGACCAGTTTTGACAAATATGTCATGGTAATAGAAAATACAGACATTGAGGAGAATTGGGTGAAAGGTATACTGGAACCCAGTACTATTGTTACAATTTAAAAAAAATCTAAAATCGCTCTAAAATTTTAAAAGTGTATTAAATACAGATGTATCTTTTATATAATCAAGACTTTTATTTTGGAAGGCAACTTAAAGTTGTTTTTCATGCAAACATAATAATTAAGGATTCACATATGATTGAATTTTAAGTCACTGATAAAATGAAGTGAATAATGGCTAGACATCTAGAACCTGTGTCTATTATGTCAAATTGGGCTTTAAACTTTATCTATGCTGG
Source organism: Homo sapiens (assembly GCF_000001405.40). Taxonomy (NCBI): domain Eukaryota; kingdom Metazoa; phylum Chordata; class Mammalia; order Primates; family Hominidae; genus Homo; species Homo sapiens. The sequence goes on from NC_000018.10 coordinate 29,437,472, forward strand.
CCTCTGTTTTTTCATTTGTAAAACTGTGAAAATATAAACACTAGTTGCTTTGTAAAGTTCTTCCTAGTTTACTCATCTTATAAAACATGATAATTATAAGTGTTTGGTCTTTTTATAATAAGTACTAAATTATTATTAAAATTAATCATGTACATGCAGTTTGACATGTGCATAATGCACTTATTTCCAATTATGTAGAAGATAGAAACATTTACTTTGTTGTTTTGTAGTGTGTAAATAATTTGCAGCCATGGGAAAATGCATTAATGTAATTATGGGGCAGGGTGGTGATTTTTAAGAAAATTAAATGCTTTATGTTCCTACATTCTGTTTTTTTTTTTTGAAAATATGTTGTAAAAATGTTAATTATTTTCTACAGAATCATCAAATAAGAAAAAAACTCAAAGTCTACCTGGTAGATCTTTCAAAAGATTGGGGATTTATTTTAAAAGTAAAGCAAATACATTTTTGACTATTTCATTTCCCCAATAAAGTTAATTTTTTCCTCAACTAAATCTGCATAGTGTGTGTGTGTGTGTGTGTGTGTGTATGATAGAGAGTGAGAGAGTAAACTAAACATACAATATTTAATCTTACTGAAACAGTTAAATTTATTTAAACATTTATTCCATGTAAAATAATACATTCTGATAATATATTATTCATATATATGGAAACACAAATTTATGTATATTTTACCAATGCCTTGAACATTGAAAGAGACTTTGGTGTCACTTCTGGGTTTGAAAGGAAATTTGGAAAATGCATTTTTGAAACCTTCATATTGAAATTTCTGTGAAGTGGTTTTTGTTTGCTTGTTCTTTGCTTTGAGACAGGGTCTCATTCTGTCACCCAGGTTGGAGTGCAGTGGCATGATCACAGATCACTGCAACCTCAACCTTCCAGGCTCAGGCAAGCCTCCCACCTCAGCCTCCTGAGTAGCTGGAATCACAGGTGAGCACCATCACACCTAGCTAATTTTTAAATTTTTGTAAAGACAGGGTTTTCCTATGTTGCCCAGGGTACATTGAGCTGTCACGTGAACTCCTGGGCTCAAGTGATCCTCCCGCCTGTACCTCACAAAGTGCTGTGATTACAGGTGTGAGCCACTGCACCCGGCCCTGGTGAAATGTTTATAGCTTATATATAGGGACAACACAATATTTGAAATCAGAGCTTCCCTAGATTATCCAGAACCAATAAATTATCTGTGCAAACTCTTTCTCTCCTACATCCTGAGGAAATTTATTTAAGGTTATTTTTTCAGGTTTTTCTGTAAAATAACCATTTACAGTTTGGAAAAAAAACAGAATGCTTATTTTTGTGGGCTCCATATAAAATCAAGAGTGGATTAGTAATGAAGATATCATTTATATCAACATGACATTGACACAGAGGAAAAAAAAACATGAAAAACTCAGCTTCAAACTCAGAAACAAGTTACCCTCTAAAAAAAAAAAAAAAAAACAGATTCTAAGATTTGACCTGCTAGCCCCTTTTTAGCAGTTTCTTTGTTGGTGTCTTCTCATCTTCCTGGCTTCTGCACATCAGAGTGGCCCACGGCTCAGTCATTAAAATGAAAATATACGAAATTTTCATCTCCTTTTACTCCCTAGGTGATCACTCCCAAACCCATTTTTAGAAATCTAAAGACTGATGGTCCCAAATTTCTATCTCCAACTGTGTCATTTTCTCCTGAACTCCATATACATATATCCCAATTGCCTACTTGAAATCTCCATTTGGATATTTAATAGACTTTCTGAAGTTAATACACCCAAAATCAAACTCCTCAACTTCCTTCTAAAACTCACTTTCCCAGCAATTTTCCTTATCTTGGTGGATGCCAGACATCTTTGTAAGATGCTTAGATTAAAAACTTGATGTCATCTTTGACTCACTTATTTCTCCTATTTCTTACACCTAATATTGCAGAAAATTCTTTTGGCTCTGCCTTAAAAATATATCCAGACTCTAATCACTTTTCCCTATCTCCAGGTTTACCACTCTGCCCCAAGCCATTGTCATTTCTTATGTGGGTTATTGCAATAGCTTCCACTCTTGTTCCTTTTCAGTTGGCACTCAATAAAGCTGAGGAGCTGTCCAATTCATCTTCTGCTACTGCCCCTACTGGGCAACAGGCTCCAGCCGCACTGTCCTCCTCACTATTCTTCAAAAACACAATGCCCCCTAAATGTCCAATGTCTCACATTAATTTCTCAAATGCAATCAATAATTTCTGTTTTCATCTAGCTTACTTCATTTCCATTCAGCTACGTCTTTCCTAAAATTTAAGTTCAAATTACTTTGTAAATATCTGTTTCAAGCACGTGGGACATTCTCCAACTTCCTGCCACTTGCTGCTCTCTGGCCTGAAACAGTCTCCCCAAGATATCTTCACAACTCACTCATGCTCCTTTCTCAGGTCTTTAGTTAAACACCACTTCCTAAAAGTTAAACACCACTTCCCTGATTGCCCTATACAAAATTGCAATACCTGCCATGCTCGCAATTATGCTTGTCTGCTTTTTTTTTTTTTCTTCAGTACTTATCACAGTGCAAAATAGCACACATTTTCCTGATTTCTTTTGTTAATTTATGTTATCCTCCCAAGAATATAATTTGCTTCCAGCAGGTAGGGATTGTTTATGTTTACTCATTGCTTTATCACCAGTATTTAAAACAATCTCCATCACATAATAAAACGCGACAAATCAATGATGAACATATATGTTGACTGAATCCAAAGGGGATATTTTGGAGGGATAAAAGGATTAGAATATGTGAACAGAATATTCTATGAAATAAAATACTGGAAATGTTGCCCAGTTGAATACCATGGTTAGCCTGTTTCATTTGTAGAGAGTAAAAGACAGGGTTGGGAATCCTTTCGTTTTGTTTGATTTATATCTGGGTTGATTCAAATCCTTTAATTTTTATTTCTGAGCCCTAAACTCTCAGAAAGGCATGTTGGAGAATTTCTTGTCTAATTTTATAAAAATAAAACGAATATCTTTAAGAAACCTAGATATCTTGTTTCACACTAATTGCCTGATTTAGTATTCAGGTTGGATCAAGAGGCTTTCTAGAAAATGGGTCAAAAAGGATAAATTAGTTTCATTACTAACAAGAATTCTTAACTAAGTAGCAGTTTTGCTTTAGGCTCAGTAATTAAATCTCCCTGATGTGATATTATGTTGCCTCTTTCTCTAGCCTTCTTCCTTTGCTAATTGCCCTTAATTTATTATTGATCACTGAAAATTTTTCTCTAACCTTCCTATCTCCTAAATCAATTCTCAAACCCAATCAATAATTCTGTTTTCAACTAGCTTTCTTTTTTCTACATTGCTAAGTCTTTCCCCAAATTAAAATGAAATTTCAAATTACCTTGTACAAATCTACAGACAGGTTAATACACTCACTGTATCATTTCAGGGGATAGAAGACGGATTGGGTAGATTCTTTTTCTCTGGTTAATTTTTCAAAAATATAGTATATAATGTATTTACTCTTGTTTTCAAAAGTCTTCACTTCAACCTTTTATACTCTATAGTATAGTATATTTTATATTGAATCTAATGAGACAGTAAATAGTGTTTTCCATCAATTTTTGCTTAAAGAAACATTTACATGAAAGAAGAGCTGTTAAAAGGACAATGGAAATATCTATTATGTATTATTTTGTTTTGCTCTGCTATAAAGAAATATCTGAGACTGGGCAATTTATGAAGAAAAGAGGTCTAATTGACTCACACATCCACATGGCTGAAGAGGTCTCAGGAAACATACAATTATGGTGAAAGGGAAGCAGGCACATCTTACATGGTGGCAGGCAAGGGACAGTGTGTGAAGGAAGAACTGTCAAACACTTATGAAACCATCAGATCTTGTGAGAACTCACTCATTATCCTAAGAAAAACATGGGGGAAACTGCCCCCATGATCCAATCACCTCTCTCCCTTAACACGTGGGGATTAGGGTCCCTCCCTCAACACATGGAGATTCCAACTGAAGGTGAGATTTGGGTGGGGACACACAGCCAAGCCATATCACGCAGTTACTCAAATATTTTGATTGACATGTACATATATCAGTTAATTTTGGAAATATGTATAAGCACATGTGTACATATGGATTATCTCTAATAATTGAAAATCAGTACATCATGAATGAAAGACAGTGAACAGTAAACTCTACATGAAACACTTCTGCCATTCACTGGATGTCTTATTACAAATAAGATTTGTATTAGCACTGATGCCATATTATTTCATTCTGTCTTAATTTATTTATCATTTTTATTTTGAATGCTTATCTAGCCATATAAAGATAAAATTAAAAGCTACTTTGGTGACATTTTTGTATAACGCTTTCATTTGTAGATGAAACAAGGAAACTGAGATCAGTAATCTTGATTCTCCTAGGTGGAATTTACTTTCAGTAGCAGAAATATCTATACCATATATATTCTTATTGCTGTCCAATATTATGTTCTCTATACCACACAGAACCTCTAATTTGCCTTCCAGCACAAAATGGAGAAGACACAAGTTCATCCTTCTTTCCCAATATATATTTTACTGCATTTAAAATATTTGGCATAGTATTTTATCACTGTATAATCTGTTGTATAACCCTAACATTGTATTTGTCCATCGTACATCGTGGTTAGTGTCAAATGTAAATATGATTTATACTAAAGAACCATCAAATCCTACCTTGAAATCTTGTAGAATTGCAGAGTACGTCATATCTTAAACAATAATATTAAACGTGGAGTAACAATACCACACATTACATATTCAGATAGATTGTGTGCATATCTTAAAATCATTTTGAGAGATTGGATACTTGATTTTAAAAGTAAAAAGAGTCCAATTAATACATGATTATAATAAAACAACTGAGTTGTATCTTAGTTAACAATTTAAATGTCATTTTAGTGATATGAGAAATATTTTAAATTGCTACCCTTGCTCTGTAAAATAAGAAATGCATGAAATTTGTATATCATGCTAAATAAAATTTCCAAAGACAGGCTAATGCAATAATATGAAAATAAAATTTTGATACATAAATTATTTATTGATAGAAAATATTCCATTCCAAAAATACCTGGAATAGATCTTTAATTCCCTATAAACCTTGTGGTTCACTATAACCTTTGCATGAACTTTGTGAGATAATTATGGTCTAAACAGTACACAAATGGAAAAATGGTGTCCCCTCAGGTATATTGGCTGTCATAACAAAATGTCTTCCAAACTTGAGTTTTAAAATGATTGTCTTAATTTATACCTTACTCTGTTTAAATTATCGCACACTCCACATTTTAAAAGAATAGATCTGCTTCTGCTTCAAAATCATGAAAGAGGAATATGAGAAATAACCTACCTGTCAAGTGTTAGGTGTATCTTTTGTTCTTATTGACATTCATACACTGTAATACATTCTGATACTTTCTGAAGGATGTTGTATATGCTACTGTGTTATCCCTACCTTCAAAATGTTGCAGGGCAGAGTGCAAGACAATTTCCATGCATAAGGAACTGATTAATATAATTATTTCTCAGGTTGGCATAATATATTTATACAAAATAATTTTGGATACAGAATGAATTAAAAATTAAAATGCAAAACATGTAAACAAAATCATTTTTTAAAAAATGATTTCTGTCATTCTCCATCTGCCCAACAACTTCACATGGCCCAGGCCACCCACTGTTATTAGCTTCCTTCCAACATTTTTTTCAGGTATGTATTCTTTTTTTTTTTTTTTGCCTTAATAACATATTATATAAACTCTTCTGCTCCTTTATTTTTCACTTAATAATTTTTGTAGTCAAGTCTCGTTTTCTAATAGCTATATAGAATTGCAGCTTGTATATGTACTATAATTATTTAGCTAGTTCTCTTTGATGAGGTTTGGCAGTTTAATTTACCTCTATTCGATTCTGGGCCAGCCTTTGTTGTTTGCTTCCCTGGAATAGAATGAGGTAGAAGTGACTGTATGTGACTTCTGAGGCTACATTAGAAGAATACAGTTTTCTCCTCTCATCTTCCTCTTCTCTTTTCTCTCCTCTCCATATTTCTCTCTCCCTTGCTGTTGTGCTTGCTTTTCATTTGGCTTTGAATCTCTAAAAATATATTTAGGAAGAAAATTTACTGGAAAATTCGAGGAAAGAAAGATTTCCTACATCCAATATCTGGAGTAAGAAGAATCTATTTTTGAGAAATTTGCCTCAATACTTACAAGGTGTTATGCTTGTAAATTTTTCTTATGTGTAATTTCTTTTTTTCTCAAACATTTCATTACAGTTGCTGAAATACCTAACTATAGATTTATTACCTGAATTCATTCAGGAAAAAAGGAAAATATTAATATTATATCTAATTTATTTAGATAGAACTTGAGGAGAATTAAACAAAGACATGAAACACAAGATAAATTGATCAAACAAAGGGATTGACTAGTTCAAAAAATATAAAGCTTAAGAGTTGAGAAGTGTTTGATGAATAAATTTGTGAATCAATACGCTTGTCAAAAGAGACTATGGAAAAGCCAAGTTGCAATTAACATAATGTACAATGCTAGTTTTGAAACAAATGCACCTGAAGAACCCACAGAATTTCTTGAATATATTCTCGTTATTCTAAAAATGATAATTAAGTACTCCTTCCAATTAGTACCTAACAGAATATAATGCTATTTGGTAATGTATCTTATCCTTAAAATAAAAAAAGGTATATTTTTCTTTGCAAATGTTATTAAACAAGCAAAAGATTAAGAAAGGTGAAAACAGTAGCCAAAATATGTAGTCAACTTTATGTTGAAAGATTACTCCTTGTCTTTTTTGGAAGACGAAATGCTTTTACAGTGGCAAGCTACAATTCTCTTGCCTCTCTTGGAATCGTCACTGCTCATTTAAACTACATGCTTGATAACTTTTTCAACTTACCTGAAGGGTACTTCTGTTGCAAAGTGATACACTGAGGCAAAATCAATCTTCCTAATGTTGAGGTGACTGTGCCACCTCAGTTGGCGTTACAGGTTATTTAGCATAAACATATGTGTTCTCATTAAGCGTCATCTCTCCTGAAAACACAATGACTCACCAGTGAAATAAATTTTGTCTATAAATCTGAAACTAATTCTCTGGTGTACTCTCTGTACGTCTAGTTGTAAAACTACACAAATGTCACTAATAAAATAAAATTACACATATAGTAATGTATATATTTTTTTCCTTAACAGTATATTACATAATCTGTCATAGAGCAAAGAAGCTGTTTGGCCTTGAGTGTTTTTCTTCCTTATAAGATACCTCAGACAACATGGAAATTTCATTCACTGACATAAATATGAGTCTCTCAGTAAAACAGTTCATAATTCATATTTTTCTATTACCAGTTTCGTCTGTTGTTCAAAATTTTGTGTAAAGAAAGCCAAGATTGCAGATTTGGGATAACCATTGACCCAAATCTGTAATCTTAGCTTATTTATTGAAAGGTCATTTTACTTAATGGTATCCATAAACTACACAATTAATTCCATATAGGTAGCTTTCTCACAGATTTAACTATCAGAAATAAAATAGAAAACTAGACAAGAGTAAGAATGGAACACTGAAGATATGCACATGCTACTAGATATTATTCCACAATTACATTCTTAATCATTGTCATGATTTTCAATCTTTTAAAAATAACTATAATCAAGAATAACATATTGCACATTTCTAGTAATATATGTTACACATGTTACCTTAACCAATTTAGTAATTTCCATTAAATGTTTACCAGAATTTATTGAATTACTTTGCATTTTAAACACGTAATTTTATTCTACTTATGATTTTTGCATTTTTGTAATTGATGTATGTGAAAATCTTTAAAATAACTTCCTGAAAATTGATATCTTTTTAGATAGATGAATTTCAACCACACTTTCATATCTATGATATTTGCAGCAAAAAAAATGTAAAAATTATGCTAATTCAATCTGAATCAATGTAACTAATTTAAAGCATTAATCAGTTTAAAAAGAATTTCTAATATATTTTAAATGTTATTTTTATTGTGCTTTAAATTCCTTAGGAATGCCTAAGTGACTAAATAATGCTTGTTTAATTGTCAATGAAATATGCATGTAAGTTACAATCAAAAGCATGAAGACCCTGCCAGCCATACCTGCTGTTACTTAGGTACATACAACACTAGTGACTAAGTGTAAGATGTTGTTTTAGTCATTTCAGGCTGTTATACTAAAATACCAGAGATTTGGTGGTTTAACAACAAACGTTTATTCCACAGAGATATGGAGGCCAGGAAGTCCAAGATCAAGGTGCTGGTCGATTCCTGCTAAGTGCCCTCTTCTTTATTTTCAGACTGATGGCTTCTAACTGTATCCATACATGATGGTAAGAGAGACCTCCAGTCTCTCTTTTCTTATAAGGACAGTAATTCTATTATCAGGTTTCTGCCCTCATGACCTCATCTAAAACCTAATTACCCCTAAAGACTCAGTCTCCTAAAATACCATCCCAGTGGGGGTTAGGGCTTCAACATACAAATTTTGGAGGGGACACAAACACAAATTTTGGAGTGGCCACATCACAAATTTTGGAGAAGACACAAACAGATTTCACCAAAATCAGAAGAAAGTTTTTTAAGGGAACGTACATCATTCGTGGCTTGATTCCGGTGAAAGAGACAAAGTAATCTGGAAGAAAAAAAATTGCAGCTTTCAGTAATCTTTTGGCTACACATTTTAATATAATCCTTGGTGGGTCAATGATCATCCAAGAATTAATATTTAAGACAAGTTCAGGGAGAGGATGTTGACCCATCAAGACAGCGAACGACATAAACAATACCATATAACCTGACATTTTGTGAGTATAAAAAAGGTCAAATGAAACTAAGCATCTAGATTTAATTTGTCATATTTTCTGGTTATTTCCTTCTCTTCATTAGGTATATTTATAATCCTGTACTAAAATTAGTACAAATGGATTTAGTCCTGCACATCTTTGCCTTTTGGATTATTAGACATTTGGAGTATTACTAGGCAATTCTAGAGGAATGAATTATTTATCTACCCCCTAATTCTTCACTGTGACATAGGAACACTCAGGAAAAAAACCTCTTAGAACTTTTATGTTTATGCATAAGCATTTAAATTTTCATTAGGATGGGTTTTGAAACTGTTGTCAAACAAATTTAAATATGTGCATTTGTGTCTCTTTTTTACCATTAAAAATCTACCTTTAAAGATACACAACGAAAATATACTTTATCCTATATAATATTAGATATTTTGTATATTTATGGCCAGAGTTGTTTTTCATGCAATTCAAATGATTACTGGTTTGATAAAAGATGGAAATAATCAATTCTCAAGCCTAATGAATACAATCTTTTGAAAGAATTAAGATACAGTTCAACAAAAAAGTAAAATGCAGAGAATTGGAAAGCATATTTAACCTCACCAATTATCAAAGAAAGATAAATAAAAAACAATTTATGTATGTAATTGGCAAAGAGTAGGTAAAATAAATGCACACATTCTAGTGATATAAATATATAGTACCATTATTGTGAATATAAGTTTCAGGATATATTTATAAAATATATTAATATATTTTGATGCTGCATGATTATTTCTACCTTAATGAAATAATATGATATGGGTTATAATATTTCAAAAATTGGAATTATCTAAATGTCTGCCCTTAAAAAATTATTTAATAAATTATATATATATATCAATAAGATTAAATATTCTGAAGCTACTAAGAATCTCATTTTAAGTCGTGAATGACAGGAAAATGCTTCTGATAATTGCTTTTGATAAACAGAAAATTACTTTACAAAACCTTCTCCCTGAGTGTATGTGTGTATACATATTCATATGTATATACTACATATATGTCTATACTATATATAGTATATTTTGAGTATTCACATATGTACATGTATATATTTATACATAAATATTATATATTTACAAAAATAAATAAGTTTATATATGTAATGTGTATATATATGCCCTCATTGATGGTTACTGAATCCTACTGTTGGAATATTGTTGCATTTGCTTCAGTGATCCTTTTATGACTGGTATTCTCAGAGCAAAGGTCATTCACAAAGAGAGTGTTTCGCTAAATCAGTGTCACAGAGTTATTTAAATTCTTTCTGACTTATATGTTCAAAATCATATGGAAATTATCAGCAAAAATTATTTTAAAAAATCTGTCACTTGACAATTTATTAAATTTTAATATAAATTGGTTAAAAACAACTGAACCAACAGGCAAACTATGTTTTATTCAGTCATTTAGGGGCATTTATTTTTACAATTTCTGAAAAGCATACAAATTGCTATACCAAGACTTCTCAAATGTCTATTACTTATACCTGTTTTTCTTTTCACTTAGAGGTACCTCTTTTGAATGAATATCCTAAGAAAAAGGTAGAAAAAATGAAGTACAGTGTTAATTTCAATACATCTTTGGCAATACAATATTTTAAATACAACTTCATTGACTTTAATATGTTAGTTAACAACAACGACATTCAGATTTCATTCATTCAATTTATGAAAGTGTCTGCTTTGTTTTTAGCAAAGTTTATCTCGACGTCAAATTAATTAGTGAGATCAGGCATACTTTTTCTTAGAAATAGTACAACTTCGCTGTCTTCAATTTATGTAAACATATCAAAACCTTTAGAGGTATATTATGAAAAACATTTGGAAAAAATAATTAATACTTAGAAAAGATTAAGTAATAATATTTTATGAAAGGGTAACATCCAATGATGAGGATGTAATTAATATACCCACTTATAATAAGTTATAAAAGAAGATAATCAATAGTCTTTCTCATTTAATGAGCGATGATGTAATTTTTTTAAAATTGTGCTATTTATAAAGTATAAAATGCATGGTATTACTAGTTAAACATATATAAATGTGCTGCTTTGCTTTGGGGAAATATTAAGTAATAATCATTGCTAAAGCAATCAGAGACAACGCCAGTAAATTCTCATCTCACTATCAAATTTTCTGTATGCATTCAACGAAAGTTAAAATACATACGGCTAAGACAAATTGGTTTAGCAGTTAGCGTGTGATTCTATTTTTAGTTAACAGTAGGTAAAAAATGTTTAATATTTATAAAGTAAAAGAAGAGGATTAACTGTAATTATAATCCATATTTTATAATATGGTTTGTTCAAATATATTTTAACTATATTTTTACATAATGTACAGGAATTTCATAAGAAAGCATGTAACAATTATTGGCGGATTTTATCAATTACAAAATTAAAAAAATTATCATTGGAAGTATTCCAGTGACAATTAAATATAGTATCATTAAAGTGTTTTTCTTTCTAACTAATTATGGCCCTAGGGATGAGAATAACTGAAAAGAAATATTGCTTACATTGGAATCAGTGCAATGAGCCATAGTTTGATGTTCAGTAATTCTTATCAGTGTTTTTTCTGCTTTGTTCTCAGAAGACATTCCCACATAAAATCTCCTTCTTTGATGATCACGGGATGTGTAAGAGATCCATTCGTTAGATGAAAATTGCCATCAGCTTCACAAAAAACACACCAGATGTATCCAATTTTAGAAAATTCCCACAAAGGTCCTGATCCCCCATTTATTTATTTATTTATTTGTTTGTTTGTTTGTTTGTTTATTTACTTGCCATGCTTCACCCTTAATAGAAATGTGTATGACAGTGAAATATAAAAAACCTACAAAGAATTTAAATATCTCCATTAATTTTTAAAGGAAAATATATTTCAGTAATTTATTTTGTTTTGTGCTATAGAGTTTTTACTTCCACAAACAATGAATCATGTAAGTTTTAGGCATATATCTGTCTGTAAGTCTGCATGTAACAGCCTAAATATACAGAAACATTTCTGTTAACATGGTCCATCTTCACTCAGCCTCCCTATACTTGCCTCACTTAACCAACTGTTCTCAGTTCTTCTCAGGTATAAGATTCTACTCTAGCTTTCCATAGGATAGTATAAAAGTAGCCAAGAAGCTGACAGCTATAATTTTCCAGCTTTACTTAAGATTATGTTGTGGTCCAGATCAGCTTGTGTTGACTGAATTATTGTTTCCTGACTTAATGTCTGACCTCTGGATGACACTTTCTATTTGACGTAGATAGCATTTTTTTTAGTTTTCCTCATCGTTGGACTAAGTATCTTATATTTTGCTTGCTGTTTCAAGTTCATTTACCAAATAAGAGTATTTTCTGATATTTCTGAACTCTTTTATCTAGCATGTACTGTACGTCTTACAAGAGTGAAATAATAAATGGCCATAAATGATAATGAATGCAGGGTAAGGCCAAGAACTTCACTGTATGGAAGTCTTAAGGCTTCATGTATATTTCCCCAAATATTATCTATGACATTTGACCTTCTGGAATGATCTTTTCAGGTCTCCTTGGAATTATTTCCAGATTCATGTTTTATATTTACATATTCCTAGTCTCCTTAAATCTGGGAATTTCACTATTTTTTTTCACTTAGCTAAATCATTACACTTGTAAGAATCCTCTTCAGTGAAATAGCTATTTGTCCAAACCCTCTCTTGTCTGCCCATGCGTTGTTTGTCTGTAGTACAATTTCCTTGGAACTTCCATTTATGAGAAATTGAACAAGACATTTTAAAATATCAAAATTATGGCTGCTTAAGTTTCCCATTTAAAAATGCTTTCTTCACTCTACAACGTTATAATAGGTTTCATAGCAAATAATATTATTCATTTTTATTAATTCTACCATGATAACCATTTGACTTGTTAGTGACCAATACATGTATATTTGGAATCACTAATGAATTCTAATTATAAAGAGCACTCAAAATGGTACTTTAATAACACTTTGGGAAAACAGTAATTTATAATGATGACCCAGGATAGATTTTTAACTAGTGATGAAATTATCACAATTTTATCCTTGCTTATTCTTGAAATCCTCACGTGTCTCTCATCTGATTTTAGTAATCTTTTATACAAGTCACAGAGATTTAGAAAAAAATATATTCCAGAGAAACTATGAATATTTTCTGCGATGTAAGCTTTATAGAAAATTGTGATTTGACATGAACATGTACAAAGAATTCTCCATGAGGAAATAAATTTATTTTATCAATACTTAAAAAGTATTGTAAAATGTGGCATTAAAGCCACTTATTTACTCAGAAGCATTTGATCTAAACATTGCAATAAAATAATTTTGGAATAATTCTTTGTAGTTGATCTAAGTTTAGATTTTCAAAAGAAGCAAGAGAAAGTATTTGCTACTTAAATTTCTTTTTATCACAAAGACCAAAACATTATCTCAATTTAACTAAAATTTAATTAGTCAAACTGATGGAATTATAATCATCAAATATAATAAGCCGCCTGAAAAGTGTTTATATCCTCTGGGGAAAATATAATTTAAGAATAGTTCAGTTAAAGCTATTATTTTCATGTTCTAAAGATACAAAATGAGGTGATGTCAAAAAAATCCAGCTCTCATTCAATTTTTCCATTTGGTTTTAGGATGTAATATGATACCATGTTAAATTTTACAGATTAAATAATCATCTTTAACTCCTCCTCAATTCCTATTTTCTCTTCACCAAATGCAGTTTTAGGGGGGTCAAATATTTAAAATTTTAACATAAGAACTGCAGAAAATAAGTTATGTCATCATTATAAGGAGGAACAACATAGTCTCATAAAATACTCACAAAGATAATCCCATATAAACATATTTGGGCTCAGTGTGTTTTTAGTTTGCTTGCTTTTACTTTGTGCTAATAGATCTAAACAGAAATGGTGCTTCACATTTCTAAATGAATTTGGATTAATTTAAGAAAAAAATTGTTAAGGTATAAAATTTATATTGTAACTATTCATAAGGAGCAAATAATCTTGTAAGAGCAGAGAAATACAGACATTTAAGTTAAAAAAAGTTTACTATAATAATTTGGAGCCTGGAATCTAAGAACAGAGAGCAGATATTTATAGTCACAATAGTGGGATTATATAGGAGTGGTCATGACTGCATAGGATTTTCATCCTGAAAAGATACGTGGGTTACAAGGTGAAGAACAACTTGAAAAAGCAACCAAGATGTCCTTTAGTAGGTGGATGGATAAACTGTGATATATTTGTATAATGAAATATTATTCAATGATAAAAAGAAATGTGATATCAAGCGATGTGAAGATATGGATAAAGTTTAAACATATATTGGTAAGTGAAAGAAGCCAGTCTGAAAAGATAATGTGTTCTACATTTCCATTTATATGACATTCTGGAAAAGGCAAACTTACAGAGACTGCAAATAAAACAGTGGTTGCAGAGATTCAGAGGAATTGAATAGTTGAAGCATAGGGGAGATTTTAGGGTGGTAAAATTTTCCATATAATATTGTAAGGGTGGATACATGATATTATGTATTTTTTTCAAAATCCATATAACTTTATAGCACAGAGTGTCTTAATGTATACAATTTCTTAAAGTTATTTAACTGGTTAGGGGTTCCCAGAATGGGATGCAAACTGTAAAAAAAGGAATCTAAATTTACTACAAATGTACAAAATCTTACTGGTGAGGTGAATGGAAGGAGGTGTGCTAAACTAAAACTTTACAAATTAGTGAGTCTGTAAAACTAAAGGGGGGAAACCATACACAATCACTGTACTCTAGTTGATAAAGTTTAATCCCAGGGGCAGGAACTGACAATTCTTATGCTGCTATACCTGCATCTTGGGGTTGAACAACTGAATAAATGGATCATAGCTGATGGGAGCCAGGTTACACACTATTGCAGTGAGAATTTATAGGTAAGAAAGAGGGGGAAGCTAGAATTATCCACATGGTAATGGATTAGAGATGGAGACTCCAATTAGAACTCATGCTAAGATTATAATGAGCCATGGTACATGTAGAAACATTTGCAGATAGAAGTGCACACACGAGTTAGTATAAACACATATATTCCCTTGCTCTGTTCACTGAGAGGGCCTAGAACCTATGACATTACAGTAGCAAAAACACCCTTAGACCCAGATGTTGATTTCTAACACCATTCTCCAATAAAAGGAAACAGGGAAATTTGGATTGTTAACCAACTGTGGCAAGAAATATATAAGATAGGCCTGGAACATATTTTTTTTTCTTTTTTTTTTTTTTTTTTGAGGCAGGGTCTCACTCTGTCACCCAGGCTGGAATGCAGTGGCCCGATCTCAGCTCACTGAAACCTCTGCCTCCCAGGTTCAAGTGGTTCTCCTGCCTCAGCCTCCCTAGTAGTTGAGATTAGAGGTGCCTGTCACAATGGCTGGCTAATTTTTGTAATTTTAGTAGAGACAGGGTTTCACCATGTTGGCCAGGCTGATCTCAAACTCCCGAGATCAGATGATCGTCCACCTCAGCCTCCCAAAGTGCTGGGATTACAGGTGTTAGCCACCGCGCCCGGCCTGGAACATCTTTTTATGACAGAGTAAGAAGTGCTCAAACAAAACACAATGATGGGTTATGTCGAAAGGACACAGTAGCCAACAGAAAGAGCTCCAGTGGCCAAAGCTGGAATAATTTAAACAATAGCATTAATATAATAGTACATAGAGGCCAAATTATAAAATAAATACCCTTGAATCTATAGTGATTTAATAAACAATTAAATAAGAAAATGGACAAGAAGAGACAAATTTCACATGCAGCATTCCAAATAACGTATATAAAGACTCTACCCTAAACAAGTGGGAGCATTACTGTTCACTCTTTATGTGTAGGCTGCACATGGCAACTTCCTTCCAAAGAACACAATATGAAAAAGGAGAAAGAAAAAGAATAATTCTACAGTGGAAAAATGAAACAAACACTAATTTAACCAGGTGACCATGGTTGACATAAACACTGATAAGTTTTGTTATTAATATGTGCCCTTGATGTTATGGGATAAGACTGATACTTTACCTCTGAGCATCCCCCTTGCCCAAAGGAAACATCACATAATCCCTGTATAAAGGTAATTGAAACATCAGACAAGTCCCAACTGAGAAATATTCTCCAAAATCCTGGACCAGTACTCCTCAGAATTGTCAAGGTCGTCAAAAGCAAGGAAATTTTCAGCAACTAGAACAGCTAAGAGGGATCTAAGGAGACTAAACATAATATGTTACCTTGAAACTAAAAAGACATTAGGCAAAAAAAGGCAATTTGAACAAAGTATAGACTTCAGTTAATGACAATGTATCATTATTGGTTCATTGATTGTGACAATGTAATGTAACATATTAATAATAGGATAACCTGAATGTGGAACATATACAAACTTCCTAAGTTCTTAAATTTATATATTTCAATCATTTTTTTTAAATTAAGGGGAATTAAGTAGATTCAGGAAGAATTATTTGGATTTCAGAGATAGGAGGCAAAGAGTATTAGGAAATATTGGTATATACAATATGGAGATTAGAAGAAACATAACTCGGGTTTTCCATCTTGGGCCAAGAATATGAACTGTCTCACCACATTTCACGTGTGATGGGGCTATCCAAATGGAGATAGTGAATAGACAGTTCCTACCCGAGATATGAATTTTAAACTCCTATACAATGAAATATGTAGAGAGTTTAGGAGTAAGCCTTAACAAATTCTACATTTTGATGCTTGTATTGATCCTGCCATGAAAACTGAGGAGAGGGAAGAAGGGATAATGGAAAACCCTGACTGCTGGTTGTCTCAGAAGGGAAGATACAACAGTATTTACAAAAAGAATCTAGTTAGCAGTAGTAACTGCTTTTAAGAATTCAAGTCAGTAAAAGACTGGAAAAGCTGCTCACTGGATTAAGCTACAGGCACTAAAGAGACATTATGGCAGAATGATAGTGGAATTGTGAGAATGTCAGATAAGCTACTGGGAAAACTAGTTTACCTTAATCTTCACTTGAAGTTCCTAAACTACTTTTACCTCTTCACATACTATATACAGGCAATTGCACTGAAAAGAGAGCAATAAAACCTGAATTGAGATAAGACAGGATTAGAGGCAGGATTTACCTAAAGTTTGCTGAGAATTCTTAGGGTTAAAAGGTCTTAAGAGATAGAATAATCTCCTAAAGTTACATTTACTCCCATGGCTTTAATTTTAGTGACTCACACTGATAATTTTTATAGTTCATTGACTCTCGAACTTTGACTCACCTACATGTCTTGCTGATATGGCTAATTTAACATATCTGAATAATGATAAAATGAAAATGATATTTACTACTTGTATTAGTCTGTTCTCAGGCTGCTAATAAAGACATACCCAACGTGGGTAATTTATTTAAAAAAAAAGGTTTAATGGATTCACAGTTCCACCAGACTTGTGAGGCCTCACAATCATGGTGGAAGGCAAAGGAGGAGCAAAGGCACATCTTACATGGAAGCAGGTGAGAGAGCATGTGCAGGGGAACTGTGCTTTATATTAATAAAACCATCAGATGTCATGAGATGTATTCACTATGATGAGAACAGCATGGGAATAACACACCACCATGGTTCAATTACCTCCCACTGGGTCCCTCCTATGACACGTGGGGATTATGGGAGCTACAATTCAAGATGAGATTTGGGTGGGGACACAGTCAAACTATACCACTACTATTTATTGCTTGCTTCTGATATGGAAAACACTGAGTTGACATTAAGCATGTGTTATTTCTTAGCCTCATGAGTACTCTGTAGTGATAGCCTTTCCATTTTACAGATGCAAAATGTGCAGTTTAGAACATTCCCAAGATTTCAGAACTAGTAAATTTTATAACCAGAAGTCACATATGGTTACCTTCAAACTTGTCACTAGTTTGATGACTCCATACTACATTCTAAAATAGAATATATCAGTTTATTGTCGCCAAACTTTTAGTTTCTCCTTCATTCCTTATTTCAGTTAATAGCAGCTTCCTCAACCCAGTCAGTTTTGCCTGAAAAATGCCCAAGATTATCCTCTTATTTTCTTTTAAAACCAGCTGCTCAAAAAATACTGCTACTGATTCTCTCAAATATCTGCCTATCTCCCCCTTACCTCAAGCCATTGACAGAATTGAGGTCACATTTTCTTTTACCTGAATTATATCAATAGCCTCCCTATTGGTCACTTTGTCTTTAATCTCCTCCACATACCTGATGCATTCTTCATAGAAATAAATCAAATCTGTATATGTGGGTCCCCTGGGGTTTCCAAGTTAAATTTCTCCATGGAACTCAGAAAAATAATTGATATCTCATAGCCCAACACAGACGGCTTTCTATCATCTGGCCCCTGTATAACATTCCAGCATTATATTTTATCATAGCCATATGGGACCTTTTCTTTAGCCATGGGAAACTGTTTTAAGTCCCATGAACATGCTGTGTTTTTCCATATATCTAGAGCATTGCTAATTCTTTTGCCTTAGCCTGAAATACCTTTTATTCCTTTCCTGTTTGTTAGTCTGCATAGCTTCTATTTTTCTTTAAAAAGTCAACCCAAAGATTATCTCAGATTCTTCTTTTCTGCTACTCCTATGTTGCATTCTTATATCAACTGGGCTGTGACAGTTGCTCAGACATTCATTGTGTTTGATCATCTTGGCAGTTTTGAGAAATGCTAGTCATGTATTTTGTAAAATAGCTCTCATTTGGGATTTATCTGATGTTTTAATCATGATTAAACAGGGGTTATATTTTTATTGGGGGGAAAGAGAAAAACCACAGAGGTAAAGTGCGTTCTCATTGTATCATATCAAATGATTATGTTTCCATCTTCTGCACTGCTTTTACAACCTGCTCATAGCACAATTTTACCTTTTTAATTGATATTATTTTTACCTCATGTTCTTCTTTCAATTATGAATTCCCGAGGATAGGTTCTCTTAACACACGGTAGCTGCTCAATTAATGTTCTGTTTCCTTGAATGAAAATTACAGTGAAAAGTTTTAGAAGGTGTTTCTGATATTATGAGAAGTTATAAATTACATAATAAGTAAATTGTTAAAGGCAAATAATCAGAAATGATATCTTTTCCACAAAAGTGTATACATATTTTCTATTGGATTACACAAGACAAAGGATATACAAGAGAAAAAATAATAAAAAGTTCATTATCAAAGAAGAAATGACACAGATAATTTTAGTACCCTGTCATCTAGTGGTGACTGATAAAAGGCCCAAAGAGTTTTATTGTTTTAATGAACTTTGAAGGTGTTACTATATTCTAAGTTGTTTTGTTGACATAACAATTTGTATTTACATTTTGGTGTGTGTTTAAAACCAATTACCTAGTATAGTTGTCTTTTGGCATTAAAGGAAACAACAAATTTATTTTAAAAATATTTCTGCTTGAGTCTAGAGTGAACCAATAATCTGGTTGAACCATTTTCTGTTTTAAAGTTTATAATCAGTAAAGTTGTGGGAAAAAAGACAAAGGGATTAAAAAACATTTGAAAACAGAAATGAAAACCAAATGACAACTAAGATGTGCAAAGAAGCCATTTAAGTAAAGGGAATTCTAAAAAACGTAAGACAAAAATTGCCAAACATAACTAGCTATTCAATACAGAAGGGAAGCAAAGAGTAAGTATCATTAGGTTCCTGGGCAGTTTAATTTTAATTTCAACTCAGAAAGGTTTTTAGGACTAACATGCTACAAAGAAATGCTCTAGAGTTCTCACTGGCTAGCAATGAGGAAACTACCTTGACTAGCTTAGGAGTGAAAATTTAGAAAGAAACACATCTGAAATGAACCAATGATTTATGCCATGTAGTAGTTTCATACTGAGTATATATGCATGTGAAGGAATGGTAATTGTCACTCAGTATCCATATTGTTCTTCTTCATTTTATAATGAAACACCCACACATTTTAACAAGGTACGCAACAGTCAGTTAGGAGACTACATTTACTCAGCCTCTTTTGAAAATCACGGTGGAAAGTTTTAGATGTTCCTGATATACCTGTGACTAAGCTCTCGCAAGTCAAAGGTGAATTGTGAGCAACTGCTGCACCACGCCCTTATTGGGAGATTGACTGTTCCTACTGGAGACTGAATTGCAATTTAGTGCATAGGAACCAGTTTAGTTCCTATGAAATACCCCTAGAAGATGTCAGAAATCAGATGAAAGGAACTGAAGACTTGGTTACCTTGTGGTTCAGAGCAGCCTAACCACCAACACCTCCCCTTTTCCTCTGGATAGTTGTGTGGGAGAGGAAGATAAGGTTCTATTTTATTTGAGCTATTAAAGCTGTGGGTCTTTTTGTTGCAGTAACTTAATTGATACACTAATTAATACACAATGCAAATGTTGATTTTGATGTAGTTGTAGACTAATATGGTAACTTTCATAATGGCTGCCTGCTTAATTGAAGATGTGAAATTCTTGTTCTTTGCAAAAGACCAGTGTGGGCGTTTGTCATTGGTTATTGCGAAAAAAGAAAAAAAAGCTTGTAAACCTTAACAGAAATTCATTAAAATTGTAGACATAGGTAATTTATTACAATTACATAAGGGGACTGTTACAGTCTTGTTTTGGAAACAAACAAAAAAGGAACCAGACTAGAAAATAACTCTTTCGCCCTCACCTTCTGAACACCTGTTATCTAGGGAGAATTTGTAAAGGCACAGGGACAGCACAGGCTGCGCCATCCTGATTACCTGCATCAGCCCCCAGTCTTGGTCATGCTTTTCTTCGCTTACCTTTTCCTATGTCGCTCTTAATTTTAACAAGTCACTAGGCCATTTGATGACAGATACCCAAATATATCAAACATTATCTTAAGAGTTTTTTGGTTTTTTTGCTTGTTTGTGTGTTTTTTGAGACTGAGTCTCGCTCTGTTGCCCAGGCTGGAGTGCAGTGGCACAATCTCTGCTCACTGCAACCTCTGCCTCCTAGGTTCGAGATTCTCCTGCCTCAGTCTTCTGCATAGCTGGGACTACAGGCGCCCACCACCATGCCCTGATAATTTTTGTATTTTTAGTTGAAACAGGGTTTCACCATGTTGGCCAGGCTAATCTCAAACTCCTGACCTCAAGTGATCCACCTGCCTTGGCCTCCTAAAGTGCTGGGATTACAGGTGTGAGCCACTGTGCCTGGTCTCATGAGATAAATTTTATAGACTTAAAAAGATTTACTAATTCAAGAAAATTGAACAAGAAGCAGCAGGCTTTTGAGGTACAAT
The DNA here is from genome assembly GCF_000001405.40 of Homo sapiens. Lineage (NCBI taxonomy): Eukaryota > Metazoa > Chordata > Mammalia > Primates > Hominidae > Homo > Homo sapiens. Next base: position 29,458,711 of record NC_000018.10, read on the forward strand.
GTTTCAGAAAATAAGGCCGCCAATTATTTTCATGACACTACAACATTGATTAAAATACATCTTGAAAAAACTTTGAATAAAATAATCTTGGAAATGTAAAATTCAAAAATATTGTCATCTGTGCAACAGAAATTTGATGTAAGTAGACATTAAATTTTTAGTTAATTTGTTATATTCCTTGGTATAATCTGCCAATTTCCTTCTTAAGTGAGATATTTAACATAGCACATTTGTCCTTCTGTGATCTTAAATAATGAAATAGGCCAGTGTTCTGTGATTGAAATGCATTCTTTTTCTGATGTTATTTGATTTTCCTGAAAATATGTATTGGTAAATAAAACCTTTACACAATTGTGAAATAACTCTACCTGAGTTTTAACTGAGGTTCTAATATATTTTTCATCAGATGAGTTAGTAATAATATTCAACAATCAAATCAATAATAAGGAAATGTAATACATGGAAATATTGGCTTTATTTTATTAAAAAATCAGAAAACTTTTAGAAATAAACAAATCTGTTCAGAAAACTTCACCAAAGAAAATAATAGGTTTATTATTCATTGCAAAACAGAAGTTATTTGTTGATTACTGAGTACAAAGTGGAGAGAGCATATAGGGAATACACCTTAGAGAGCTTTGAATAAAAACTGACTCCTGGGACCATCTACAAATATTGGATTTAGTTGGTATGGAGTGGACTTCACACATTGATTTATTGAAAAAGTTTCTTTTGTGGATTCTAATGTGTGGCTGGTTTGAGAAATAGCATTCTTGAATAATTTGGAATAATCTATTATAAATATGTTCGAGTGTGTGTGTGTGTGTGTGTGTGTGTGTGTGTGGCAGTGGGGAGAGTTGTAGTTTGCAGCTATTGTTTTTGCTTTTTGGCTTGGGCTGCTCAGCTGTTTGAATAATTCCTAATGTTCTTAATCTACTAAAAGAGTTTCATAAAACATAGTTAACCTGAACAAATAAAAAGGATAATGGCAAGTCCAGTTTCTTAAAGGATAGGATTAAAGCAGTAATAGTTCATATTTTAATTATTTATAACTACACACACACCCCTAATATAAATAAGTAAATAGCCAGGTAATGCTGACACTGATGGTTAGTGGAACCTGCTTTGAGTAAGAGTAATTCTGTGAACTCCCTGCTTTAATTTCAACCATTGCTCACCCACTCACAATAGATCTAAATTCTCTACTCTGACATCATATTGGAAACACCTTAGAGAGCTTTGAATAAAAACTGATTCCTGGGACCATCTTTAAATAATTGGATTTAGTTGGTATGGAGTGGACTTCACACACTGATTTATTGTAAAATTTCCTTTTGTGGATTCTAATGTGTGGCTGGTTTGAGAAATAGCATTCTTGAATAATTTGGAATAATCTATTATAAATATGTTTGAGTGAGAGTGTGTGTGTGTTGGAAGGGTGGAGGAGAGGTATAGTTTGCAGCTGTTGTTTTTGCTTTCTGGCTTCTGCTGCTGAGCTGTTTGAATAAATCCTAATGGTGACAGCTGTCCAGCAATTAGGAATCTCTATCTTACTTATAAAATAATCTTACTAGAAAATAATCTTGTTTTTTAATCTGTCTATAATCAGCTTTTAAAATTTCCATAATTAATTCCATGGTATGCAGTTTTTAAATTGACAGATAATTATATGACGGAACTACAAGAAAGAAGGCAAACTACATTTGAAAGCATATTTTTTTCCCCAGAAAACCAGATATAAATTAGATAATAAAACCCTCTTTCAATGTCCAGCAAACTGTCTTTAATGTAAGTTATAGTTCTTCTTGGACCAGTGCTGAGATCACAGTGTGAGTTAGACATAATTTATTCTGTAATATTTGCTAAATAAACATATATACACACTGCTTTTAGGAAATGTAAATTGAGAAATATTAAAAGCTAATAATATTTTCTCCAAACTAGAGTACACATCTCTTCTTTTATTTTGTGCATATAAAATGTTTTCTTGTTTAATCTTCTCAAGACCACTGGAGTATATATTTAAACACAAGAAACAAATATTTAGCGATAATAATGTTTATAAATTAAATTTATTCAAAATAAGTAATCATTGATAATTCCTCGGATATTTAATAAAAATTTAACTGCATAAAAGTCTCTGTATGACATAAAAGGGATAGGTATATGAAGAGTAATATGTGTTTATTTTACTAGTTTCCTTGTAGTTATTTTATTTTGACTACCATTCAGAGGGATGGGTGATATCTTCACCACAGCTTTCAGGAAGCATGACTAGTAAGGAAGGATTGGACTTTGGAAGACAATAGATTGTTCCTGGCCTTCAAGCATAGGAGGAGGCCACTACCTGGTAACATGAAGCTTGTTCCCTAAAGAAGTGCAAGAGAGTTTTAAAAATATTCATATATTAGGCAGTTCCCACAATCACAAACACAGCAAGAATTAAATATTAAATTAACATTTAACTTAATATTTAAATTTTTAAGAGTTAACTATTAATTTTCTCCAAACTAGAATACACATTTCCTGTGATTGTGCTTGTAGATCAATTCCTTTCTCATATGTCTGAACCCAACTGGACACTTCCTATTATCATACGAAGTCCCGAATGATTTTTACCATAACCAGGTATATTCCTTCAAAGAGAAAAATGTCCTGCGCCTTTTTGTAAGTTTTTCTAGAGTCAATATGATTGGCAACAATGATGCCAGTCATAATGCCATGAGTTAATTTAAGCAATATTAAACAGCAAGCTGGCACAATTTCTAATAATATATTTACAAGCATTTTATATTTTATGTATTGCCTTAGTATAAAAATTTTTTGAGAAAGGTGCACATAAATTTCAAGACTTACTTAAATTAATAACTATTACTTCATAACAGTGGTTAACGATTATAATGTATTATTTTTATATTTTCCCTAGAGAAAAGAAAAAATTCAAGGGTAAAGTGCTTTAGCTTTAAAATGACCAAAGTTCCCCTGGATCAATTATTAAAATAAATAAACATTTATCTTAAAAATAAAACTAACAAAAATTGTCCTAAGTACAAAATAAAGCAAACAAAAAGTTCTTAATCTACTAAAAGAGTTTCATAAACCATAGTTAACCTGAAAATAGTAACTCTCAAATTATGTTTTACCAAATATGATGAATGATATAGACAGGTCTGGTCATAGGTAAGGTTGTATGTAATTCTTCAAACTCCTAGCTTTAATTTCAACCTTTGCTCGCCCACAAAAAGGAGCAAATTCAAATGTACATGATGATGAAATGGAATCCCCTCTGTTTTTAGAAATAAATAATGCACACATTTAAGTTTAAAATTGGTAAGTACTTACTCGCAAACACCAGAAAGTAAATTTAGTGCCGATACCATGAAACTGTAAGGCAAAGACTCACTCTCTAGAGTGAGTTATTAGGTATTCTGTTCCCATCTTCCTTCTCAAAAAGACGCTATTTAGAAATAAACACTAAGAGATGAGAGATGTTCAAAGACCTAGGCAGAGGTCACCGAAAGCCGTAAGAGAATTTTCATTAGTAGCAGTTAAGATCTAAAGCCTGGAATCGCTGCTGCCAATGACTCAGCATCGTAAGGAACTGCCTTGCCACATGCAGATTCTAAAGGTATTATAGGAGTTGCTAATAAGATTTATTTGCACCTTTCCAGTGGAGGTGGCACCAAGGTCTTGCCATTGAGAAGAACAGAATAAGTAGTCAGAGCAAGAGAATTTAAATTCCTGTACCAATTCTTAGTCGTTGACAGAACTCCCGGGAATGTTATGTTGAGACACAGTTAGAAGTTTTATATAGACTTCATGAAAATAAGTGTTATGACTAAATAGCAATCTTTGCCATAAACAAGGGCAGGGAAATGGTGTGAACTTTTTGGCCAATCCTGAATATGTCTTTTTCAGATAAACATAGTTGGTAAGCCAGAATTCAATATTTAAGGTCTAAAAATAAAGAAATTAGATGTTGGTGAATTATGCATATATAAATATGTATGTATATATATTTAATTAGTGGGTTTCTGCTCATAATTGTTAATGATAATGGTCAAGATAATCTTTGTGGGCTGTCAAATTGAAAGGATTTTGAATTTTAGCAATTAATTTATATTAATGATTATATAAATCTGGATGAGGAAAAGAGGTACAAGAGGAGCTGCAACTTAAGAAATTTTATAGAATGGGAGAAATGCATTGAGAAGGCTCAGTCTTGCCAAATTTTTTGGTAGTCATTCGAGTGGCCCAAAATCCACTTACAGAGCAACATAGCTATGGAATAACCTTCTGCATCTCTAGGTTCAGAAGGTGTTTCATTAGTCAGCCCGAGGTACAATTTTATTTTGACTTGTTTGGATTTGCCAGTAAGGATATAGCTGAAAAACACAATTACTAGAACCAGACTACCACACACAATGAAAGAAATTCAACAAGTCACCTACATTTTGTGTCTTAATGTCCTCATCTGTAAAATGAGGTTTCAAATAATATCTATTTGACAGAGCTGTTCTTGGTACCAAATGGGTGATCTTATGGAAAATCCCTGAACTGAGAGTCATATCATCTCCTTTTCATTCTTGTTCCACACCTAAGTATTTGAATCCTTTAGATAATTCATTTGATACATATGGCTTAGATAATTATTGCCATTATCATCATCATCATCATCATCATCATCATCATCATTGTATAGAAATCATTGGGCACTTTTATATCCCAGATACTGTTTAAAGTACTTGAAATGCATTATTCTATCCCCACAAAAGGCCTATAGGGTATATAAATACAAAATGAAGTATATTCAAACTATAAATATTTATAGTTCTGTGATCCTGACTTGATTATATCCAAATGGCACAAGCCTTTCCTCATAGAGACAAATCAAGCAATCAAATTAAAATACAGAGAGTAGGAAGCAAGATTATAATCACATACTACCAAAATAATCATTCAGTGAAATGTAAAACAATTTGATGTTTATCTTTTTTTTTTTTTTTTTTTTTTTTGAGACTGAATGTCGCTCTGTGGCCCAGGCTGGAGTGCCGTGGTGCGATCTTGGCTCACTGCAAGCTCCACCTCCCGGGTTCACGCCATTCTCCTGCCTAAGCCTCCCCAGTAGCTGGGACTACAGGTGCCCGCCACCACGCCCAGCTATTTTTTTTTTTTTTGTATTTTTAGTACAGACGGGGTTTCACTGTGTTAGCCAGGATGGTCTCCATCTGCTGACCTCGTGATCCGCCCGCCTCCGCCTCCGCCTCCGCCTCCGCCTCCCAAAGTGCTGGGATTACAAGTGTGAGCCACTGCACCTGGCCTGATGTTTGCCATTTAAAGTGAAATATTAATGTCTGTCTTGTTTATTTATTGTCTACAACATGTTGATCAATTGTTCTAAACTTACCCCAAATTTTATTTCATATAGAAAAATATTGGATCTCTGTTAGAATTCCAAATTTATGTCGTATTTATCACTTTTAAATTTCCAATATATTATTTTGCATAGAATTGATAAGATGCCGCATACTGCTGAAATAAGCAAAGCACTATCATATGAGTTTACAAAAATTAGGTAGATTATAAATAGATTGAAAAAAACATATTTTTTCAATCTGTTTCAATAAAGAAAAACAAAATTAGTGGTATGTAATTAGCTATTCTCTAAAACTTGACAACGAAACAGCAGCATTAGAAAAACCCACCTGGGGATCTGGGGAGATGTATATGAAAGGACACAAATTTCAATTAGATAGGAGAAATAAGTTCAAGAGAGCTATTACACATCATGATAATTATAATTAATAACAACATATTGCATAATTGAAAATTGCTGATAAAAAAGATTTTAAGTGTTCTCACATTAAAAAGATCAGTATGTGGGGAAATGTATATGTTAATAGGTTGTTATAACCAATCAACAATGCATACATACATTAAAACATAATTTTGCACACCATAACTATGCATAATTTTTGTCAATTAAAAAATAAAATAAAAAATAGAATTATAATATTCTCAGAGTAGATTTCTAATATACAATAAACTAGAGTTAGATAATCAGTCACTCTTTTTCCAAGGGATTCTTTTGAGATAACTGTTCTAAATTTCCAAAGTTTCTAAAATGAAAATTCCTTTAGTGTGTTTATCTCTCTATATACAATTTGTTGGCATATATAATACATCTGCCAATAATTGCCATTTTAAATTACTGTAATCCTTAGGCACATTTAGAAAAGTGAAAGTGTAAATGAAACAATATTTACATATGTAGAATACAAGTCACATAGAGATTATCTAAAATCAAAAAGATTAAATTGGATACAGTTGGATCAACTCTTTAGTGTGTTTTATTTCTTAGAGATAAAATATTTTACCTGGACACTAATATAAAAGTTAAAAAAAGGGGAGTCTGATTTAGTCTCATATTACAATTAATGCCACCTACTAAGTTCTCTCCTTGTCTCCTTAAGATTGAAGGAAAAGGCTTGGAGGCAATGGTGGTTGTGGGGAGTGTCTGCCAACAGGCACCCACGTTCATTCATTGTACACTGATTGTCTTGAATCTGCAACTTCTTTAAGGACAATAAAAGTATTTAAAACAGAAAAAAAATATGTAGTGCCTCCCCCAAAAAATCACCCCACAAAATTGAAAGCAGTGAATGTTTATCTACAAAAAAGACCAATGTGTCAATTTTATTCACTTCATCTCAATTCTTGTATCTAAATTATCTTTAACATGAGCCCAGGGTATTTTTTAACAGGTTTTGTATTATATAATTGTAAAATTAAGAGTTTCTAGAATCTATGAAAAGCTTACAAATTGCTTTGACTATGGAAACCATTTTTCTAAATCAGTTGGCAAATAATCAGATAGCAAAGAGACCCATAATGGAGGTTACTGATAGAAATTATCTTAGGAGTTGCAGCATTTTGAGATAGTTTGCTTGCAACTTTAATGCCTTTAATTGGATTTTACTGTGAAGTGAGGCTGCTTACCCAGTGATCTACCCTCCTGGAAATCTGCCTTGACAGATGGTTCTTAGTAATTACTACAATCATGGTACCCCAACTTACAACTCTCACTTCAAAGTAATTCCTATTCATGAAGACTATATTAGAGAAAAAGGCATACTTTAAGGAATTAAAAATTTTAAGCTTGAGAAAATTTATGAAGTTATTATTGATGTACTACATAAATAGTATCTTGAAGATATTAGAAAGCATTAGGCAATTTATTATTCTTTAAATGATATGCCCTCTATGTCTCATATAGAGCAAATACATTTATGGAACCCCTCCTTGTCCCAAAGGGAAGAAAAAGTAATATTTCAGCCAATGAACTTTAAGAGCTTTTAAAATAAATTTATAGCCAATAATCTATTTGTAGTATTTAATCTAATTGGAATACAAATACATATTTAAAATCACATACACCTGCACCTTCATATATTATGTATGTGTATGTGAAAATATGTCAAATTCAAGACACAATTTTATTTGAATTTTTGTCTTTACTGTTAGAGCTGTGTGTTGACTCTAACACAGTTGTCTAGAACATGTCACCTTTACTGCAGTCTTTGAGCTCTTCTAGTTTTAAAATCTATAAATGTCACTACCTTTGGAAATTTGAACCCAAACCAATAGTATTCATTTTTATAATATTAAGTTTTTAATATCTATAATAATATTATCCTGAATGCAAACATCAAGTCCTGTAAGCAGAGAAGATTACTGTTATTCACATATATACAAATGTACCTGATCCCCTTTAATAGTAATAAAAAGATATAATTTATAATGGGAAAATGGAACATTTCTACTAATATAAAAATACATTTTTGAGTGAATAAAATATTTAATTATATATCTTCATATATTTTCAGGCACCGTGGCTCATGCCTGTAATCCCAGCATTTTGGGAGGCTGAGGTGGGAGGATCACGAGGTCAGGAGTTTGAAACCAGCCTGGCCAGCATGGTGAAACCCGGTCTCTACTAAAAATACAAAAATTCGCTGTGCATGGTGGTGTGCACCTGTAGTCCCAGCTACTCGGTGAGGCTGAGGCAGGAGAATCACTTGCACCCAGGAGGCAGAGGTTGTGGTGAGCTGAGCTCCTGCTACTGCACTCCAGCCTAGGTGACAGAACGAGACTCCATCTCAAAATAAATAAATAAATAAATAAATAAATAAAATATATCTTCATATTTACACACACACACATATATGTAAAAGTTACAAGAAAATCTCTAACTCTACCTAGGGAAATAAATGACATGTAATAGAAAACATACTTGGTGCCTGAATACAATGATCTTAATTGCACTTACATTTCAATATGATGAAATTCCAATCAAGCGAAATCCCAAAAATTTTCCTTGAGAAAGTATCCAATTTGTTTCAAGAAAAAATATTACAATTATAGAAACACAAAAAAGATATTAAATGTGTTCTAAAATGCAGTCCAAAGCATTGTCTGCTAAAATTTCTGAAAACTACCTGCTAGTATTGTAGCATGCCTTTGATTGTTATTGACTGTCTACGCTATTTCATATAAATCTGTAGAGATAGAACTTAAGTTGTAGAAAAGTATTTCCTGTCAATAATAAGACAAGTGATTCTTGCCCGTACAAATGCAAATTACTATTTTGTAAAGATACAATTGGTTTTCTACCTTTAGAAATATTGACTATAAACATTATAAAAAATGACTATAAGTATTATATATGTATTTGGTATTTTAATATTATTGGATATTAACCAGTTGTGCACCCATTACAAAGTTCATTTCAGCATTCTTGATTGCATGTTTGTATGCATGTATATGTGTCTTAATTTTCATTTGAATGGGTTGCAACATCTTATTGATTCCTTTATTGAATAATGGATGAAAATCTTTGACATGAATAAATTATATTTGCATGAAGGTCATAATTTTTTCTGTTTGTAAATTATAAGCAGGCAGTTTTGGATGTCCAGGATACTGACATTGATACAATCAAACTATGGAACACTTCAATCCTCCCCAAAATCCCTTATCTTCCCCTTCTGTGGCCACACCCACTTAAAAAAATAAATATTGTAGTGTATATGTGAGGTTCACAACATGATGCTATAGAATGCATATAAATAGTAAAATGGTTACTATCATGAAACAAATTAACATATCTATTATCTCACGTAGTTACTTTCTTGGGTGACAAGAGCAGTTAATATCCCTAAGACAATGCAATTTTATTTACTATAGTCCTTAAGTTCTACATTAGATCTCTAGACTTATTTCAGTCTATGTATCTGCTACTTTGTATCCTTTGACCTACATTTCCTATGTCCTACCTCTTCAACCCTGGCAACCATTGTTTCATTCTCCATATCCGTATATTTGACCCTTTTTTTTTTTCCAGATTATACCTATAAAGTACACCATGCAAAAACTACATGCTTCCATTGCGGCATGCAGGGTTTTTTTTTTCTGTGTCTAGTTTATTTCATTTTGCATAATGTTCTCCGGCTCCATCAATGTCATGGCAAATGGCAGGGCCTCCCTTTTTTTTTTTTCCGTACTGAAAGGTATTCCATTTGTGTATAGGCACTACATTTTCTTTACTCATTTATCCATGGATGAGCACTTAGGTTGTTTCCATATTTTGGCTATTGTGAATAATGCTGCAATGAACGTGGAAATGCAGATGCCTTTATGCAATGACGATTTTATCTTCCTTTGGTGTCTACCCAGAAGAGGGATTGCTGGGTTACATGGTAGTTCTATTTTCAATTTCTTTAGAAAACTTTATATTGTTTTTGATAATGCTTGCGTCACTCTACATTTTCACCAACCATGTGGTAGGGCTCCCTTTCTTCCACACGTCACACCCGCTTCTAACTTTCCCCACCCCTTCCTTAACCTCCACAACCAAGATTCTCTTCTCCATTTCTAGCTTTTGTCAGTTCAAAAATGCTACATAAATGGAATCATAGAGTATGTAATCTTTTAGAAATAGCTTTATCCATGCAGTATAATTTTCTGGAGATTGAACCAGGTGGTTGCTGGTATCAATATGCCATTCCTTTTACTACTGATTGCATGGTATAGATGAACTACAAGGTATGGATGTACTACAAATCGTTTACCCATTCACAGGTTCAATGACATCTGCATTGCTTCATTTGGAGCCATTAAGCATGAAGCTTCTGTAAATATTTGCCTGTAGGTTTCTGTATGAATATATAATTTCATTATTGGGGAATAATTCCTTAGGAGTATAACTGTTATGTTGTACAACAGCTGAATGTTTAGTGTTTTGAAGAAGTGGCCAAAATGTTTTGTGGAGAGGCTGTATCATTTTATATTCCTACCAGCAATGTGTGAATATCCAGTTTCCCCACGTTTGCCAGCATGTGGTATTGTTTTTGTTTGTTTATTTCTTTAAGCCATCCTGATAAGTCTGTAGTGGTATCTCATTTTACTTTTAATATGGATTTCCGCAATCACTAATGATGAACAAGTTTTTATGGGTTTTAACCATATGTATATCTTCTTCCATGAAATATCTCTTTATGTATTTTGCCCATTTTCTCAATCAGACTATTTTTTAAATATTGAGATTTGAGAATTTAAAAAAAATTCTGGATGCTATTTTTTGTCAAATATGTGGTTTTCAAATGTTCTCTCCCAGTGTTCAGCTTGTATTTTCATCTTCTTATTGGATCTTTTACAGAGTTTACATTTTCAATATTGTTGAAGTCCAATTTATCAATTTTTCCTTTCATCCATCTTTCTTTTGGTATCAAGTTTAAGAACACTTGGATTAGCCTTAGTTCACAAAGATTTTCTCCTACATTTTCCCAAAAGTTTTATGCTCTTATATTTTACAGGTAAATCTGTGATCCATTTTGAGTTCAGTTTTGTATAACATGGAGGGTTTCAGTTGAGCTTTATTTATTTATTTTTCACCAAAGAAACTCCAGCAATATTTGTTGAAAGGTTATATTTCCTCCATTGAATTGCTTTGGGGCCTTTCTTGAAAGTATCTTGTGGATCTTTTCCTGAATTTTATATTCTGTATTACTTATCTATATGTTTATCTTTTCACCAATATCAAACAGTTTTGTTTACTAGAGCTATGTAATAAATCTTAAAATTGGTTAGACTGAAGTTTTCTACATTATTCTATTTCTAAAATTTGCTGGGCTATTCTAGTTCCTTTGCTCTCCAATACAGATTTTAGAATAACCTTAGATATATTTACAAAAACCTACTGGGATTTTAATAAGAATTGCATAAATTTGGCATATCTGTTTGGAAATAATTGACATTTTTACCAAGACAAGTCTTCCATTCCACAAACATGTTATTCCTTTCCATATATTTAGATCATTTTAATTTCTTTATTCAGGATTTGGTTGTCTTTAACATACACATTCTGCACATGATTTGTTAGGTTTTCATGTAAATATATTTATTTTTAGTGATTCTAAATTATATTGTATTTTTATTTCAAATCTATATGTTTATGACTAGTATATAGGAATATAATTTTTGGTATGCTGATCTTGTATCCTGCAACCTGATGCTCCAAGGTTTCTTCTTTTATCTGTTTTTTTGTTTGTTTCTGTGTAGAGATCTTCCTTTAGGCATTCTTTTAGGTCTGCTAGTAATACATTCTCTCAGTTTTCTTTCATCTGAGAATGTCTTCATTTTTTTCTTCATTCTTGAAAGATATTTATACTGGATATAGACTCTTCAATGATAGTTCTTTCTCTTCTGCACTTGAAAAATGTGATACCACTTCTCTGTCGCCTCTATGGTTTCTGATTTCTGAAAGTCTTCTGTCACCTGAATTGTTTTCCCTTAGTATAATTTGTTTCTCTGTCCCTGATTTCCAGATTTGTTTTTGCCTTTACTTTCAAAGTTTGGCTATGCCATGACTTGTTGAGGATTACTTTGGGTTTGTCAAGTTTGTGGTTCACTCAGCTTCTTGAATCTTCTGCCAAATTTAGGAAGCTTTCAATTTTTTTATTCCTTTGAATACTTTTTAATCCTCATGCTATTTCTCCTATCCTTCCAGAAATCTGCTGATGTGACTGTTAGATCTTTTGCTGTATTTCAATAGATAGTTACAGCTCTGTTGGTTTTTTCAACCTGCTATCTCGTTATTGTTGAGATTGAGGAATTTCTATTTTTCTAACTTATAATCATCTGACTCTTCCCTTTGTCCCTTCCATTCAGGTGTTGAGCATGGCAATTATTATTTTATGTATTTATGTATTTATGTATTTATTTATTTATTTTTGAGATGGAGTTTCGCTCTTTTTGCCCAGGTTGCCCAGTGCAATGGTGCAATCTTGGCTCACTGCAACCTCTGCCTCCCAGGTTCAAGCGATTCTCCTGCCTCAGCCTCCCGAGTAGCTGCGATTGCAGGCACCTACCACCAAGCAAGGCTAACTTTTTTTTTTTTTTTGTATTTTTTGTAGAGACAGGGTTTCACCATCTTGGCCAGGCTGGTCTTGAACTCCTGACTTCATGATCCACCTGCCTCGGCCTCCCTAAGTGCTGGGATTACAGGTGTGAGCCACCACGCCTGGCCCCATTATTATTTAAAATTTTGTCATTGTATTTTTAAGTTCTCGATTTCTGTTTGGTTCTTCTTTTTATCTTAACTGTTTTTCTGAGACTTGTTTTCTTTATCAGGAATTTCTAGTTGTTTCATTTCCTTCTAATATTTATGTAATTCCTCATTGCAACATTTTAATGATTCTGCCTTAAATATTTTCCAGATAATTCTAACATCTCTGTTACTGTATTGCTATCATCTATTTATTGGTCTTAAATTCATTTTAAGATCTTCTTCATTCTTGTTATGATGAGATAGTTTTATATTGAAACTGGAACATTTTGGATATTGTTATAAGACTTTTAGATCTTATTTAAACCTTCAGTTTTATTGGTGATAAAGCAAAAACTTGAACCAAATTAAATTTAAAGGAATTTGAGCGCTGAATGATTTGTGAATTGGGCAGCTGTTCCCAGCCAGAGTAGGTTGGGAGCACAGCACACGTGGTAGAAGATTTATGGACAGAAAAAGGAAACTGGCCTACAGAAAACGGAAGTGAGGTACAAAAACAGCTGGATCGGATACAGCTCAGCATTTGCCTTATTTGAACACAGTTCAAACAGTGGTTCCATTTGATTGGCCAAAACTCGGTGATTGGCACAAGTGTAGGCTACAGTCTGTATACAACTCCATTTAGGTTATAGTTCACGTTGTACAGAGAAACCTTTAGGCTGAACTTAAAATATGTAAGGAGGCAGCTTTAGGCTTAACTCGATTTAACACTGGCTTCTTCTTCTAGAACTTCAGCAGAGAAAGTCAAGATAAAACCTTGTGGATGCCATGTTTCAGCTGGACTGTGGTGAAAGTCTTGCATTCCACTGAATGTTCTCTATTCTACCCTAGTGGGGAAGGAGAGGACTTTTCATTACTGCTGGTGGGAGTTTAAAAAAAAAAAAGAAAAGACAATCAATCCATACTCCCCATATGGTCTCCACTGACTATATAATGTGGGGCCTTCCTAGTGTTTCTTCTCTGACTCATTCCATCAGTAGTATGGGTATCATTACAGCCTGGAAAAGGCAAAAATGTAGGCTTCCACCAAGCCTGTTTTGGCACAGTTGGGAATAGGGCCATAGGTTTTTACCAGGAGTAGAAGAGTTACTATTTAAAATTTCAAGTCTTGCTAATCTGCTCCATGCCCGATTCTTTGGATAGGAAGCGCAGGTTTTTGTTGGGTTTATTTATTCATTTTGTCTGCACTCATCAGTGATCCCCAGTTTCCAGCTTCCTCACCTCTATATCTGGGATATGTGAGGGGGAAAGAAAACCCACGGAATTCATTGCTGTGTTCCTTGTTCCTTGGGTCTTAAGGGCTCTAGTAGGTCTCATTTCTCCTCTTCACCATTCAGAGTATTCATATGTTTGTTTATATAAAATGTTCTAGGCTTTTAGCTGTACTTAGTGGTAGGGATCTGGAATAGTGTGACTACTTTATCTTCCCAGAAGTGGAAATATCAAATGGGAAGACTTTATGCTTCTGTATTTAACTTGACATTTGACTAAAATGGTCGAATTGAAAGTCTAAGTTGTCTTTGTTTCAGAGTTTCTTTCTGTCTGTGTGTCTCTAATTGAAAATGGCTTAAACTCTCATGACGTGAGTATGAATAATTTTTCTACCTCCAAGAAGTATTAATACATTAGATGATATCATCTTTTAAATTAAACAATCTCTGTTCTAACAGGTTTAAAAATTGAAAGATGTACTTCTATTAATATAATATTGTCCAAACTCAGACTATAAAGAAATCCAGACTCTAATAATCTAAATGTCTTTGGCTTTAAGAAAAATTATTCTTTTTCAGATGGGTAGATTACTAAATTTTTTCCCATTCTGTAGGTTGCCTGTTCACTCTGATGATAGTTTCTTTTGCTATGCAGGGGCTCTTTAGTTTAATTAGAACCCATTTGGCAATTTTGGCTTTTGTTGCAATTACTTTTGGTGCTTTTGTCATGAAGTCTTTGCCCATTGCCTAAGTTTTCTTCTAGGGTATTTATGCTTTGGGGTTTTACATTTAAGTCTTTAATGCATCTTGAGTTAATTTTTGTACAAAGTGTAAGGAAGGGGCCTAGTTTCAGTTTTCTGCATATGGCTAGCCAATTTTCCCAGCTATTTACTGAATAGGAGATCCTTTCCCCATTGCTTGTTTTTGCCAGGTGTGTCAAAGATCAGATGGTTGTAGATGTGTGGTGTTATTTCTGAGGTCTCTGTTCTGCTCCATTGGTGTGTATGTCTGTTTTGGTACCAGTACCATGCTGTTTCGGTTATTGTAGCCTTGTAGTATAGTTTGAAGTCAGGTAGCGTGATGTCTCTAGCTTTGTTCTTTTTGCTTAGGATTGTCTTGGCTATACAGAGTCTTCTTTGATTCCACATGAAATTTAAAATAGTTTTTTCTAATTCTGTGAAGAATATCAATGGTAGTTTTATGGGAATAGCATTGAATCTATAAATTACTTTGGGCAGTGTGGCCATTTTCAAGATATTGATTCTTCCTATCCATGAGGGTGGAATGTTTTTCCATTTGTTTGAGTCCTCTCTTATTTCCTTGAGCAGTGGTTTGTAGTTCTCCTTGAAGAGGTCCCTCACATCCCTTTTAACTGTATTCCTAGGTATTTTATTCTCTTTGTAGCAATTGTGAATTGAAGTTCATTCATGATTTGATTTGGCTCACTGCTTGCCAATTGTCTAACATCCAGAATTTACCAGGAACTGAAAAATATTTACAAGAAAGAGACAAACAACCTCATCAAAAAGTGGGCAAAGGATAAGAATGGACACTTCTCAAAAGAAGATATTTATGTGGCCAAAAAAAAAAAAACACATGAAAAAGAGCTCAACATCACTGATCATCAGAGAAATGCAAATCAAAACCAAAATGAGATACCATCTCACAATAGTCAGAATGGCGATTATTTAAAGGTCAGGAAACAATAGATGCTGGGGAGGCTGTGGAGAAATAGGAACGCTTTTACACTGTTGGTGGGACTGCAAATTAGTTCAACCATTGTGGAAGACAGTATGGTGATTCCTCAAGGATCTGGAACCAGAAATACCATTTGACCCAGCAATCCCATTGCTGGGTAAATACCCAAAGGAATATAAATCATTCTACTATAAAGACACATGTGCAGATATATTTACTGCAGAACTATTTAAAATAGCAAAGACATGGAATCAACCCAAATGTCCATCAACAATAGACTGGATAAAGAAAATGTGGTACATATACAACATGGAATACTATGCAGCCATAAAAAGGAATGAGATCATGTCCTTTGCAGGGACATGGATGAAGCTGGAAGCCATCATCCTCATCAAACTAACACAGTAACAGAACACCAAATACCATGTGTTCTCAGTCATAAGTGGGAGTCGAACATTGAAAAAACATTAACACAGAGAGGGGAAAAACACACACCAGGGCCTTTTGCGGGTGAGGGATGAGGGGAGGGAAATTAGAGGACGGGTCAATAGCTGCAGCAAACTTTCATGGCACACGTATACCTACGTACCAAACCTGCACGTTCTGCACAGGTATCCCATTCTTTTTTAGAAGAAATAAAGAAAAAAAAAGAATTATTCAGAAACTCAAAAATATGTTAAAAACACAAATTATCATAATAAAGTTAAATATTTGAAAAATCAGATTAATTTAATAATTTTGGTTTAAAACATTTTAGTTGATTTTTTATCTAAGTTGTCAATGATAAACATAATGTAAACATACATTTCCTTTTTAAGACTTAACAAGACTAGTTTTCTGAAATTCCTAAGCAATGCAGGTTTACTGATGAAATAAGCTAACATACTTTTATGTGATGTTTAAGATTATAAGAAATATAGTGGGTTAAACAAAATTGATTTATTTTTCAGATCAACTTTTTTTTATGTCAACAGAAAAATACTTGGATAACTTTAAACCCTGAATTAATATATAATGGACTTAACTGGTGGAAAATCATTGAATGCCTAGATAAAATCTAAGTAATCTGTATTGCTAAAGCTGATTACTAAGCATAATTATAATTCTTTCTACGTTTTATTTTTATTTTTATATGATATAGAGAAGTGGCCTTCATTTTAGTTCATGCTAATGAATGTTTTCATTTTTTTGGCCATTTTAAGAGGTGTAACAGGAATGTTCATGCCTGTAAGAAAAAATATTTCAATTTGTATAAGGTATAATAATGCAAGATAAAGCTCTAAAGATTTGCTACATGACATAATGACTATAGTTAACAATACATTCATGTGCACCTAAAATGTTATTAAAAGAGTGATTCTCATATTGTGTTTTTAGCACGCACAAATAAAAAAAAGACTCAAGAAAATTTTTGGATGTAATGGCTGTCTGTTACATTGATTATGGTGATGACTTCACAGGTGTATGCAGATGTCTGAACTCATCAAATTGTATGCAATTAATATGTTCAGTTTTGTATATCAATTGCACATCAATAAAGAAGTTGTGACATTTGTATTTATGACCTCTGTGAGTCTGCAAAAATACTTTTGTATAACAGAGTTCTCATTGATCTGTTTTCTGATTTTGTCTATGAAATAGAAGTTAGTTATTTTAGGTAAAAAATATAATTAATATGTTTGATAAAGACTATACTAGGAGCCATAGTGACAGTGGATTATAACTGTGTGGTTTTTTAAAAAAAATTAAGGAAAGAAGGACTAGTTTCATCCAAAAGTAAAGTCTCAATTTTTTTCAGAACATGACAGAGCATGGCAAAAAGCACAAAACATGAGAACAATGAATTTTAATTTCCATAGTTTATAATACTAAGTCATAGAAAGTCATAAAATAAGCAGTGGAATGTGTTAAAATCTTGTCAAAGTTTTTCAGATTGGGTGAGCTTCCTGATTAAATTCTCTGCCTTGTATGTAAACTGTCTAGAAAGCAGCAATTCTATATATTACCAGAATAATTTTCTGAATTTATATTAACTTTATCATGTTCTTGATTATTACAAAATGCAAGGGATAAAGCTTTACGTATAAAAGATCGAAACTGCTTTAGTAGAATTCCTTATGTTTCTATGTTTATTTTAAAATATCTTATTGTCACTGATTAAATAAGTATTATTTCTCAGGCACTCATAATAATATCTTAATTATGTACACCTCTTTGGACAAAATTGTTTTATTAAAAACATATCTTAAATTTAAAAAACAGTTTGCAAAATTATATCTTAAATTTAGAAAAACTAAAATAACATTTCAAGATATCTTTTATAGTTAAAGTAAGACCACTGAAAAATTACAACTGTTTGTTATTTCACCATCTAAAAAGAGATGAGAAATAATTAAACGTTTGCTATGCTTCCTGTTTTTTTAAATTGGTTCCTCATGATTGTCAGAGATATGTGGATAGACTTTTAAAATCAGTATAGAAACTCAGTTCTCTGTAAGTTAAGTTTGTCTATGTAAAATGATATTAATGTAAGTATTTCAGAAGGAAGACACTTTGTGAGAATACCCTGGATTTTTACAATTTCCTAGATGTCCATAACATGTTTTTACCTTCAGGGAAAAGCTGATCAAACTTGTATGTAATAGCTATCTTATTCTTCTCCATTTTATATTACTCTTAGTGTAATAAGTTGTACACTATCAACTACTTTTGTTATCTTAAAGTTGTTTTTATTTTATTCTGATGCTTGCCTGCAGAGTCTGCTATTATGGTACAGTCCATAGTTGGTATCTACAAAGTAGAACAGTCTCAGAATATCATGGAAAGGTCTATAACGGGTACTTTGAATTGTTAATATTTCAGAGAATTATGCCGTTATGAATGACATCATGCAGACCAATTTTAGTCCATATTAGTGAACAGAATGAGACTTTTCAGAACTGTTTTAAGGTGGAAATAAATGACTTCATGAAAGCAGGCTGTGGACATATGAGCCATTGGGACAAGAAATAATTACATAGGATGACATTAAAATAAGAGAAATTTTACTATGCTTTAAAATATGTTGATATTATTTTAATAATCTGTTTATTTGTGTGTGCGTATATATATATAACCTAAATGTATTAGACACAAGATTTATAAAGAAAGTGAAATACTTTAAACTTCTTGCTGAGTCTCATTACTTCTTGTGGCAACACTGTTAAGTAGGTTCAATAAGAAACTGTTCTCTCTTTTACTAGGACATACTTGGAAAAATTCAGTTTGCAAAAAAGCCATACCTGGAGTATTGCATTTGATAATGATTATTCTTTAATCAGGTGTGACAAATTACTATTAAGTAGCAAGGATTGACTTTATATAGGGACCTAATATCTAGAAAATCCTCCCAAGAATATTAGCCTGGTACCTGGCTTATAGGTGCTATGTCTGTAAATGGGGAGAAAAATAAATTTTTGAGGATAAGAAACCTTAGCAAATTTTTAGAACCTCAAAAGGAGGATGAATTCACCCATACTTATAGGTGCTGCTGGTAACGTTTTAAGGAAAGAGGTTTTGGTCTCAATTTTCTAGACTTGGAATCTCAAATAATAGAGGACTCTAAAAGTTCAACCAAAATGCTTCAGGAAAGCTTCCAGAGAGAAGTTGATTTTATAGCCTTAGTATTTGTTCAAAACTGTGTGGCTCTATATTTGCAAAGCAAACTTAAGGAGGACTAATTAAAAACAGTGTTGTTGCCAGTATATAAATAATCAGGTTAATTGAGATATTTATCAAGACAGGTTTTTGCATGTAGGAGAAGAATGGCATTCCATAACCAAATGAGCATTCAGAGACAGGCAAGGACAATTTACAATTAGTTAAGTGACTGAAGTTAAATTTGTAAAAATATCCTTCAATGTTTAATAATAATTACGTTAGAAATGAAATGGAAGACTGGACGTAAATATTCAATAATCATTCCAGAAAATAAATAAAAATGAGAACCAATAAATCCATGTCTTTGTGATATTTCATTATACCTAAGATAATGAGTGAAACCTAAATACTTCCAGAAAAAAAGTTAAATAAGCATTAAACATGTCACCTAAAAATTGTTGGAAATTAGAATGTTATCACACTTCTTTTTTTTTTCTGAGGCGGAGTCTCGCTCTGTCGCCCAGGCTGGAGTGCAATGGTGTGTGATCTCGGCTCACTCCAAGTTCCGCCTCCCAGGTTCCCGCCATTCTCCTGCCTCAGCCTCCGGAGTAGCTGGGACCACAGGCGCCCGCAGCCGCGCCCGGCGAATTTTTTTTTTTTTTTCGTATTTTTAGTAGAGACGGGGTTTCACCGTGTTAGCCAGGATGGTCTCAATCTCCTGACCTCGTGATCCGCCCGCCTCGGCCTCCCAAAGTGCTGGGATTACAGGCGTGAGCCACCGCGCCCGGCTCACACTTCTTAAAAGAAACACTAGAATTTAGAAGAGAATGGAGCAATGATCTGAAGAAAAAACAGTTCCAAAGAGAATCTCAGATGTGGTCAAAGTATCGATCAAGTGTGAAGGTTGAATAAGTAATTTTATCTTATGTATGTTCACAAAAATGTCACTTCCCATCAATTGGTTTTGGAGGCTATGGAAGCAAGTGTTGCATGAAAATGAGAAAGGTATTTAAACAATATTAAATAAAATATAGGAAAGATACAGAATACAGTAAAGATACCAACTACCAAAAAAAATATATATATATATATATATATATATAAATTCCAGGCAGGTGATGTATTTTGTGTGGAGGGTAGATGAGACCTAAAACAGAAAAACCATTAATTGCACACACTAACTTTAGATTTTAATATGTTGATAAAAAGGAACAAGAACCAACCAGTTTTAGGAGAATGGTTGCCTTGGGAGAGTGGAAAACAGTTCTTTAGAATGATTGAGAAGAGAGCTGGTAGTATCAGATCACATTTAAAACCTTATACAAGCATTACTGTGCTAAGAAAATAAAATATATAATTTTCATACCGCAAAATTCTTGCAACTAAAAAAAAAAACCTCTTACAATGAGTAATGAGAAAAGAATCACCCAAAAGAATAATGAGAAAAGAATATAATCTAGAGAAAAACAAGAAATAGATAAGAGCTTGTATAAAAGACACTGAATTTTACTAGCAATAAAGATGGATGAGTAGTGAATTTTGAATTCTCTGATATGCTTATCATTTATTTGGGTAGGAATATAAGTTTGTAGAACTACTGTGGAAGTCAGAAATAACATTTTACTTCTTATAAATGTATGTATAATCATAATCAGAAAAATACTCAGCCTATTGAAGAATATTACCCTCTACTTGATTTTCATAGATGATAAACAGTGAAAATATTTATAATTCAAATGAGTGAATACTGGAAAAGCCCTTAGAAAATGATCTGGCACATAATAAGCAGTAAATAGGTGTGGGATACTGTCATTATTGTCATTATAATCATAGAACTATTTATTTAAATTACAATCTAATAGTAAAATAAATTACAGTAATTTGAATGGATAATGTTCATTCCTAGTTATGAAAATAGAGGTATTTCCACAGTGTGTTGAGACTGAAGATTTAAAAGATCATTCATTATTTCATATTGTATGTCTTATGTATGTGTGTTTACAAACACATTGGTGAAAATTATTACAAAAGGGGCTATTCGGAGATACTTTTATATTCCCTCTTAGTTATTTTTCAAATTCTTCAAAGTTTTCCACTGGTGACATTTTAACACCTTAAAGAAAACAGTGACAGTGGATGGGAAATAGCCATGCAAAATTTAAAAGGTGATAAATAAGTTTAAAAACAAAAAAGATTTGCAAGGAATTGCAGTTGACTTAATAATGGGGAAGTAGTTTTCTTTTGCAACATCTAAGCTGTAAGTTAGTTTTGATTATACTCCCAACTTGTTTTCCATGATAGATACTGATATGTCATTTTTTTCTTGAACATAATCCATTTATAAACTTGTTTTCAAGTGTGAGAATGCAAGAGGTACATTAGTTTTATGACAGGAAAATCACATAGGAAGAATATGGAAAACCCAATATTTTTCTATCAGTCTTGATTGCAAAAATAAGTTTAGCAAGACTATTTGTTCTTTAGTGCTATTTAAGTATGAGTACTTCAGAACCCAACCCCTCTGGCACCCCCCTTCCAAAATGGTTATCGTGTTGGCAATGAACATGGCAATTATTCAGGATTGGAAAAAAAACAAACAAACTGAGAGTGCTTTGCCACAAATGTATTTCACAACTTTAAGGGGGAAAAAATCTCTTCAATTAAAGAGCACTATTTTAACAGAAGGGTGTATTTATTTAGATTTTTAAAAATCGTAACCTTTGAATAATCACTTGTTACTGAATGTCTTAGCACAGGTGTTCAGGTTTTCCATATAAATGATTTGTCAAGAGTAATTGGTGGGTTATGTTGCCTTAAAAAAGGTGGTTATTTCTTTGGTGAATGGAAGAGGAGGGATGTGTGGGTAGTTTTATGTTCTCAGTAAGTTAGGTGAAGAAATGCCATCCATAAATTAAGTAATTTTTGAGTATATTCATAACTCAAATTTTAAATTAAATAGATGCTGTTATTTAATTTTGCAGTTGCTTCATGAGAAAGTTGTTTTAGGTTTTTAAAGCTATAATGAAGCCCTTGCGTGAAATCCAAACTGATTTAAAATGAAAGAGGAATCTTTCATAGTGACTGCAATTTTTATGTCTTTCATTCATTAAATCTAGTTTGCAACTAAGGAAAGTATCTAAAAAAAGGTATCTGTTGTGTGTTTGTCAGACTGGTTTGACCTAAGTACATTCTTGTGTACTGGGTCTATAATTTATAAGCATTTTATTCTCTGCCATTTATGGACCTTATGAATTGGCCTCATATGATTTAAATTCAGAAGTCTCTAAAACCTGTGATAACTTCTTTTCTAATTGTACTTCTTTTACTTCAACCTATAATAGAATTGTGATATAGCAAGATATTTATTAGAGTGGAGCAAATTAAAATTCTTATTTTATACTTCACATATACCCAAAATCAACTCTAGTACACAAAATGTTACTGTGAACCCATATATTTTTTTTTTTATAAAATAAAGGAAGTTATTGAGTTCTGTGTGAAAAACAGAAGGTATGAGCTCAACATGCAATAGGCCTATAGATGAACAAATACTGTACCACAATTTTATTTAGGAACAGTAATGTAAGGTGTTTTCTTGTCAGTATTTTTTCTTTTCTGTGAATTTTTCAGCACAAATTCCAAACTATTGTTTGTACTCATGTTCTTATCTGTATACTGCTTTCTTCAAATGATAGAATCAGCCACTAAATTAAATCATCAGTGTTCTGACAGATAAATTCAGTTATAATCACTTAAATTGGAAAATGTGTCTAAAGATTTCTTACATCCATCATATTCATTAACTCCAGTCTCACAGATACATATCACATTAATATTAATTCTTCAATTATCAGAGCAATGAGAAGTAAATCTCTCCATTTATGAATTCATTCAAGAGAAGTATTTCTCTATCTCTTTTCTCTCTCCCCTTCCTCTCTCTTTCTTCATTGTCCTTCCTCTCTCATTTTCTTTCAACTTGACACCCTTTGTTCAAATGCAAGATTTTATTTATTTATTTTTGTGACAGCATCTTGCTCTGTTGCCCGGCTGTAGTGCATTGGCATGGTCGGGGCTCATGGTCAAGGAATCCTCTGCCACAGCCTACCAAGTAGCTGGGACCACAGGTGCATGCCACCACACCTGGCTAATTTTTGAATTATCTGTGGAGATAAGGTCTCTCTATGTTGCCCAGGCTGGTCCCGAACTTCTGAGTTCAGGTGATCCTCCTGCCTCAGTCTCCAAAAGTGCTGAGATTATAGGTGTGAGACACTGTGCCTGGCAAGTTTATTTTTAAGACTACATAAAAATATAAAAATGGAACTTAGATGGTCAAAACACACATAGGAGCCAAATCCCTGTTCGTCTCCCTTTTCTCAACATCTTATTGCAAATCTCAGAGAAAGATTTCTTGGGAACTCCTTGAATTCAAATTCACGGATATAGGACTTATCAAAAAGATTTAATGAGGAATAGAAAAGAGTTAACACACTTGTTTCACATTTTATTTTTCTTTCAGAAATTTGGACCGAGCACTGATTTGGAAATAGCATAATTTAAAAACACTTTATTTTAAAAATCTATACATGTGAAGGGTATAAATGTAAAAATATGATTAAGGACAAACAAATTAAGCTCTTTATAAAAATGAATGAATTATTTATAATTTTAAAAATACAAACAGTGCTATTTTCTTATTAAAAGGAGGTGTTTGACCATTTGGAATAGATCTTCAGTCTCATATATATAGACAGACATGATTTAACCATTCTACTTAATGAGTTTTGGATTTTAGGGTAGTGAAAAGGTGGTATGCATTTCTAAAGCTCCTCGACTCATAGCAAGGTTACCTTAGAATAAAACCATTGTAATTTTTAAATGTTGTAAATGGAAAATGCACTTTAGACTTGTGATATTTTCAATTTAATGTAAGTCTCTCAGGACATAACCTTGTGGTAGTTCAAGGAGCATCTGTACAAATATATATGTTTGTACAAATATATCTGTACAAATATACATATGTATTTATATATGCAAGTATATATTTAAATAAAATATCTCTAGCCAAATATATAAAATCTAATTTTTGCTGCCTGTGTTTTACACAATATAATTTAGTGAAAAGCAACTTACACGTTTACGTGGAAAATTATCTGTCAAAAATGTTGCTTCTCTGCAACATATGGACATGGGAAAGTCTTCATGGTTAGTTTACTAAAAATTAATTGCTGAATGGAAACTCTACTTCACTTTACATGTAAATAAATACTACAAAAATGACCTCTGGTATTTTGTATCCTTATATATTTTCACAAAGAGTGCAAATACTGTAAATAAACTTTCCTTAATTTTCTATTGTCATTGATCCTAGTGATTCATTGGAGTTCTCCATGTTTTGTAGATATTAATCCAGATATATCACAGATGTTTTCTCCCAAGTCATCATTTATATTAGGTTGGTGCAAAAGTAATCGCGGCTTTTGCCATTGAAACTAATGGCAAAACCTGCGATTACTTTTGCACCAACCTAATATTTGCACTCTGCCTGGTATATTTTATCATATATGTGATTTTTAAAATAATATGATTAAATCTATTAATGTTTAATTTTTTGTTTTAGTATACTAGTTTTTGTTTTAAAAGACCTTTACTTTCTAAAAGCTCTCTTTCTCTCTCCATATATACATATTTAATGTTATTATAAATATATCTTATTCTACCTCAACATTTTAAGTGAATAATCATACATTCTCTTTCTATACTTTATAATTTGGCTTTTGCAGTTATTTATTTGAAATATTTGGGTTTTTTGTTTGTAATTTTTCTAATGAATAGGCATTTAAATTAGGTTTATTTTCTCCGTTTTCCCATTTTTGTTATTATATTAAAAGTTTCTTTATTATTTCACAAAATTAAATATCATCTACATATATTATAACCAAACATAGATGTGGTTCTGATCTAGTTGTCTCTATTTTCATCAGTTTGTTTATTTATCACTGCCCCAGTGCCATAGTTTTACAATACATTTTATCATCTAGTGGAGAAACCTCTGACATTCTTTAAAAACTTCTAATGCCAGGTATATACCCCGAAGATTTTAAAACAGATTGAAATACATGTGGGCGCATGTTCATATTCCAAATATTCATATTCCAACTAAAAAGTAGAAACAACTCAAACATCCATCACTATATGAATAGATAAGCAAAATGTCATATATATACACACACATACACACACACACACACACATATATATATGTATATGCACAATGGGACACTCTTCAGGCATAAAAAGGAACTAAGTAATGATATATTTTACAATGTGGATAAACCTTGAAACATGCTAAGTGAAAGAAACTAGACACAGAAGGTCAGATCCTGTTTATATGAGATATTTAGAATAGGTAAATCCATAGAGGCAGAAAGCAGATTGGTAGTTCCTCGGGGGATGGGAAGAAAAGAACAGGGGATAACAATTTACTATGTATGGGTTTTTATTTTAGAGTGATGAAAGTGTTTTGACACTAGACAGAGGTAGTGATGGCACACATTGTAATGAAGCACATCTTAACAAATTGTTCACTTTTTTTCTTTATTTTTCTCCTTTGTGAATTTCGGGTACTTTAAAAAAAAAAGCTTCCAATGCCAAAATATCTATATCATCTTTTCCAGATTTATATCCCATTTTCTGTATTGATTTACATTAAAAATCCTATTGAGATTTTCATTATCACATTATATTCATAGTTTGAAAGGTGTAGATTAATTGTAACATTGAAAGTTTCTAAATAGCAACATAGGATAACATATATAGTTACTTAATTTCTGGTGTCTCCTTCAGAAAAGTTTTACAAACATATGTTGCTCAGTTATTTTTGGGTTTACTATAAACCATTTCATATCATTCTGAATGTCATTTTTCTCCTATTTTCTACACAGTTATTGCTAGTGAGCAGGAAAATTACTGATTTTAATTATTTATCTTGTACCTGACCATCTTGTTGATTGTTCTTCTTATATCTAATAATTTGCCCCTTGATTCTAATGAGTTTTCTATATATTTGATCACATACACAAACGCATCATCTAAGGTTAATGATAGTTACTCTCCTGTTTTGTATACGCATGAAAATTTTGTTTTCAATTTGTGTTTTCCTCTTCATTGGCTGAAACAGTCAGTACCATTCTGAATGCGACTGTGGTTAATAGATATCCTATTTATGTTTTTGACTTTGAAGGTATTGCTTCTAATGCTTTACTCACTGTGCAATCATTGTTCTAAGTTTCTTGCCCAGAAGTTTTTATTTTCATGAAGCTAGTGAAGCTTAAGCTTTAGAACCTATTCATTAACACTCTTTTCCGAAGGCTTTAGTACTAATTTTCTGTTCCTAATTCTGTTATTTTGTATAAAGACATTCTGTTGCTCAGCTCATATAAGCTTCTGGTGTGTGGGGTGTGTGTGATTGTTCACAACTGCTTCTTAAATCACATGTCCTTGTAGATTTCAGTTTTGCTTTTTCAATGTACATTTCACAATTTGACTTCATATTACTGTTTCAAGATGATAAATGTTCTGACAAAGCTTCATTTCTCTTTTCCTTTCTTAAAGCATTGAAAACCCTTCTTCATCCTTGTTTACTCTGTTGCTGCTCAGAAAGAAAATATGAAACTTCTATCACAAGTATTAGAGATATTATCTCGTGTTTTCTAGACTAGAAATTTTAGCTTTTCCCTTTGTCCACACATTGCTTCTGAGTAAGGTGTGCTTATTTTTTCTGGTCATTCTATTCTCATGTGATATGTTTTTTTTTCCAATGACGGTGCCTACATTCTTCAGTTGTGGTACATTTTCTTCAATTAAATTGAATTATTCTCTTATTTTTAGATTTTTTAAATATCAGAAATTCTGAATTTTGTTTCCATGTTTCCTATCTTAAAAAATACTTTTAAGCCCATTGTCTTTGGGCTTAAATAATAAAAATTGAGAGTCTGGGTTTCTGTTGAAATCACTTATTATATTCTATTGTTGTTCTGGTGAGCCATTCAAAACATGTAGTTTAACAATTATTTAAAATTTACAAGACTTGTTATTTATGGTGTTGGCAAGCATAATATGAAACAAAAAATAGAATGATACAACCCCTTACAATACTACATGTGCTCGGGCCAAAATATAGCATAATATGTTTACCCATTCTCCTGAAGTCATACAGTTTGCTTCCATGTTTAAAGGTTTTACAAGCAATATTGTATTTAACATTATTTTACATGTCTCCTTGTGTATAAGTGCATTCCTCAAGAATATATATCTCAGAGGAAATTGTTGTATCTTATGGAATGTATGTTTTGCATTTACTCAGTAAGTCAAATTGTTACTGAAAGTGATTGTTTTAATTAATTCTCCTAATTATAGAAAACAATTGTCCCTATTGCTCTACAACATTTTCAACTTTTGTCAGATTTTTTAATATTTTGCTTCACTAATAGGTGGCAGATTATACTTCATTTTGTGTTTAATTTGCATGTTACTATTTATAAGGAAGACTACAAATATATTTTTGGTTTTTCAGGTTAATTTGTCTCTCAATATACATTAAGGTGCTTGACTCATTTTTCATTGTTTGTTTTCTTTTCGATATAGAGGAGTTTTATATAATCTTGTTGCTATGGATTTTTTTAGATCTACCTATGCCAATATCTTCTTATAATCTCTGGCTTGTCTTTACTCCCTTAAAGCATTTAAGATAATGGCGGATGTACAGAAGTTACAACTTTCATTGTGGCAAAATCAATATTTTCCTTAATAGTTCGTGTTTTTTATTTCTTGCTTGAGAAATTATTGTTTAAGATATATTTTCTTCTCAAAGCTTTAAAGGGATGCCTTTAATTTTCTATAATTGAATTTTGTATGATATATTAGGATTTAGTTTTATTTTTTCTGTATTTTAAAACTAACTGGTGCAGTAATTTTTGCACAGGTCTAATGCCACACTCTCTTAAATGCTACTGTTCTCAAAAAAAAAAAGTCTCACTTCATAACAAGTAAGTTTTTCTACCCATTATAATATTCATCACTTATCTTTGCTATTGATAGTGTTTTGCTCCTTTACATTTAAGTTAAAATAGCTTGTCCTGTTTCTAGTAAAATTTTAATGAGAATTTGATTGGAACGTATAATTGTTATTGTCATTATTATTAGGTAGAGAGACATAGCATGTTTACCATCTTTACTCCTTTTATTTTTGAACATAGGCATCCTCCATGTATAGCAGACCACTAGAAGGTATCCAAATCTTAACTTCTGGAAACTGTGAATATATTATATGGCAAAAGACACCTGCTGGTGTGAATAGGTTAAGTTTCTCAAGTTGGGGAGATTACCCTGTGTCTTAGTCCATTTGTGCTGTTGTATTATAGTACCACAGACTGGGTCATTTATAAAGAGTAGAAATTTGTTTCTCACAGTTCTGGAAGCTGAAAAGTCCAAGGTCAAGGTGCTGGCAGCTTAGGTTTCAGTCTCTGCTTCCAAAATGATGCCTTGAATGCCGCATCCTCCAGAGGCGAGGAACACTACGTCCTCACCTGGCAGAAGAGTGGAAGAGAAGAACCGTGTCCTGCAAACCCTCTTTATGATGCCATTAAACATACCACTTCCCAACATTGTTGCATTGAAAATTGTTTTCAACACATGAAGTTTGCAGTACCCATTCAAACTATAGCATCCAGAATTATCAGAATGAGCCCAAAGTAATCACAAGTTATAATTGACAAAAAGAGGCAGGGGCATGAGAGAAAGAGAGGTGATGACTGAAACAGAAATCACAGTGATGGAATTTCTGATTAGGGACTGTGATACAAGGAATACAAGCAGCCTTTGTAACCTAGAAAGGGCGTGGAAGGAATTCTTCCCCCAGATACCCCAGAAGCAACACCATCCTGTGCACACCTTGATTTGAGCCTGATGAAACTCCTTTTATAGACTCGTCTTCTGAGCTGCAAGAGAATAAATTTGTTTCATAGGCCGCTAAGTTTGTGGTAATTGGTTACAGCAGCAATAGGATACTAATATACCAATTAATTAAATATCCCTACATTTTTAAAATAAAGTTTTATAACTTTCTCTTCAAAGTTCAGATAACTATCTCAGATTTATTTCTATGCAGTTTATAGAAAGGTAGGCTTTCTCTTTCTGATTATAGCCTTGTAATTGATTTTGTAAATTGATCTAATATTCAGATTTGTTAAAATACCTTATTAATAATATTTCCTATATCCTCCTTAGCTTCTGTGTATATAATACACATAAATAATCATATTATTTTTGAAAAATGACAGTTTCATTTATTTCTCTTTTTTAACTTTTTGTCTTACTCCGTTAGTAAAAACTTCTAGTTAGTGTTGACAAGAAGTAGTGATACTGGATAGTCCTTGCCTCATTCCTGATTTAGAGTGAAAATATGATCTATATTGTGTATTGTTTAATGTTCCAGGAGGAAAACAAGTATTTAGTTACTCGGAGTTTAAATGAAGAAGCTTCAGTTTAAAGGATTGGTTATGAAAGTGCTGAAATGTGGAAGGAGTAAAATGAAAAACATGATGTTGTTCAAATATCTGTAATTGCTTTAGGGTATGAGGAATAAAAAGAATAAAGTTGTGTTACATAAATTGCTGCAGCTTTTGCTTTTAGAACTGCCACTTGACATCTGAGCACAAATCCAAGAAGTAATATTATTAGTCTTCTTGTCCTTAGCAATAGAAAGGAGAGGGTAGAAAAAAACTTGAGACTGAAAGCCAACAGGCAAATCACTGGCACATTCCACATTTTGGGCTACTAAGCAATCTTATGCATGATGCCACTTATATTTGCTTACAATAACACTAGAGATATTTTGCGTTTGTCTAGCATGATGCAATTATTCGTCATGCATTAAAATGCTCTAATTCTTCCACCAAATTAGATTAACTAAGGGTACATCAGTCACTGCATCTATCTTTGAGTGATGTTGGTTCTTTTCTTATCCAGTAACCTAAATATTCTGGGCCCTAAAAAATAAACTGTTAACCATAACCAACACTTATTTTATAAAGTAGTAGAAAAGTAGAAAGTAAAAAAATGATTATTATATACAAATAAATGTGAAAAAGGAAGAAAGCCAAAATACATGCCTTCCACAGTCCTCATTTCTGTAACTAGAAACTAGTAAGCAAGTTAATTCTTACAGCTGTTTGCAACAATACCTCTCTTTCCATGTTCCCTTTATGCTAAGGGGGTATCTAAAGTTGGTCATAGTTTTTGATCTCTTGAGGTGATCTAAATCTGCACTTTGAAAAATATAAATTTTTAGTGGTCTTGATTTTTTAGTTTGACGTCGTCTTTCAACCACTTTTCACTGAACATGGAAACCGTAA
The DNA here is from genome assembly GCF_000001405.40 of Homo sapiens. NCBI lineage: Eukaryota > Metazoa > Chordata > Mammalia > Primates > Hominidae > Homo > Homo sapiens. Next base: position 29,489,295 of record NC_000018.10, read on the forward strand.
GAGAATTTCCAGAAAATTCTTAAAGTTTCAGGCGTAGATCTTTTTGTCTCCACTGTGATGAAGGAAACTGATTTTTTCACAGCTTTAGGATTAAGGTCCTCAGCCAGTACAGTGAACCTTTTCTGTGTTTGTCCACAATTGTATGGAGCCTAATATAACCAGTTGGCCGCTTTAGCTTCCATCCCAAGGAAACTGTTGTTGTGCTCCTACAGGAAGCAGTGGGATAGAAGACCTCTGAACCATCAGACCAGGGTTAAAGTGCTGTGAATCAAATATTTTATGAGTGGCTTATAAGGTGTAACAAGTAAGGCATTGCCACTTTGTTTCAGTTAAGTAGCTAGGATACCGGGGAAACAATGGAACCCCAAATATAAGTGTTTTAAAACAACACATGCTCATTTCTTTCTTATTTTCAATAACCATCATAAAGTGGCTTGGGGTTCTCCTCCATGCAGACCTCCTTCTGGTATCCAGGCTGGCAGAGCAGTTACTCCCTGTTATATTAATACATGCAGTGGCTAAGGGAAAGAAGATAACGCTATGCTAAGACGGATTCTTAAATCTTCTGCCTGGAAGTGACAATATGTAACTTTTGTTCACATTTTAGAGATGAAAGAAAATCATATATTATTCCTAAGGAGTCAGGAAAGTATAATCCTACCGTGTAAATAAGAGATGAACTAGAAATATGGGATTAATCAGGACTATCACAGTCTGCCCCCCTGATAACCAAATATTGGATTGCTTGTTCCTTCCACATGCAAAATACACTCACTACTTCCTCAAATAATCCTACCACAAATTCTTATTTGTTCACAGTATCAGTCTCAAGAGCTGGCATTTTTGAACAATTTTGAATAGTCTTTCCATCAGGAATAGTTGCAAAAACATCTCTGACCCAGATTTTTATCAGATTACCTTTGGGATTCAGAGAACTAAAAAGACAAGTTACTTTCCCACACACGGCCTCTATGGATAACTAGGATATGGACTCCCATGAGGAGCACTGAAGAAGGTCTGACATATTGTTCGTGTGTGTGTCTGTATTTATTTATTTACATCTACTTACATTTACATTTATAAAAGTATTATGTCTGGGCTAGGTGCCAGTGGCTCACATCTGCAATGCCAGCACTTTGGGAGGCCGAAGCAGGAGAATCACTTGAGGCTAGGAGACCGAGACAAGCCCAGGAAACATAGAAAGACCCTGTCTCTACAAAAAAAAAAAAAGAAGAAGAATTGTAAAAATTAGCTTGGCATCGTGTCACACACTTGTAATCTTAGGTACTTGAGAGGCTGAGGCAGGAGGATTGCTGGAGCTCAGGAGTTCAAGGCTACAGTGAGCTATGGTCAGGCCACTGCTCTCCGGCTTGGGCAACAGCAGAAGACCCTGACTCTAAAAAATGAATAAATCAATAAATAAAATCCTTTTGGGGTCAATATCTACTTGTTATTACAATGTATTTTAATTTCTTGGTATGACCTAAGTCAAGATGTGATATAAACTCATAAATTTCACTTTCTCTACGCCATGCCTTTTTCTGGTGTTGAGCTGACATCTCATTTCTCTTCCTGCCTGAGAAGGTTGTCAGCCCATGGCTTGCGCCAAGTCTCAAGTGTTGCTGTGTCTTGTGATCTAGGATGGTAGGGGTTTGGCAGTCAAAAATTTTATTAGCCTCATATATTTTATTGTAGTCATCTCCATGTACCAATAACTATGGTCACATTCTTTTCCAGTTAAATTTCTTACTCTTGCTATTTAATTAATTAATTTAATTTTTGTTTCTTTTTCTTGATTTATTTCCAGACACATTTATCCTTTCAGGTTTTGGTGAGAGAATGACATCTTTAATCCCTTTTTAAAGACATTTTGGCCAATTTAATGAATTTAATTAGTGGTTTACTCTTAGTTAGGGCTTTTATCTAGGACACATTAATACATCACATACTCACATCCTCTTGATTTGAACCTTGTCATGAGGTTTAGTTTCAACTTGCCTTTGAAACTGAAGACTTTCTTAGATTTATATTTTAGCAGTTGACACTGAAAAAAGAATTCTCTTCTAGAACTACGGGTTTCAAAATTTATGAACTTTCTCTATTCCAATTTATTCCTGCTTGTACACTACCCGAAATTTCTGAGTTCATCTCTCTTTTATACTACATTTTCAAGTTCAGGTAAAAGCAGTCAACACACAGTAATACCATTCTGTTATATGACTTTTTGCCTTAGAGTATAACCTCATTTTGTACATAATTGAATTCAAAATTATCAGAAGCAATATTTTCAAATGATTCACAGCTGCATTAAAAGGGACACCATCCTTTCAGTCACAGAAAATTGTTTACTTGCTGCGTAACAAACAATCATGATAGTGTTGGAAATTGTATGTATGTATGTATGTGTGTATATATGTGTGTGTATGTGCATATACATATATAAACATATATAGTTATACAGAACACATAAACATATAAATATGTACATATAATATAAACACATATATAATTGGTGATTATATATATATATATAAAATTATACCACATGTTCTCTCTTTCTCTCTCTCTCTTTCTCTCAGTGCCTACTCATCGCTACAATGTATTTTAATCTCTCAGATAATCCAGGTAATAATGTGGTACCAACCTGTAAATCTCAGTTGCTCAGTGGTTTAAAACAACAAAGGTTTCCTTTTTACTCCTTTTACATGTCTGTCACAGATTGGCTGAAGCTCTGTTCTCTCATCATCACTCTGGGAAACAGACTAAGGGGGCAGGCATCATCTCAATTACTGCTGATGATAACACAGAACCGAAAGAGTGCTATGACAACCTGGCTCCTCAATGTCAGCTTGGAACTAAAACATATCATTTCAATTTTTATTTCATTGTGAATGCAACGTGGTTCTTCCAAAGATCAAAAGAGATAGAATGCACAATCTGACCATGTGCCCAAATTCTTGATGAACAGCAGTGATATTTTTCTTATATATCCACCACTTGATTCCAAGACCTATGTATTCTGGCAACAACAACAACAACAACAAAAAACCAGAATCAAAATGTAGTCAATGTTTCAGAGCCCATACATCATCTTACAGAAGAGTATTCCAAACCCACAGGCTAGTCTCCTAGCTAGAACCTAAACTGAGTATTCAATAGGCAATTGCAACATTTTATGAAGGCCAACAGCTTTTAGATAATAAAGTATATCTTAAAGGCAATAAATTTTATATGTTTGAAGCCACCAGTACAGTATTTTAATGAAAACTAATTTTCTTGGACAGAAGCAATACTTTCTATGATATCATAATGGTAAATACATGGTAGAAGTCCATAGATGGTGACTGACATACAATTCCAGGAAGCAAGATGTTCAGAATGAGTATCTTTTCCATTTGGGAAAAAACACTGTCTGTGATTCAAAAGGTCAAATATAAGCAATCTGCCTCTAGGTAACTTACTGGTGTCTGTGGTAAACTGTGCCATAGCATAGACTTAATCTCTGCTCTTGGGAAAATAGATACACATTGAAGTGGTGGTCATCTCATGATAGGGAATACCTTAGTCCATTTGTGCTGTCATAACAAAATACCTGAGACTGGGTAATTTATAAAAAACAGAAATTTATTTTTCATAATTCTAGAGGCTGGGAAGTCCAAGATCAATGCACTCACACATTTGGTCTGCTGAGGCCTTCCTGCTGCATCTTTACATAGCAGAAGGCAGGAGGGTGAAGTAAGTGAACACTACGAGAAATACCCTTTAAAATAGGCTTAATGCCATTAAGGTGGATGCTGCCCTCATGGCCTAATCACCTCTTGTGAAAGTCCCACCTCTTCATCCTATCCCATTAGCAACACCATTATTTTGGAGAGTATGCATTCAAACCAGAGAAGGAACTCCTAAATATTAAACATGTATGCAACCTCCACACCTACTACCATTTTTTTTTATATGGCTGTGTTGGACAAGGCTTGTCATGTTAGATAAGAAAGCTGAATAACAGTCAAATGGTGGGTCATAGTGTACTCCTGATTATTTCTAATTTTCTTTGTAGCACTTTGTAAGCATTTCTGTTAGGCATAAATATTTACATATTCTGTACCCATTCCAAGAAGTCAACTTACATTACTCTTGTCCATTTATTTATGCAAACAGGAAAACAACAACAACAACTTCTAATTTTGTTCTTTTTAGGTCCCTGACCACTGACCATAGAGTTGGTCACTACCCACAACTTAATGCAGGACCTTTGCTCATAACCTCCATTCAGTCAGAGTGAAAAACAAATGTACTCTGCAAACATGTGCCTACTGGAAAGATTTATCTTACCGTTTGTCTTTTAGGGACATTCCTGAGTGGGACCTTGACGCTATAGCAGTCAATTTCCAGAGAGTGCCATCATAGCATGAAAAACCATCCATAAGCCAAACGTAGGCTTTTTCTTTTGTTTGATTATTTATTTCCTCAAACAACTAATAACAAGGAAGAATTCACATGGCCCGATGCTGTGGCTCACACCTGTAATCCCAGCACTTTTGGAGTCCGAGGCGTGCAGATCATTTGAGGCCAGTAGTTCAAGACCAGCCAGGCCACCATGGTGAAACCCCATCTCTACTAAAAATACAAAAATTAGCCAGGCGTGGGGGCATGTGCCTGTAGTTCCAGCTACTGGGGAGGCTGAGTCAGGAGAATTGCTTGAAACCAGGAGATGGAGGTCTCAGTGAGCCGAGACAGTGCTACTGCACTCCAGTCTGGGCAACAGAGTAAGACTCAGTCTCAAAAAAAAAAAAAAAAAGAATTAATAAGGTCAGAGATGCAGGATATATATTTAACTAATCTTGAAAAATGGCCATGTAAAAGGTGAGAATTCAAAACTTGTGACCTAATACTATTGTAAAAGAAAAAGCAGGAATTAAACACTTAAAATTCCTGGAAACTCTTACTATTGAGATTGCCAAAATGGAAGAATCTAAGAATGTATTACTTTTGAATGGTAAGAAAACATAAATCAAAAGAATACAAAAAGCAACACAAAAGCAAACTGTGACATAAATAAGAGGCACAAATCATGGGATGAAACTGAACAAGTATAATATCTTAGATTGGAAGATAAATCCCACTAATTTTCCAAATATAAAATGCTCAGTATAAAAAAGAAAGTACTTTTATCAGCATATGACTTAATTTGGTAAAAATATCTTTCTTAAATTCAGTTCTCTTCTACTGACTTTCAAAGGAATAATGATTAAGAAGAAAGACCTGCTCCCTGCTGGGTTTGTTATTGTGTGCTTGCTAGTTTCCTGTAACTGTTAAATTGGAGCTTTATTAAAACATCAAATTGCAGTATAATCTCTTCAGTCAAAATAGTAACATGACAGGCAAAACTTTTAAAAAATGTTAAGAATATTTGTGGCATTTCTGATAGGGAAAAATTATGTTTTAAGTGGCCTTTATTATTTTTCATAAAAAATGCTTGAAATCCAGTTCAGGCTTTTCACAGGATTGGGAGCTGGTCTTCCCAGTCACCTTTGCCGTTTACTAACTGTTTGTCATTTCCAAGTGTCATTACTTCTCTATGTCTCAGTTCTTCATTTGAAAATGTAAATCATTTTATAGAAATCTAGAAATTATTATTATTATCTACTTTTAAAATGATCATTATTATACTCACTGTCAATAGATTGATATATAGAGTATATTGATGTTTTTCATGGAAAGTTTTATGATTTATATTTTATGACATATAATCTGTCAATGGTGTTTACTAAATATAATAGAATATTCTTATTTCACACTATTGGCCTTGCTAGAAAAAGAAACTACTAACTAGTATCCTAATGTTCTTTTCTCTTCCACAAACAAAAATAGAGTCTATGTATTCCTGTATGGTCAAGAACTCTCCTTTTGTCAGATAAATAGACTAGCTTGTGCTGATTTTGAGAACAGGAGTTCTCAGCTCACAGCAGTTATTGAGCTGATTATTTAGCAATTTAATTTTATTTGTTGATATATAAAACAATATGGACCAGGATTATCTGCAGTAAGATTATCCATTATTTATTGAGAGATTTTAGTGTGTTTAATATGATAAACAGTTGTATAATAAGCAAACAGCAGATCCCAAAACAGTTCTAAGAACCTAGATAATTCTAGGTCAAATTGTAAAATCTTTATTTAGGTAATTTGCATTTTTTAATGTTATCTCAATTGCAAATGAAAATAGTTGTATTATTTAGGTCTATCATTATTTAAGACAACAAAAGCCATGGCCTAAGATTAGTATGTATTGTACATTTCACTAATTATTTGGAAGAGCATTTGCATACTCAATTGTGCCCAGAAAATCTCAGACAATATTTCCTAAATGTCTGAAATTTGTAAATAAGTACTTCAGCTTCTATTTTGTAAATAACATTTGAAGGCAGCTATTTTACTGAATTAAAAATAGTCTTAGTTCTATAAAATATGTGCAAGTCTTTGTTACAATCAGCATTAACAATTCCTGTGTCATGTTCACCAATCCAGGAAGGTCTGGCTAATGGGATAATAATCTGTGTTTATATAATGCAGACTTCAGATTTTATGATAATATAATAAAAGATTATTTGTATCAGATTTCCAATTTTAGGTGCATAATTGCTTCTGCCATCTCTCCTAAGCAGGCAATTTTTTAAACCATATCTTTATGAGGAAGTATTTCAATTGACATAATTATTTTGAGACTTAGTATAGAATTCTTCAAATGTGGTTGTGATGAACATACTCTAGGTTTGTCTCTATTGGGAAGAAATTTATATTTCATGTTTATATTTCTCCTATAATACTCTTCAGTGCTATACTAAATCACTGACTATCAATTTAATTTGATACAAAGAGCCAAATTTTTCATGAGTTTTAGATGCAGCATAATATTTTGCACCTGCATTTTTACAGGCATGGAATTTAATTGCTCCTTTATTTGGCTAATTATTTTTATATTTGGCCATTTTGGCCATTACACTGAAATTCAATTATGCACTTATTGATGCCCTTGGGAAATTTTGCCCTATACTGACAATTTATGGTTGTAATTTAATTGCAGAACGGTGTGTGGAAAAAAAGTGCCTATTAAGTCTATTGAGAAGGGTGAAGACATACAGTTGGATGTTGAAATAAATGTCCAGAATGAGAACTATTATTGGCAAGTACTTTCAAACCATTGCACAATTACATTTTTGGAGAGACCTATTTGATTATGCTCTATTTTTATTTTGTACAGACTTTTGCTTTCCAGGAGAAATACACGTTGTGTATGAATGCATATAACTTCATATACACCATTGTTGTACATTAATTGTAAATCACCTGTTTCTTCATAGACTGAATGTTTTTTTTTTTCAAAAATGGGTGAGTAAATTTTAACTTGTCTTTATGTTGTGCAAAGATAATATGGGAAATAAAGGGATGTCAATGCAACTGTATTTTTTTTAAGGAATTCTGTTTTACTCCAAGAGCTCCTCAATATGTATTGTACCTTCTCCTGTTTGTTAAAGTAGATCAGAGTAAAGACATTTGACATTGTCAACTATAGTGAAAAGTAACAAAATAGCATAGGGCAGGATAAATGGTTTTAATTTTAAAATAAGATCATTTGCTTTAATGTAAGAGACCAATTATTATTTGTATAAGTACTTGAAACTCTGAAACCAAGCATCAAATCAAGATATCAAGTGCCTTCATGTGCTTCCAATCTAAAATTTATTTTTAAACCTTTATCAATTTAATGTCTATATGTGACAAAACATTAAATTTTAGGGTCTTATACTGAAGGAGCTCTTAACTTCACTCATCTCATTTTCAGTCACACTTCTTAGAGATGAACATTTTAGTTCATTCTCATTTTAGTTCCATTGACAGTTACCCTTTTAATTATAAAAGAAAGCTTATTATATAATTACTTTTCCAAATTCCTATATGGATGTTCAGTTTGGAAAGGTAAAGGTTTAATTCCCATTCTTCAACTTCTACTTCCACTCAATCCCTTCTGAAATATTTGTTCGTATAATTGATTTTAATTCTTCTACTATTTTTATATGTAACTTTTTATTTTTTGTATTTCATTTTTTTTATTGACACGGATTCACACTGTTGCCCAGACTGGAGTGCACTGGCGCCATCACGGCTCAATGCAACCTCCCACACCAGGGTTTAAGATTCTCGTGCCTCAGCTTCCTGAGTAGCTGGGATCACAGGTGACCGCCACCACTCCGGGCAAAAATTTTTTTCTTTTTTTTTTTTTTGTTATTTTTAGTAGAGATGGGGTTTCGCGATGTTGGCCGGGCTGGTTTATAACTCTTGACCTCAGGTGATCCGCCTGCCTTGGCCTCCTAAAGTGCTGGGATTACAGGCATGAGCCACCGCACATGGCTGTAACTTTAGATAATATTTTTAAATCACCATTTTCCATCAGTTTTGATACCCACACATAAAGTGAACATTTTAATGTCTAAAACCTTTACTTGGATTCTGTTCTGCCACCTCCCGGTTTTTTCAGCTCTACCTTTGTCTATGTTTCAAAGGCTGGTTGCATTTGCACTGTGCTCACTATGTTAAATTGCATATGCTCTACCCGTAGTTTGAGTCTAAAAGTTGAAACCAATGAACATCATTGTATTTTTATGAACATATAAACTACTCTTTAAATAAAGGCACCTAGTTTTATAGAACATTTTCCTTACAGGTCAAATATTAAGATTTCTATTCTATTTCAGGGTTCCTTTGAACCTACGGATTTACATTTTTTAAATGGCATGTATGTATGTTACCTTTTAGTTTTTAGTTAATTTCATTTTTTTTTTTTTTTTTTTTTTTTTGAGACGGAGTCTCACTCTGTCGCCCAGGCTGGAGTGCAGTGGCGCGATCTCAGCTCACTGCAAGCTCTGCCTCCCGGGTTCATGCCGTTCTCCTGCCTCAGCCTCCCAAGTAGCTGGGACTACAGGCGTCCGCCACCACGCCTGGCTAATTTTTTGTATTTTTAGTAGAGACAGGGTTTCACTGTGTTAGCCAGGGTGGTCTGGATCTCCTGACCTTGTGATCTGCCAGCCTTGGCCTCCCATTAACTTCATATTTTAATCATGGCATTATTAAACGTTGTTTTGTTTTGAACTTTGAAAATTTTGAATTTTAAATTATTTCTCCCTTCCTTTCTTCCTTTCTTCTTTCCTTTTTCTTTTCTTTTCTTCTTGTGGTCACTGAAAAAATAAATGTATGTCTTCTTTACTATATTCTTAATATACTGCCAATTTTTAGCTATTTCTACGTGTTGCAGTAAAATCCCTCCATTTTTTTGTTCATGCAGAAGTTTTTGGAGCTGATTGTCTGGTCACACTGGGATCAATTGATGCCTCATTAATATTTCTTTTCATTGACCTCCTGGTTTACTTCTACCACTTCTTATATCCTACATCTTCCTGTTTGTTGCTTTCCATATACTTTTTTTTTTTTTGAGGTGGGGTCTCACTCTGTTGCCCAGGCTGGAGTGCAGGGGTGCAATCTCGGCTCACTGCAACCTCCACCTCCCAGGCTGAAGCAATCCTCCTGCCTCAGCCTCCTGACTAGATGGGATTACAGGTGCCCGTCACCACCAAAAAAAATTAGCCTGGCTATTTTTTTTTTGTATGTTTGGTAGAGACAGGATTTCACTAAGTTGCCCAGGCTAGGCTTGAACTTCTGAGCTGAGGCGATCCACCCACCTCAGTCTCCCAAAGTACTGGAATTACAGGCATGAGCCACTGCATCAGGCCTTCATTTACTTCTTTATTAAAATAGAGCATCAGGTAATTTTCTCAGAAAGAGTCTGGAGATTCACGCTTTCTTAATTATAGTACAATGGAAATCTTCTTATTTTCTTATAATTTAAGTATGTGTAGAATTCTTTTTCAAAATAAGTTTTCCTTCAGATATGAAGGCATTGACTTATTGAATCCTTTATCTTTTGTTGCCAATGAAAAGATTGATGCTACCTTGGTTTTTTCTTTTGTTTATTTGGTTTTGTATTTTTTTCAGATATATGTTCAATCTTCTCATTGTTCTTCACTTTCTAATAAAATTTCACCTATCATTTATTTTATAATAATTTTCGCCATTTTCTGACGTTCTCTCCCCAAAGCTCATTTTAGTTAGATATTGGATTTCTAACAATAGACCCTTTGTTTTTTAATATTCTATTTTTATCTCTATCTCCATTTTATCGCTATCAAAATTTTGTGTTTTGTCATTATTCTAAGCAGATTAAACACCTTTCGCTGCTTCATGGATCCCAATCCTATGTGTATCTTCCCATGCACTGTTTCACTTTATACCTTTAGTTGCTTTTTTCTTTGGATAGTGAAAATTATAATGTACACACCTTGCTGATTTGCAGTCAGTAGTCACATTATAGCACTAATAATATTGGTTTATAGCAATGCCCACTCTGATTGGTGATGCTATTGATGGGGTTTCGTCATGTTGGCCAGGCTGGTTTCAAACTCCTGGCCTCAGGTGTTTTATTTTATTAGTCTGTCCCAGTGCCACTTTGTTTGTTAAATATTTTCAATATTTCCCATTCATAAACACATGATAGTACTTGAAAAATATAGAATAGTGCAACAAACCAAAACTAGAAAATAAAAATTACTTTTACCAAAATAGATTCATTAACAATAACATGTGTATATTCTTCTAACATTAGTATCTATTTGCTTGCAAAATAAAGACTAAATTACAATTGACCCTTGAACAATGTGGGGGTTTCACAGTTGAAAATCTGCACATGATTTTTGACTTCCCCAAAACTTGACTGCTAATAGACTACAGTTGACCAAAGCCTTACCAATAACATAAACAGTCGATTAATACATATTTTGCATGTTATATGTATTATGTACTGTATTCTTATAATAAAGTAAGTCAGAGAAAAGAAAATGTTATTACAAAAACCATAAGGGAGATAATATATATTTACTATTCATTAAGTGGAAGCAGATACTCATAAAGGTTTTTATCTTTGTTGTCTTATCATTGAGTGGGCTGAGGAGAAGGAGGAAAAGGAGGGTTTGATTTTACTGTTTCCCGGGAGAAAGAGGCAAAAGAGGTAGAGGAAATGGAAGGGGGAGCAGGAGAGACAGGCACACCCAGTGTGACTTTTATATTTAAAAGTCTGTGTATAAGTGGACTATCACAGTTCAAAACAGTGTTGTTCAAGAGTCAACTGTGTTACTAAGATATATACCTAATTTTTATTTTATCATTTATGACCACCATTTTCTATAATTGTAAATATTCTTCAGTGGGATATTTAGTGGATGAATAGTAAGTTATCTTTCTGAAAATATAATCATTTATTTATCTAAACTTATCTTTGAGGCATGAAAATCTCCGTAATTTTTTAGAAAAACTTTCTTTTTTACCCAAAGCAAAAAAAAAAAAAAAAAAAAAAAAAAAAAAACGGGAATGTTGGCATGCGGTGTCAAATTACTGTGAAGAAAAGTACATCATTTAAATTTCCCACCAACTTTTTTCTTATATTGCTGTTTCTCCCTCTCTTGCTAGTCATAGAAATTTAAATGTCTTCTATAATTCTGCAAAGTTCAAGCCTAAAGTTGGGCCTAATTTTCTTTTGTATTCCTTTGATTGCTAACCAGGGCACATATTTTCTAACATAACGGTATGTGCAAAAGTTAATAATGTTTTCATTTTAAGTAGAATGAATCTCAATTGGTTTTATGCTTACAAAGATGTTTCCCATAGCAAAACCTAAAATATATTTTTCTATAACTTCTGCTTATTTAAAATATTAATTTATTTAAAATTAATTTTGATATGTTCTTTTTTATTATTTTATTTTTTAATTAATAGAGATGAGGTCTCACTATGTTACCCAGGCTGGTTTCAAACTCCTGAGCTCCAGCGACCCTCCCACCTTGGCCTCCTAAATTGCTGGGATTACAGGCTCGACCTACCATGCCCAGCCTAATTTTGATATGTCTTATCATGTAAAAATATGGCTTATATTTTTTGAAAAGACACTTAAAATTGTGCTTGGACAAATTATTCAACATTATAGGATAATTCTTTCTTCCTCCACTCATCTAAAACCAATGTTAATTATATATGAATTTCTTACATTTGGGACAATCTACTTGTGGGCTTTCTTTTTATACCCCTGAGCAATCTGCCTACCTTTGTAAGAGGGCTAAATCCATTTTAGGACTGTAGTATTTTACTGCATTGTATAATTTATGGAGTCAGGTTTACTGAATTTTTTTTATAAAAAATCTTTGTAATTTTTTCATGAGTTGTTCTCAGGTGAAATGCAGACTAAGTTACCATTCCAAAAAAGATGTATGAATAAATAAAACCCTTGTACGAATTTGAAATTTCAATAAAACCCTTAAAATATTTGTTGACTATAGCATAGTTTTTAAGAGCACAATCATTACAATCAAAGAGACCTAGGCTTAAAGTATAGTTCCTCTGGTTACTAAGTATGGAATAATCAGAAGTAGACTGTATAGTGTTTTCCAGGTTTGATATTTTTCAGACTCAAAGGAGGATAATAATATAGGCCTCACAGGGATGTTGTGAATTTTAAAGAGATAATTATTTTAAGTGCTTACCTGAGTGAGAACCTGGCACTAAGTAATCATTGAATACACGGTTGCAGTATTAATCTAATTTTGTCATAATACTGACTTGGGCGTGACATGGACTGATTTACTGATCACCCTTAGACACTTTCTGGTTGATAATATAAGATGATTTCATCTCTGAAGTATTTCAAAAGTTAAAACCACAAACTCAGCCTTCTTTGTCAGAGCAAGAAGATTTCTTAATCCAGGAAAACTAATATGATATAATATGAACGTCATCATTACATGTAATGATGACTAAGCCTGTTAGTAAAATGTCTGGCTTTGCCTTATGTTATGTTAATGACCTCCCATGAATCATGCCTCCCTAGTTCCATGCCCTTTTGCATCTTGACTTTGTCATTGTTCTCATCAAAAAGTGAAGTTTATTTATTATCCTCCCTTGACTCTATGCTTTACCCATAACTTGCTTTGATAAATAGAATGGAGTAAAATGATATACAAAGTCTACAATCTAAGATTGAAGAAGCCATATAATTTCCTCTCCCACCCTCTGAGAACACCATGTTGTGAAAGCCCACTCTAGCTTACTGGAGGTGAGAAGCCACCAGGAACAGAACCAAGGTGCTCAGCTGACATCTTACACCAACTGGAAGCAAAGTGCCTGAGGCCACGCTGAATCCCTCAGTCCTGGTGGAAGAATGCAGCCATATAAGTGACACGAGAAAGATTAGCAAAGAACTGCCTATATTGTGGAACACAGAATCTTAAAAAATAACAAGTCACTTAGTTTTGGGGTCATGCCTTTCACAGTCGTAGAAAATCACAACAAAATAAAGCAATCATGCTGTGCATGCTGAATGCTCTGTCTCTCTAATCAGTCATTCTGCACATAGACCACCTTTTCTGAGGGTGCAATCTGAATATAAAGTAGATAGAGTTTCCTGTCTTGACAACATAGACTGAAGACGAAAACTTCTCAAAGCTTAATTCCAAATTAATTTCTTCCAAGTTCATTTTATGTAGGTCCAACCAGTAATTTAAAATGTTTAATCTTATAGACATCTGGGTAAATATAGTTAAAACTCTATATTCTATCTTCTCTGTAATCTTACTACAAATAAAATGTAGTAAGATACTAAAAGAAAACTCTATTTACCATATACTTGGAAACAAACCAAATTTCAAGCAATAATTTTTGCAAAATTGCTCTCAAATGCAGTGACACATGAAAAAATATGGAGAATGTGACAATGGCGACCACACTTTGTCACAGGTTTTAAACAACATCCAAGCCAAATCTATGTGCAAAAAAGTAAATTTTAAAGAAGTGAAAGTTAATATAATAAATAATTTTTCCATCTCAGCATGAAAAAGTCCATTCCTAAGCATAAAGACAACAGAAAACTATTATGTTAGCACTTGTCACTTGATTTCAAAAACTTCTAATACAAATATAGCAAAAAGAAAACTATGAAAATTAAAAGGCAAATGATAAATTGGGAAATATGTATAATGTTTGTGACATATGGATGTGCACAGAAGTTTACAAATAAATATATATTATTAAAATAAAAAGTCAAGAAAACTAATGATCACCACAGGAAAGAGAAAATATAAATATCTAATAAAAACTTTATCAAATTTGTGACCATGTTAGTTAAGTAAATAAGTAAAAATAAATAAATAAAACAAGAAAGAAACATATTAACTCTGCGTTTGATAAAAAATGGTGGAGAGTTAGAGAAGATGGTGATGAATGTGATCCCCCAGGTGCATCATCCTCTTTTTGATAAAGCAATCTCTGGCATCTAAAATAGGATGTAAAATGGTGTAGCAGCTCAGGAAAACAGTATGGTGGCGAGATGGAGATCCTGAGGGTGACAGTTACATTAAGTGGGTACTGATCCAGGTCAGGGAAGAGATATGGATATTATCATAACATGAACAGTTTATAGTCCACATGGCTTCATGCAAAGTCTCCTGATCACTTGGGAGTAAAAACTCCAGATGGCTGAGAGCACAATGTGAACACTAAGTCACCTGGGAGCAACTATCCTAGGATACTATATCTAAATCCAAGTTCTTACTTCTTTTGTCCAATGTCTAAACACCTCCACTTTTTATTTCTTATTAAATGGTCAGTGTATAAAATGAACCTTAAAAAGGAGACAATGATTATTAGAAATGAACCAGTGTAAGGCCAATATATAGACACTCAACTTATTTTTTAATGAGAAAGGGCAATTGTATATACAGACAAACACATACATATGTGTCGCTATATATGTACACATACACACGTTGTGAATGCAAAGAAACTCGTATTCTGATAAATGAAATATTTTAAAAATGTAAGATAAGAGGAAACTAAGAAGGATCTGACAAATCCTCAAAAATGGAATAAAAAATAAAATATTTTAAGTACCAGAAAGAATAATAATAAATACTGTAAAAAGAACACATAGAAATGGCAAACAGGTATGTTAAAGGATGCTCAGTATCATTGTCAAGGAAATGCAAATCAAAAGTACAATGAGATTATCACTTCCCAACTCTTAGTATGGCTGATAAACAAAAAAGCACAAAATATATTGACAAAGATGTGGGGGAAATTAGAATTTTTGTACACTATTGAAAATATAAACAGTGCAGCAGCTTAGGAAAACAGTATGGGGTTCCTCAGAAAATGAAAATTAGAACCACCATCTTGTCTATTTATCATTTTTATGGCTATACATTCAAAAGAATTGATATCAGTCTTGAATTGATGTCTTGAAGCGATATTTCCACTCTCATATTCATGGCAAATATTATTCACAATAGCTAAGATACGGAAAAAGCTTATGTGTCCATAGACCCATAAATGCACAAAGAAAACATGTTCTATACAGACAGTGGAATATCACTCAGCCTTAAACAGGAAGAAAATCCTACCATTTGTGTCAACATGGATGAAACTTGCAGACATTTTGTTAAGTGAAATAAGTCAGTCACAGAACAAATACCATATGATCCCACTTATATGCAGTATCTAAAATAGTCAAAGTTATAGAAGCAGAAAATACAGCAGGGGTTGTCAGGGACGTTGCAGGAGGTGGGAGAAATGTGGAGCTGTTACTCAGTGGCTTCAACCAAATGTTGTCCAGTGAAACTTTATAGTTTTAATTTTGCTAAATAAATAAGTCCTAGAGACCTCATCTATAACATAGTGACTGGTTAACAATATGGTATAGTGCTTTTCAAAATTTGTTAAGAGAATAGATATCATGGTAGGCATTCTTATCACAAACAAAATCAAAGGGATACAAGGAAAGTTTAGGAGGTGTTGTTGTGTCTGTTACCTTCATGGTGGTGATGGCATCATGAGTGTTTGCATATGCCCAAATTCATCTAATATAGACATCAAATATGTACAATTCATTGTATGTCAGTTATTCCTCAAAAAAACTTTAAACATTCTGAAGGCTTAAAAAATGCAATCATGCATATAAAAGGCATATGCAAGAAAGGGAAGCCCAAGATATGAAAAAAGGCCAAGAGTTTTGAATGATTAAATTAAAGCTAATAGTTATAGAGGGCTAAGGTGGCCAAATATCTAAATGAGAGAAGTAACTAAATAAGAGAAAATAAGGCAAAATAATATTAATTAAAATATTTTTGTTATTATATATTTAAAGTGAACAGTTTCTTTTAACCTGTGCCAAATGCAATATTTTGTAACAACAGTTTCCCTTTACTTTTCAGTGATGTGACAAAAAATAACAAGAGCACATTTTCTTTTCTTTCTTTCTTTTTTCTTTTCTTTCTTTTTTTTTTTTTTTTTTTTTTTTTTGAGATGGAGTCTTGCTGTGTTGCCAGGCTGGAGTGTGCAGTGGCGCGATCTCACTTCAACCTCTGCCTCCTGGGTTCAAACTATTCTCATGCCTAAGCACCTGAGTAGCTGGGATTACAGGCATGTGCCATCACACCCAGCTAATTTTTGTATTTTTGGTAAAGACATGGTTTCACCATGTTAGCCAGGATGGTCTCGATCTCCTGACCTCATGATCCGTCTGCCTTGGCATCTCAAAGTGCTGGGATTACAGGTGTGAGCCACCGCACCCGGCCACACACACATTTTCTGAAACCTTATGTCTTTGCTCTTGTACCACTACTTGTACATTGTCTCACTGTGATTTTATTTCCTTTCCAAATTCCCTGTATTTTTTGGCTACTGCTACGTAGATGATTAACACATCATCTCATTGATGTTACTTCAAATTATGACTCAATTCTGTTGTAATAATTTGATGATAGAAATTCCCTTGTGCTCCTTATTCCCTAGTTAAATATATTGCTTATCAATATAGCTTTTCCTTTGTGCTGCACCTGTTGTTTTCCATGCAGCCAATCACAGAGTAGGTAATTTATTTATTCAGTTTCCTTCTTATATAGCACTATCAATTTCCAATTTTGATATATATGAGTGTGTTAGATAATTAAGATCTCTTTGTCTCAGAATTCTTGTTCATCTACACACAAATAATTCTTATACTACCAGGCTCTTATGAAAATTAAATAATAATGTACGTGCAATGGCATATATAACAAGTACTGGAAAGAACTTTGCTATCATTTATTATAAATCTGAGATTTAGAGAAAAGTGTATTTGAGATACAGAGTTTATGTTGTAATTTTCAACTTTCTACATCAGACAGTACAGATATTAAAGGGTCACATATCCATCAATCCTCAATCCAGAAACTCAGAACCAAATTGTTAAGCAGAATACTCCTGGGTAGAGTGAGAATCTGGGTTTCCCTGAATATAGCATATTGTTTAGATTTGACTTGGTAACATAAAAATCTTTTAAACAATATAAAACAAATTGTATAAAATTTTTCCAGAATCAAGGTCTACAAATCTACACAAAATAGAATAAACTGTCTTAATTATACAGGCACACACACAAATGAGATGATACAATATTTGAAATTTGTTTCAAAATTCAAAATAATACATTGATGGTGGGGAGGGTTAGTGAAAGAGTGATATAACAAAAAGAATTGGCCCTGAGTTGATGACTATCATATTTATACATTTGCATAGTCACATAAATGATAATTATGCAATGAAAATGCAATAGTTAGTGTTCCTTTTTTTATCCTTTCAAAAACAGTGGTAATCATATGACCTTCCTATCTTCTTGATAGTTTTCTTGTTTATGTTGCATCATATTAACAGCACTTTAAATTTATTTTTTAATGGATCAGCATTTATGGTCAGTCTCTCCTGCTGCCTTTCCTTGTTTTTCTTTTTTTCTGTGTCTTTCAGAGATATTTCATTCAGTTATGAAGCTTTATGTTATCACCTCATGGATACTCTGTTTCCTGCATTTCTGTTTCTGGGTGATAGCTTTCTTAGTGGCTCCTGTGTGGAACAAGTCCTTTGTATTCCGGTTTATAATTGGCTCCCCGGCCACATTGTTTCTCTCCAGAGTATTTTTTAAAGTGTTGTGAATTTCTTAACTTTTTTCTGAAGCTTCACCACACACTCTTCCTTTCTGATCCTTTCAGCTTACTGTCTTTATGAAATAAAGTTATGAAAGAAAAATATCCCTCCAGGCATTATAATGTTTTTACCCTGAATACAATGCTTATGTAGGCTGTGATTTTTTTTAAGCAGAAGGTGGGTCTCATGACCATTCTGAATTCATGATAGATTTTTATTTGCTTCATGAGAGATCTAATTTAAACTATACTTCTACACACACATTTATGGCTCAGAATTTTAATATTATATATATATATAGCATCAAAATTTATCACTTTCATAATCTATACAATTCAAGAGAAATCATGGAAGGGTCATGATTCATTTTCACAAGTACCAGTGAATAGTGTACACATATCTTTTGTTTCATTCTTATGTCCAGAACCTTGCAGGCTCTAGAAAATACTTCTTTTTTTTTTTTTTTTTTTTTTTGACAGAGTCTCACTCTGCCCCCAGGCTGCAGTGCAAGCGGCGCAATCTCGGCTCACTAAAACCTCTGCCTCCCGGGTTCAAGGGATTCTCTTGCTTCAGCCTCCCGAGTAGTTGGGACTACAGGCGTGCACAACCACATCTAGCAAATTTCTGTATTTTTATTCGAGACGGAGTTTCTCCATGTTGACCAGGCTGGTCTCAAACTCCTGGCTTCAAAAGATCCACCTGCCTTGGCCTCCCAAAATGCTGGGATTACAGGTGTAAGCCATCACGCCTGGCCTAAAATACTTCACTTTTGAAAACATTTTTTCATTAGTTTTTTTTTTTCTCATTTAACTAAATGTTTGCCTCAGTCACAGAGCATCTGATACCCCATTTTAAATGGGAAAATATTATAATTTGTAAAATGAGGAATTTGAACCACTTGCTATTTGAAGATGAACACAAACATCCTCCTATTACCCATTGCAATCTTGATAATGCTTGAATACATTATTAACAAGTGAGCTTTCAGGGAAAATAGTTCCAAACTAGGGTGAAAATATGATCTGGATATCACACCCAGTCTTAAGCCCCATACAGTTGAAGGAATGTCTGCAGGAAGTAGAGGTCAGAAATCTGTATCTTATTAAGATCCTCAAATGATTCTTTGTACATGCAAAAACTGCCTGTGAACAACATATATTTTCAGTATTAAGGCTACTTTTCCCAACATTTTCAAAGCCAAGAAATCTCATGCATCAATTTCCTTGAGGAAAAATTTTCCACCTGCTATGTTTTATTTTTTCCCCTTGATTGACCTTTATGAAATATTAAAAATATGGTATTCTCCTAACTACATCTGTCAAAGGAGTTTAGGACCGCCCCCAGTGTATATCCTAATTCCATAATATATATTTTATTCTGATTATTAAATTTTATCCTTCAGAATATTTGGATAGTAAAGCAAAGTAAATATGAAACTGAAAGAGACCAAAATAAATGCTGAACATATGTGCTTCTCTTTTGACTCTATGTATTCTATGTATTCATATCTATATAGCATTTACAATACAATTTACATCATACATTTATTTTTTCTTAAAATTCTAAATTTATTACTTGATATTTTTATTTTTATTTATTTATTTATTTTTAATTATTATACTTTAAGTTTTAGGGTACATGTGCACAACATGCAGGTTTGTTACATATGTATACATGTGCCATGTTGGTGTGCTGCACCCATTAACTCCTCATTTAGCATTAGGTATATCTCCTAATGCTATCCTTCCCCCTTCCCCCACCCCACAACAGGCCCTGGTGTGTGATGTTTCCCTTCCTGTGTCCATGTGTTCTCATTGTTCAATTCCCACCTATGAGTGAGAACATGTGGTGTTTGGTTTTTTGTCCTTGCAACAGTTTGCTGAGAATGATGGTTTCCAGCTTCATCTATGTCCCTACAAAGTACGTGAACTCATCATTTTTTATGGCTGCATAGTATTCCATGGTGTATATGTGCCACATTTTCTTAATCCAGTCTATCATTGTTGGACATTTGGGTTGGTTCCAAGTCTTTGCTATTGTGAATAGTGCCACAATAAACATACGTGTGCATGTGTCTTTGTAGCAGCATGATTTATAATCCTTTGGGTATATACCCAGTAATGGGATGGCTGGGTCAAATGGTATTTCTAGTTCTAGATCCCTGAGGAATTGCCACACCGACTTCCACAATGGTTGAACTAGTTTACAGTCCCCCCAACAGTGTAAAAGTGTTCCTATTTCTCCACATCCTCTCCAGCACCTGTCGTTTCCTGACTTTTTAATGATCGCCATTCTAACTGGTGTGAGATGGTATCTCATTGTGGTTTTGATTTGCATTTCTCTGATGGCCAGTGATGATGAGCATTTTTCCATGTGTTTTTTGGCTGCATAAATGTCTTCTTTTGAGAAGTGTCTGTTCATATCCTTTGCCTACTTTTTGATGGGGTTATTTTTTTCTTGTAAATTTGTTTGAGTTCATTGTAGATTCTGGATATTAGCCCTTTGTCAGATAAGTAGGTTGCAAAAATTTTCTCCCATTCTGTAGGTTGCCTGTTCACTCTGATGGTGGTTTCTTTTGCAGTGCAGAAGCTCTTTAGTTTAATTAGATCCCATTTGTCAATTTTGGCTTTTGTTGCCATTGCTTTTGGTGTTTTAGACATGAAGTCCTTGCCCATGCCTATGTCCCGAATGGTATTGCCTAGGTTTTCTTCTAGGGTTTTTATGGTTTTAGGTCTAACATGTAAGTCTTTAATCCATCTTGAATTAATTTTTGTAATAAAAACATTCATATGGTTTAAAAGTCGAGCTATAAAATTATATAAAGTGAATATTCTCCCTCTTACTACTGCTTCCTATCTTCACTGACACCTATAATATCCACGGAGAGTAGACTGCCACTGCCAATAGTTTCTTATATATCCTTCCAAAAAATTAATGTGGTGGGTATATGCATATGAATACATATTATTTGATGATTTGTTTTTACATAAAATTTGTTTACTGTATATGTCATTCAAAACTTGACCAATGGGATGAATACGTATGTGTGTTTGTTTTTTCTCGATAAACCAATTGTCATCTATAATATTAAGATTTTATATTTTGTTGCTGATTTATGAAAAAAGTAGGGTCTTACATGTTTAGAGAATATTTTGTTTCCTTTATATTAATTTTGCATAATGCTTTTCTTCAGCTCGCTTATTCCCTGTACTTTGATTTTTATCAGAGTGCTAATCTTATGATTTGTATAAATTCTTTACCATATAAAAAATAAATTATATTTGTCAGGTTATTTATTTAATGCAAGATATCAATACTCCATTTGTGATTTTACGTCTGCATTTAAGTTTTAAAAATAATTTTCTTGATATCAATTCTAGTTTTTCCACTTGTCTTCTCATCTGTGACATTTAGCTGATTAGTTATTAGGCTTATGATAAACAGTTACATGCAGATAGTAGTATGCTAGTAAATGTTTAACAACCAGCTCTGGAGAAATAAGAAAACTCTGACATATGCATTTGACAACTTTTATAGTGTAAAGTACTATAAAAAACTGCACAATGTCCATATGAAACCCATGTTAAGCCACTAGCATGATATTTAGCAGCTCATCAAATTCTGAAATTTTTTCACTCAGTTCTCACCTACCACAAAGTACATGCTAAATACATGTTTCTTCTTATAGTTGTTGTTTTTGTTTTCTAATAATTTTATGCCTATATGTTTTTACTTAAGTTTTTTATTCCATTTGGAATTCCTTTCAACTTGAGTTGAGTGATTAGTTTCTAAATTGTTTTTATGATTTCCAGAAATAAAACAAACTGTTTTAGTTCATTTTAGTAAAAAACATACTCATTCTCCTTTGGTTTATGGTCATGGATTATTTTTCACTTCTTAACAACCACTCATTCCCTCTGCAAGAAACAAAATCTATGAAAACTAGTGGGAGTCATTTTACTTATGAAGATGTCAAATAAGATTAATAGTCCAAAGACTATTCACCATTAAGAATTTGAAAGGAATAGTTCTCATATATATATATATATAATTTATATGTATATACAATTTATATTTATATAGTTTTTATATATAATTTATATTTATATAATTTAGTTATATAGTTTATATTTATATAATATATATTTATAATTTATATTTATATATAATTTATATTTAATTTATATTTATATAATTTATATATAATTTATATTTATATAATTTATATATAATTTATATTTATATAATTTATATAATTCATATATATAATTCATATTTATATAATTTTTATATATAATTTATATTTATATAATTTATATATAATTTATCTTTATATAATTTATATATAATTTATCTTTATATAATTTATATATAATTTATATATAATTTATATGTATATAATTTATATATAATTTATATATAATTTATATGTATATAATTTATATATATTTATATAATTTATATATAATTTATATTTATATAACTTATATATAATTTATATTTATATAATTTTTATATAATTTATATTTATATAATTTATATTTATATAATTATATATAATTTTTATATAATTTATATTTATATAATTTATATATAATTTATATATAATTTATATTTATATAATTATATATAATTTATATATAATTTATATTTATATAATTTATATATAATTTATATTTATATAATTTATATATAATTTATATTTATATAATTTATATATAGTTTATATTTATATAATTTATATTTATATAATTTATATATAATTTATATATAATTTATATTTATATAATTTATATATAGTTTATATTGATATAATTTATATTTATATAATTTATATATAATTTATATTTATATAATTTATATGTAATTTATATTAATTTAATTTATATATATGTAATTTCAACTTTTAGATTCAGCAGGTACATGTGCAGGAGTGTTACATGTGTATATTGTGTACTGATGAGGTTTGGGGTATGATTGATCTTCTCATCTAGATACTGAGCATAGTTCCCAATAGTTAGCTTTTCAAACCTTGCTCTCTTCCTTTCTCCCCCTTCTAGTGGTCCCCAGTGTCTACTGTTGCCATCTTTATGTCCCTGAGTACCCAGTGTTTAGCTCTGACATAATTATAATTGAGAACAGGCAATGTTTGGTTTTCTGTTTCTGTGTCAATTTGCTTAGGATAATGGCCTCCAGTTGCATTCGTGTTGCTGCAAAGGACATTATTTCATTCCTTTATATGGCTGTGTAGTATTCCACGGTGCAAAGGTACTGAGGCAGGAGAACAGGGTTTGGAGGCAGAGAAACTTCAGGCTAATTTGTGCTGACTTCTTTAAGTTGAATTAAAAGGAAAACACCAAGGTATGCAGGCAGGGCATCTAAGGCCAAATCATGATAATTTCCTGAAGCTGGATCAAAAGGGAGACACTTGGGTCTGAAGGCAGGGAACTTAAGGCCAATTAACACCAACTTCCTAAAACTGGACAAAAAGGAAAAGCCTCATCTCCCCAGGCCCAAGTAACAAAGGATCAAAGGCTTCTCTCCCTACAATCCTCCTGCTTCCAACAAGTTTCAGATGGAAAGGAAAAGTGCCCTGGGCCAAGCAAGGGCCATCCCTTCGTCTGCATAGGACACTCTCTCACTCTGGCCCTATTGACCCCGGGGCCAATTCACCTCAGTTGTTAATTAGCCACGGGCCAAATCCTTCATCCAGATAAGGGGTAGCCAATAGGGACCCCAGAAATCTCTGTAACTGGGCCCTTGAGCCACTTGCTGGGGCCCACTGTCACCCTGCGAAGTGCCTTCTTGCTTTAATACATCTCTGCTTTTGCCGCTTCATTCCTTCGTTTTGTTGTTACTTTGTGCGTTTTGTCAATTCTTTGTCCAAAACACCAAGGACCTGGACAACTCACATTCAAGGCCTTCCTTCCAGTAACACGTACCACATTTTCTTTATGCAGTCCACTGCTGATGGGCATCTAGGTTGATTCCATGCCTTTGATATTATGAATAGTGCATGCGTATTTACGGTAGAACGACTTATACTCATTTGTTTATATATCCCAGAGCAATAATGGGATTGTTCTGATGAATGGAAGTCCTATTTTTAAATTCTCTGAGAAATCTTCAAAATGCTTTCCACAGCAGCTGAACTAATTTATATTCTTCACCAACAGTGTGTAAGCATTCCATTTTCTCTGCTGCCTTGTCAGCATCTGTTATTTTTTGACTTTTTAATAATAGCCATTCTTATTGATGTAAGATGATATCTCATTGTGATTTTGATTTACATTTCTGTTATGAATAATGAAGTTGAGCATTTTTTCATATGTTCATTGGACGCTTTTATGTCTTATTTTGAGAAGGGTCTGTTCATGTCCTTTGCCCACTTTTTTTTTGGTTGTTGAATTATTTAAGTTCCTTACAGATTATGGATATTAGAACTTTGTCAGATGCATAGTTTGCAAATATTTTCTCCCCTTCTGCAGATTGTCTGTTTATTCTGTTGTTAGTTTCTTTTTCTGTGCAGCTCTTTAGTTTAATTAGATTAGATGGCTGTAGGTGTGCAGGTTTATTTCTGGGTTCTCTATTCTGTTCATTTGATCTATGTGTCTGTTTTTGTACCAGTACCATGCTGTTTGGGTTTCTATAGCCTGGTAGCATAGTTTGAAGTCAGGTAATGTGATGCCTCCAGCTTTGTTCTTTTTGGTTCTGATTGCTTTGGCTATTTGGGATCTTTTTGGTGCCATATGAATTTTAGAATAGTTTTTTTTAATTTCTGTGGAAAATGTTGTTGGTAGTTTGAAAGGAATAGCACTGAATCTATAAATTGCTTTGGGCCATATGATCATTTTAATGATATTGATTCTTCCAATCCATGAACATGGAATGTTATTCCATTTTTTTATGTCATCTCTGATTTCTTTCAGCAGTATGTTATTGTTCTTCTTGTAGAGATCTTTCACTTTCTTGTTTAGAAGTATTCCTAGGTAATTTTTTTGTGTGTGTGGCTATTGTAAATGATATTGCATTCTTGATTTGGCTCTCAGCTTGAACATTATTTGTATATAGAAATACTGCTGATTTTTGTACATTGATTTTGTGTTGTGAAATTTTACTGATGTTGTTTGTCAATTCCAAGCACTATTTGGTGAAATCTTCAGTGTCTTCTCAGTATGAAATTATATTGTTAGGAAAGAGAGATAGTGTGACTTCTTATTTTCCTATTTGAATGTCTTTTATTTCTTTCTCTTGCTTGCTTGCTCTGGCTAGGACTTCTAGTACTATTATATGTTGAATAGAAGTGTTGAGAGTGGGCACCCTTGTCATGTTCTAGTCCTCAAAAAGAATGTTTCCAGCCTTTGCCCATTCAGTATGATGTTGGCTGTGGGTTTGTCATAGATGGCTCCTATTATTTTGAGGTGTATTCCTTCAATGCCTAAAAACGCATGAGAGTTTTTATCATTAAAAGATGTTGGATTTTATTGAAAGCTTTTTCTGCTTCTATTGAGATTAACTAGTGGTTTTTATTTTTAATGCTGTGTATGTGGTAAATCACATTTATTGATTTGCATATGTTGAACCAACCTTGCATCCCAGCAATGAAGCCTACTTGACTGTGGCAAATTAACTTCTTCAGGTACTGCTGGATTTGGTTTGCCAGTATTTTGTTGAGGAATTTTGTGTCTATGTTCATCAGGAAGATTGGCCTGTAGTTTTCTTTCTTCATTTTTTCTTAATGATTCCTTATTATACAAATTTATTTACTAATGAGAAGACTGAGAACAACATACTTTAACTACCTTGAAAAAGGACCTACAACTAATTAAACAGTAATATATTGAGTTATTTGGTTCCCAGTATAGCATTTTTCACCTATACCCTTGTTTAATCTGTGAATTTGGGGCCAACTCACATGTTTAATAATGGAATTTATGATGATTTAATAGGTATGAAACTGATAAAAATAACATTACATAGAATAAAAAATGTCTATGTTTTGTGCATACTAGTAGATTTCAATGAATATACTTAAACTATTCAATTCATTGTTATATCAACCTTCTATTGAAGAAGATATGACTTCCAACTATCAAAAAGTCCATAGATTTAAGAAATGTAGAAACCTTATGATGACAAATTATCCATTCAAAACTTGAGCTTCACTAGTCTTCTCTTACAATTAACATCTCCTCTCTCCTCTGTCTTTTATTTTGTTATGCTTACTATCCATTCATTAGGTCCAGATGGTACTACATAAATATTCAAGTAGGCAGCTATTTGGAAATACGAGTAGTATCATAAAGTCAGCATAAAGATGTTAATATTTAAAAAATATTTTTTAAAAGTTTTTTTTTGTTGAGGACCTCAAATTCAGATAAAATTAATTGCATGATTGCTGGTGATAAACAATTCTTCTGGCAGAATATAGTCGACTGTGACTTATTAAAATGATTGTTCTTAATACACAGATTCATTATATTAGAGGCATGATTCTTAAGTAATGCTTGGTAATTATTAACTGGTGCTTATATGAAACCACTATGTTGGCTTACCGATTAGATATTGATTTGTGAATCTTCCTAAACTTATTACTGGTGCTGCCATTTAACATTACAAAGTTGTGATAATAAGTCAGTTTAACAAAATATTGTCCTATTGGTTAAAATATCTATCATTGGAGAGATCATGTGTAGTGAATGGATTAAGCCTTTGAATATTCATTACCCATCTGACAGTTTAAGAATTCCTAGGAGATGATAGAATCATCGCTCGGAAAAAATTATTTGGTAATGTAAAGGTCAGAAAACTTGTATTTTGCCTCAGATATCTGTGTGACAAATATGCTTTAAGAAAAGTCTACACTAGTATTGAATAAATAATTTTTTGTTTTACAGGTAAGCCCAAACTATTAAGAAAGATCTGAGTGTACAATATCACACAGAATGCTATTTCAAAATTTTTTGGTTTTATAATTTTATGTACATATAGTATTTATAATATGGTTGTATTTAAGTATAGAATTTTATAACTAAACAATATAAAATAATGTATTTAAATGTTTACATAAAATATAATTTCACAAGCATAAATATTATAAAATGAGTATTTTGATGCATTTATCATATTCAAAGTTTATTAGAAGTATTTAATTATAAAATCACCACAGAAACAATTTAAAGTTATAGTTATGTTTTATGTATTGGGGAAATATTGATGCTACAAATGTACTCAAGAAAATAGAAAACTTAAATATACACAAATCAGGGATAAAGTCAGTACACTGAATAAAGAATTAACCCCCGTAAATCACATGTTAGCATTGTTGTGTTATTTTAAACATAAGAAGAGTACCTTTATTATATGAAATGCTCAAGAAAACAAAAGAGAAGGACGTATTTACATTATATGAAGCTAGTGTGAACTTGAAACAAAAGTATGACAAATAACAGCCAAAAACCAATCCAATTATGAGTATAAAAAGATTAATGGATGAAATATAGCAAATATGTAAAAGAAAATAGACCATGACCAAATGCTTATTTTAAAAAAAGGGTGATTTAACATTGTAAAATAACATGATATATTTCATCACTTGGTGAGGTCAAAGAAAGGAACTATTAGAACATTTCAATATATGTCAAAATGTCAACCCTGTTTAGACAATAATTCTTAATAAAGGGAATTCTTATTGCCTCCTCTACAGAGATTAGCTTTATTAGCTTGAAGCTGTACATATACACGCACATACTGCCAAGTTTACTTACTATATATGGTATATGAATACATGAATATATATTATATATAAGTACATACATACATATGCATATGTGAACACATTTATAGCTATATATTTTGACTGAATACATTTATATTTATGTGTATTCTGACTGAAGATAAAGAAAATATAGGCTTAAGCCTTTAGTATTTCTTAATAGTGTTTGAGATGTTTATATTATTGCAATAAAAATTGGAGAATTAATATGAAACACAAATATTCAAAAACAGAACATTTTTATTTACCTAAATAATCAACTGAAATGTTATTAGAACTAATAAGAATTCAAGTAATATGAGTTAATGCAGAGTAATTATACAAAAATATTATATAGTAGTCCTTAATAATTTGCTTATAAATTTTTAGAAGCTTCATATTATTCACTATTGTTGCTAAATTGATAAACAAATAGAGCAAATCTAATAATATATGCATGAAACTTATGTTAACACTGTAATCTTTATTAATGTCTTTTTAAAATTGACTTTCACCCCTTTGAATAAATGGAGAGATGTTTTATGATTCTGGATGGGAGAACAAAGTGCTGGTCCGCAAAACCCACATCTGGCATACAAAATACCAGTCTTTTCCTAATATACCAATCTTTAAAACATACCAATCTTTTTAGAAAGTTGTTTTGTAAAAAACCCTTACGTGGACTTTTGTGACCTATTTGTGACCTACTTATAGATTTTTTTTTCTCCCCTCTTAGGGCCAAAATAGCGTATTTGATTACAAATCTTTACTATAGGCCTTGTACAAACTTCATGTAGTATTGATCCCATATTAACTTCTCAAAGTATAAAAATTTCTGAGTTTTGAAACACATCTGGTCCAGAAAGTTTTGCATAAGAGATTTTAAAGACATCTTTCTTTTGTAAATTGGTCTAGAAACTCAAATTCAATGGAAAACCACAATTCCAAATATATTTTTTGGAGTGTGTGTCAGTATACAAAGGTTCTTCATTTTCAAGAATCCATAGACAAGAATAATAAAAGCATTTTTGAAAAAAATGATTATTAAGGAGGAATGTACTCTACCAGATATTAAAACCATTAAGATATTGTTTCTTAATAGAAAACAGGCCCCCACACAGGAGGAGAATGACACAATGAACCCACATTTCAAGCTGGTTTCCAAGTGTTTTTGGAGTCTCGGCTTTTGACAGGTAAACATAGCTATTTGTGGCATCAAAGACTCTAGGTGCCAAATTTCCTTTACGCTGCTTTCCAAATCTCTGAGATATTTTCATCTTTTCTAGTCAAAAAACATTTATTGCAGCCTGAGAAAAAAATAATTTCAGTTACAACAGAAGCTTAAACATTGTAAAGGTGATGATAATGACAATATAACTTTAGTGTGTGGGCATTCCAATGAATAGCCAGTGAATAGCAAGTGAGACAGAAAATGGAGCAGCATAGACATTTGGTGAAAAAAAAATCATAACTGGAACATTCCTGAAAGCATAACTCTGAGAAAGATATCATAATTGCTTCTAAGCAGAATTTTCTTTCCATGGCATCTATTTATTCATGAGATGTCTTAGTGCCAACTTAGTGGAATTCTCAGGATTGAGGCATTGTTATTACCTCAAAACTGTGTGATGCTCCTAAATCCAGTTAGAAACAGTTTGAGAGCCAGGTTACTTGTGTATATTAGGATTATGTGGGCAAAAATGCTGGTGAAATTAACTGGGAGTTTCAGCCTTGTTATTGGCATGTTGGGGAATTTTCCTGGTATCAGATATGTGGCTGAATAGATGAGCTATGCCTGGTTAAAAGTGCTTTATCAATCTGTAAGCAAACTTCCTTTTCCTGCCTGGAAATGTTCACTTTACCAGATCGGTAGGCATCATTGCATTTGGCCAACTATCTTGATGGTTTCTTTACCTTACTTTCTGGAAAGGTCCCAATGCTACTGTCAAGAGGAGGTATGGCCAGATACTCAAATTTGCTCCAGACTTTGCTGTATATCAGATGATCCCATGATGCTTGCAGCCTGGAACAGTTCCTTATAAAGGTAACCTCATAATACCATCCTTCTACTACCCCCAAATGAAGGATCCGCCAAGCCCAATTATTGAGATAGCTTATAGGACTCTTGGATATGTTGACTGAGCATATTAAATAATTAAAATGAGATTCTAACAATAGTGAATATTAACCTTGCAGAAAACTATGTGATTGTACTGTTCAATATGCTCTGACTGTAGGGTTACTTGAAGCATTACCATTTAAATATTTCCTTATGTAAGAAACCACTATTGATATGTATACAAGTAATGCAAAAAAGATACATTGTGAAGGTTTTAATGAATATGTTCTGATTTTCTTTATAAGGGAGAGAGGGGACAAAATCACTTATGCTGAAGCAACTTTAAGCAATACACTGAAGATTTCAAGGTAGGCAAATTCAAACATGTTTCTGACTTTTGGACAGACAAGCAAGTAGATATCTACTCTCAGGCTCTACTTTTCCTTTTTTTTTATTTTTTTTATTTTTATTTTTGGAGAGGGAGTCTCACTCTGTCGCCAGGCTGGAGTGCAGTGGTGAGAACCTGGCACACTGCAACCTCTGCCTCCAGGTTCAAGAAATTCTCCTGCCTCAGCCTCCCGAGTAGCTGGGACTACAGGTGTGTGCCACCACACCTGGCTAATTTTTTGTATTTTTAGTAGAGACGGGGTTTCACCATGTTAGCCAGGATGATCTCAATCTCCTGACCTCTTGATCCACCCTCCTCAGACTTCCAAAGTGCTGGGATTACAGGCGTGTGCCACCATGCCTGGCCAACTCTGCTTATCTTTTGCGACTTTATATTCCCAAGATCCATGGTCTAGAGAATAATAAGGACTTTATACATCTTGCTAAGATAATAACAGAGGGACATCTGGAACAATTTGGTCAGATATTTATTTATATTTATATCTATATCTGTATTTATCTCCGTGTGTGTTAACCATCCCATTGATTTTGTGTTAGGCATGGATTCCTAAGAGCTCAATGGTTATACAATATTAGAAGCTGAAAACAAATTAGGAGTGAATAGCAGATTGCAAGCTCAAACCATCAGAATATCAAGGTTGTTCAGTATTTCAGTATTTACAAACACTTAAAGATTTAAGATATTATAAGTCCCAAATTTTCATATCAACCTAGCATGGAGATCAAAATAAGAACAGGCTCAAGTTAAAAATGCTTACATGGAAAACACTCAGAGTACAAATATCTCACCCCTGTCATGAGTATGGGTATGGTGAGATGGCTTAAAGGTGAAGGGACAGAAGACAGAATCAGTGTTCATGACTTTCATCCAGAACCAGGCACATCAATCCATCATCTTTGTTCTAGGCTGCCCTCTCAATTTATCAGTCAGACTAAGTTCTGCTATAGATCTTCCAGGTTTGGCATTTTCTGTTGACCTAAATTTCTAGTTCTTGAACTCTGTTTATTCTTTGCTTTACAATTTGTGTCCCCCTGGGCATGATATTTTTAGACTGCCTTCTTAGTAACTGACCTTCTGACCTAGGCCTAGAAATATCCCTCTACTGTAGCTCCAGAAAGACATTCTCAAATGATGAACAGAGTAATGAGATAGCCTTGACAGCAACATCAGACAGCTTTTAAAACTACAGATGTGCCAATCATGTATGTTTCGTATATCACACCTGAGAAAAGTTAAGGGATGAGTATTAATTTGTAGTTCATAAAAGCAACTCTTCCAAGGCCTAAGTGTTATGGACCAGGAATATGGCTTTATATTAATCCGGTCTAGTAAAAGTATAAACCTGGAAGAATCTTGCTTATAAGTTAGATTCACATTTCCCTCTGAATATTCTTATCAAATATCAATTTTCTCAGGTGAACTTCTGCAGAAGCAGTATATCGAACAATTAAAGATTTAGTTTGGTATTAAAGAATTTAAACTTCATTCTTATTGAGAAGCAATCTATATGCTCTCAATACTCAGAGGTAGATGTAGATAGAAATAAACTGCTTTTAATAATTAAATATAGGCACGAATCAAGTAACTATCATTGAAGAGAAAGAAATATATAGACACAGGGAAATTGGCAGGTTGTTGGAATTAAAATTTTCTCCAAACACTACCGTTGAAACATCACCACAGCTTAAATGCCTATATGAGTGTTTATGTGTGTGTGTATGTGTGTGTATCTCCACATATATATGTGGATATATATATATATATACACACACACATAAATATGTGGATATATATATATATATATAATCCATCCTTTGTTATTGCATGTGAATAAGGGAACCTATATAAATGCATAATGATGATCTTTATTCCTCAATTATTCACAATATAGAAAAATATGGATCTGTGTTTTCCCTAAATATGCAGACATTAAAAAAATCCTACACCTCCTTTACTATAGACCACTGTCTTCATATACACTAAAATGTTCTACTCTAAAATTATTTCTATTTTCTTTATAGGCTACATTTCTAAATTTCTGTTTCAAACACTATTTTAAGACATACACCAACTTTGATTTGCTCTCTCTGCTTTTATGCGACTTCTTTAGTTCTTTAATGCTTCATGTGAAATTTCAAAAGTAGCGTGAGACATCTTGCTCTGTTGTTTACTTCTGCATTTTTGTTCATCTCTAGTTTTTAAAATCTGTATTCTGTCTTGTTTCCTTACCACAGCCTGAAATCCATTTTATCGTCATTTTTTTCTATATCTTCCTGAATTCTCATGTTTATGTTTTTCCATTTATGTTTTTATGACAGGAAACTATCCTGAATTCGCTTGAGTGTGGATGTGGTTTCTATTTTACTCCTTGGATAAGAAACCAAAGTACTTTTATTAAAAAGACATCTGTTGAACTGGAAATCAGAAGAAAAAATAAATAAAGTTATATTTTCTGATTTGGACTCTGAATTTATTTCTGTCTTGAGATGTTTTAATGTTTATGACATTTTCTTCATCTATTTACTCTATAACATACTACACATGTCTTCACATTTCTCCTCAAATCTCTAACACCTCTCCCTCCCTACAATCCTCAATGTTCATGCTTACTATTTTATTGACTAATATAAGCAATTACATAAAAATATATTTGCTTCCCCACAGTCCCTTTCAACTCATCTGCATTTTAATTCCTTGCTTTCACTGCTATGGATGGCATTCAGCAGTCCCATTCAAAGCCAACCTATTCACATGTTCACTGGATTCCATTATCTCCTTTCCACTCAGGAATCTTGCTCCAGAAATCTTTCTGTATTTCTCTCATATCAACAGTTTTCACATCATCCTAGATTGATTCTATGAGGTATGGTTTTCATCTCTTTTTTTTTGAGACGGAGTCTCGCTCTGTTGCCCAGGCTGGAGTGTAATGGTGTGATCTCGGCTCACTGTAACCTTTGCCTCCCGGGCTTAAGCGATTCTTCTGCCTCAGCCCTGGAGTATCTGGGACTACAGGCGCGTGCCACCACACCTGGCTAATTTTTGTATTTTTTTTTTCTTAGTAGAGACGGGGTTTCATCATATTGGCCAGGCTGGTCTCAAACAGTTCTCATCTTTAAAAATTAGTTTTTCTTCACTCAACATTTCCCTTTCATTTTGTCTGCTACCCATTACAGCAAAATGCCCAAGATAATTGCTCACATTTGATAATAATATTTCTCTACTCCCATACTTCTCAGAGTCCACCATGCTACTGAATGGTGGACTATCAGTTACCTCAATCCTGCTAAACCAAAGGTTGATTCCCATTCTTCTTCTTATTTGATTACCACAACTTCTTAATCAATAACTTCTTGAAACACTTCCTTTTTCCCACTTTGCCTCATGGGGCATGACTCCATCCATTCTCCTCCTTGCTCTCTGGTAAATCCTTTGTAGTCTCCTTTTCTGGCTTTTCCTCCTTCCCCTGCTCTCAAAGTTGGAATGCCTCAAGGGCTCAGTGTTCTGACCTTGTTTCTCCCTTTATCTTAGTTGATCTCATTCATCACATAGATCATAAAAGGTAAGCAGAAAACTGATACCTGTTCTATGTGCTGACAATTCCCAAATGTCTATCTGTTGCCTTGTTCTTTGCCCTGAAATCCAAACTGCCAAATTCAACACTGATTTGACGTTTCTGCTTGAATGTATAAAACACATCTCCAGCTTGACGTACACAAAACTGAACTTTCGATACACACACACACACACACACACACACACACCCCTCTGCTTTTCTTACAGTCTTCTCCATCTTAATAATTACAGTTTCATTATTCTGATTGTTCAGATTGAATATTGAATGTCTTAGAGCTAACCTTATACGTATATTTCTCTCTAAGGCTCCAACTAAACATCAGCAAATTCTGTGAGCTATGCCTTCAAGATATGGAATCAGGTTAAACCTGTTCTTGTGACTCCCACCACTACATTCTTCTCCAAGCTACCAGTATGTCTTGCCTAGATTTTTAAAATATCCCTCTCGCTGGTTTCTGGCTTCAGAACTTTCTCCTCTATATTTCATCTTCCACAAGCGTTAAAATATCCTGTCTGCCTTACCCTATACTACCCTGTCCTATCCTAAAATATCCTTAACTTTTTACCCCTCAAAGAGCTGTTCATCATCTGACATAAAAGATATGGGCCTCTTCCTCTTCATTATGAAAGACTAAGAAAGACAAGTATGTATGTGTTTGTGTACACACATACATATATACATGAATTTATGTCAATAAAGGTGATGTCTGAATCAATGGTTAAATGAATGAATTATCATTGTGGTATATAGCCTTTGGAGGATGCGCTATTCCACATTTACATTGTTACCAAGTAAAAAAACCTTCTGGTTTACTTAGCACAATAGGGACAAGCCCAGGTAATTTTTTAAAGTGTATAAATGACTCTGAATACAATTCTCCAACTTAAACTTCACAAGTCTTTGAGGTGACAATGAGAATCTTGGTTTTGCTGGTAGTGACTGTGATGAAGTTTCTACAACATTAAACAATGACACAGTCCTCTTTTTTGTATTTTCTTTTGTATTTATCAAAGTAACCGAAAATACTTGTATTGGTTTTGAAAGTTACCACTTTCACTGAATTAATAAGCGAATTCTATTGTGATAATTTTATGATCAAATGATACTTAGATAGAGGATGGAAAGACCAAAGTATGGAACTGAGTCTTATAAATTGGTAAGCATTCTTAACAGAAAAAATGGAGCAAACATTTCAAGTTACAGGTCAGAATCTCTTTAACAGCAAACTTCTTCTTTTTTTTTTTTTTTTTTGAGAGGGTGTCTCGCTCGGTCTCCCAGGCTGGAGTGCAATGGCACGATCTCGGCTCACTGCAACCTCCACCTCCCAGGTTCAAGAGATTCTCCTGCTTCAGCCTCCCGAGTAGCTGGGATTACAGGCGCGCATCACACAGCCAGCAAATTTTTTTGTATTTTTAGTAGAGATGGGGTTTTGCCATGTTGGCCAGGCTGGTCTTGGACTCCTGACCTCAAGTGATCTGCCCGCCCTGGCCTCCCAAAGTGCTGGGATTACAGGCATGAGCAAACTTCTTAATGAGGTCTCCATACTCAGTTATTTTATGAGTTACTATTAGAATGTATATCAGTATGTCTGGGATTCTCAACTATGTTTAAGAATTTGGTTGAAATAATTTTCAAACTCCTATCTAAATTTCACACTTTCATTCCCAGTCCACCAGAGGACCAGTTGATATTACCAGAATTGGGATCTTGTGGATAGTGTGTGGCATTTTAAAAGTCAGTTTTGATAGTGACACCAATATATTAACCAATGTAGTTTCCATATATCAAAACTCATCAGTGATTTTCCATTGTTAATTGAATAGAGCATAAGTTTTATACTATTTAGTATATAATACCATTTGATCTGATTTGTGGTGTCTGCCTACCTCAACACTCCCCAAACCTTCGCTCACAATGTATTCTGTAACAAAACAGAACCACTTGAGTTTCAAGAATACATGGCTGTGTTTTTGCATCTATGCCTTGATTCAAATGATTTCCTCTAAACTGAATGCTTTTCTCCCACTAAATTTATATCCTGCAAGAGTCAGGTAGCATCTGATTGGTGCTAAGAAGACTTAGTCTTCTTGAAATCCCCTCTTTTTCACTCCCACTCAACACTTTTTATACTGTATTAAACATTTATATAGAAATGAATATACATGATTCTTAACTATTTGTGATATCATAATCACCTTGAAACTGTTTTTCTTTGAAAGCTTGTCCATACTTCAGGCTCTATTTCCGCATCACTTAATGACATTGACAGAGTAAGGAAGATGGGGAGAACATGGGACATTTAAACAGCTTCTCAGGTGTTTCTGATAAGCATGCACTGAGGGAAGAAGACTGAACAAGATCTTGAATTCTTAGAAGAGATTAAAAATTTATAAATTTATTTTCTATTAAAAATAGCAATAACTGGAAACAATAAGTTTATGATAATTTTGTTGTTCTTAAAACTCAGCAGATTTCATTATGTTTTTTTCAGTTATGACACTAATCACCAACCTCTCCCCACCCCTACCCCACTGCCCTTTGAATCACTACAATTTAGCCAAAGAGGAAGAGGTTATGAGGATCTCGTATGTGTGAGGCAGATGTGTGTCTGACAACCTAAGACCTTTCAATTCTTTTTGCTCTGAGAGACATTATGTTTATACTCATAATTAACACAAAGAAGGATCTCACTTAAGAACTTTCCATAAAGTGTATTCAACAGAATGGTGCTACTTCTATTTGAAACTTCTGTAGTATACAAGTATTTTCCTATACAGTAACTATAAAATTCCTGTAAGATAAATGCACTATCAGAAGAGTTTCCTTCCAGGTTACCTAACTTTCATTGCAGGCAATTTCAGTAAGTATATCTGTAGTTTCCTGTCTCCTTTGAGGACATACCTTTAAATTTCCCTTTCAACAATTTCTTATGCAAAGGCATCATTGTGTTCCCTTTGTCCACAGCCAAAATCTAGGCAGCTTTTGGGAGGGTAGAACAGGAGGAAAAACCCTTCAAGTTAAGATATATTATATCTAATTAAGAGAGAAGCAAGTAGCTTCCCAGTTGAAACCATAATGGTGTTTCCATGTGGAATGATCTAGACAATGACTTCTAATTTTTTTCCAGGTAGTATGAGGAAAATAAGATATATTAAATATAGAAGGCAGATAATGGCCACCCCTACAGAGTTGAATCTCTTTATTTCAGAAACTTGTGGATATGTCAGAGACAATTAAATTGAGATTTCAGTTGGAATTAATGTTTCTGACATTAAAATTGGGGGATTATACTGGAATATCTAGGTAGGCCCAGTATGAATCACAAGCATCCTTAAAAGTAGAAGACACAGGCAGAGAAGAGTTACAGGGTGATGTAACTACCAAAGAATTTTTACAGAAGTGCAATATTGCTGGCTTTGAAGATGGAGGAAGGAGCCCTGAGCCAGGGAATGCAGGTGGCCTCTAGGTACTGGAAAAGGCAAAGCAACCAATTTTTCTCATAGAGCTTCCAGAAAGAAAGCACCTCAGTCAACAACGTGATTTTTATTCCAATGAGATCCATGTTGGACTTCTAACCTAGAGAATTGCAAGATAACAAATTTGTATTATTTTAAGTCACTGAGTTTGGGATAATGTGTTACAGCATCAACAGGAAACTAATACATAACACATTCAGAGTAGCCTTTTGTAATATTATAAGTGGACATGAATGATTTGTTACTTATTTCCTAA
This sequence comes from Homo sapiens, assembly GCF_000001405.40. NCBI lineage: Eukaryota > Metazoa > Chordata > Mammalia > Primates > Hominidae > Homo > Homo sapiens. Next base: position 29,526,931 of record NC_000018.10, read on the forward strand.
ATAAAGTATAAGGGAGATTCTGAAATCTTCAATAATGATCTGACAGAGTGCCTTGACCTTTTACTAATTGTGCCTGTCTTGGCTTTTTATATTCATAAACTATATATATTTACTTCTATGTGACATTTCAAAATGAATTAAATGTATAGACTTAGAGCAAAGAGTGAAGATTATGTTTTGCACTTAAACCTCCTTTAATATCTAAAGTTTGACTGAATCACACTCTAAGGGACTTCCTGGCTGTGACATTCCATCCTCCACTATTGATTATGTTAAGTAAATTTGTACACTTAACATCATTGTTGCTTATTCTTGTAGGTTTTTCTAAAACAGATAATAAATTTATCGATGTGAAGGAAGGAGCCATTTCAATAGCTCCTAAACTGTCTTTGGAGATGGTTTATTATTCACTTAAGGGAGAATTTTAAACAGAAATTCTACTGAATTCTCAATGCAGTTGAGAATTATTTATTCTCACAGTTATTTTTAAGTATGGATTTCCCAATCTTCCCAAGAAAAAAGGACTAGGACAGGTGGGCTAGCATCTTGTCGATAGAAAATCTGAGTACTAAAATGGCCTCCAAGGGAAGTAGAAACACATTTGCCTTCATTGTATGGGGACACAGTTCATCCAGCACATCCTTCTGTTGATGTTTACTAATCATAGTAGATAAATACAACAAAAATATATTGTACATATGAATAAATCAATATTTGTTGTTTATAGTAAACAAATGAACAAAATTACATTTCTATATATGCACTAAAATTCTTATATAGTAGTGTCACCGAAGGCTAAATAAGGCAGAATGTTTAGGATAAAGGAAACTAAAATCAAGAAAAAAGATCAAGTTTTTGAAGTGATACTGAATATCTCCCAAAACATGGTTATATAATAACCTCATTCAAGTTGGATCCTTAGCCCATATTATAATGAGATTGCTATGGGCAGAACACTTTTGAGTCTTTGGCACTTGGTAATAAAAGAGAGGGTGTGCATTTTAGACCAGATCAGTTCATTCTTCATTTTATAGCTAAGAAATGGAGAGAACACATGCTACAATTAATCATAGTAAAGTTCTAGCTTAACACAGACATTAACTTCAGACAAAAATAAAATAGTACCATATTTGTTCCTGGTCACACCTATCCACCTCCATCATCAAAAAAACACTGCTTTTTGTTTCAACACTTTGTGGCTCTGGGTCAATTTCACTACAGTAAACAGCTATTTACTATGCTCTTCTATTGTTCAAATGATTGAGTTGACTCATTAAAGTTGATTATTACAATAACTGCTCTTCAGTGATGAATTGAAATTTTAGATAAGTTCTGTATGTGACTTTTTTTTAACTTTTTTTTTCTCCCTAGGGAAGTCAGAGACTGCATCAGAGAAAAACTGGCATACAAAAGGTGTCTTAATTTTTTTTAAGTAGTTAATGTGGTAAAGTTAGAAACATGTTCTAAAAAGAATGAACAATGGAAACTGCAACAGAAAATTTAGGAAAATGTAGCTAGTCATTTGTTTGAACAACTTTATTTAAATAAATCTAAAATTAGTTTTCCTTTCCATATGTCACTTTCCGAGCATGTATTCCTGTGTTTATGTGTGTGCATGTATGTGCTAGTGGTGGAGAGGGAGAAGGGCATAGTGGTGGAAAGGAAAAGAGAAGGGTACACTAACTGGAGTGAAAGCTGTCATTACTAAGATACAGTTTGAGAAATGCACTCATCCATTCATTAATTCTAAGATATGGTTTGAGAAATGCACTCATCTACTCATCCATTTATTCAATAAATATTTAATGAGCGCCTACTATGTTACCCAAAGTAGTTTAGGAGCTGGTAAATTAATGGTGAAATGTACCTATGTCAGATATATCTGGTGTATTTGGGGGATTGCACAAGTAAATAAATTTGACCAACTTAATTTATATGAGACAATTTATTTCCAATAAGGGTTTTGGAGACAGAGTGAGTGGGGATATGTTAGGAATGATGGGGTAAAAGAAAGGTTGCATGTTACCTGTTTTCGACATTAATCACTTGATCCAGCTTCCTAGAAACAATCCCAGGACTTAAGGAGAGAGGATCTGTAAATAGAAGCTAGAGGAACTGCTTTCACATTGAAACTTATGTAGTACCCACTTAGGCCCAGATAACAAAATGTGACACAGAGTCAGGAAGGGGTGCATTTTAGTACTTTTGCACAGAAGAACCATGGCTTCTGCATTTGGAATGCAGTGATACCTTAGTCACTTGAAGGTTTGTAGCTCTGTAGTGTTAGGAGCCAAAAGCCTTGACATAAACATCAGTTCCATCAGGGCTGGCAACAAAAGGCTATCTCAAATGGTAGAATAAGTAGTAGAAGTAGGCATCCTAAAAGACTTTCTGGAAGAGTTGGGTGAGATTTTATGGGAATTTAAATTTAGAGTTGCTAAGACATGTCTTTGTTTATCTTTCGCTGACTAGCTCTAATTTTTGAAATTAAAAAAAAAATCTTTTAACCTAAATTTTACTTTTATGATCCCTAAAATGAAATTATAGTAGCCACTTTAAGGGATTGTTATGAGAATTACATTAGATAAAGCAAAACAGTGGAGTTTTTAAACAATATATATTTATTTTTAATTTTGTATTGATACATAATAGTTTTTCATATTTTGAGGGTACATATGATTTTTGATACATAGCTACAATGTGTAATGATCAAATCAAGGTTGAATTCATTTGGTATTGCATACAAAAATAAATGAACTCTGGAAAATAGATTTGTGTTTCAGTTATAATTAAAAAGTAAATATTAAGAAAAAACTAAGTAGGAATTTTTGGAAGCAAATGTAAATGCTTTGAGATGGAAATCTTTTGGAGCCGAAAAGTTTAGGTTTAATCTGACTATAAAACTGTACCCTCTTCCCTTCAATGGGAAGCCAGTAATTGTTAACATCAGCAAAATAATTTGCTTCTAAAAGATTGCCTTTTGGAATTAATTATAAGATATAAGTAGTTTCGTTCTCTCATTAAAATGATATCCTTGTGGGAACCAGAGAATGGTCTGAAACCAGGCACTAGAAGGGCTAATATAACTTAAATAAATCCTTTTGATTTTTCTTAATCCTGAGAATTTTGGCCACAAACCAGGGACTTTGCCTTAGTAGCAGATGTCAATTTGTAAGGTCTAGCAGTCCCCCAAAGAAGAGAACATGTAGCTGGTTTTAAAGCTAATAATAAAGCCGAATCCAGCCTTCAGTCTTACCACCCTGCCATATTCAGAGCTTCAGGAAAAGTAATTAGTGTGGTGATGGGAATAGTGTCAATGCCCCCCAAACTAAAATTTTTCATTATTACAGAACATTATTAAAGTATATGTGCATTAAAATATTAGGGCCAATCATTATGTTTATAGGTTCATATTAAACAAAGAGATTAAGAAACATAAGGCACTAGAAGGTTATATTGAATATAATTTACTTATTTATTCAATAAGTTATATTAAAGATATAAATATTAATATTAATGCTTCTCTTTTTTAAAAAAAGCTTAATTGGAGCAACAGACAAACCAAATAATGTTTATAATGCATTGTGATTAATTCCATGCTAGAGGTATACACAGAATAATTTTTAAAAATTGTGCTACAGAATCAGTAAATTCTCATAAATATCACAGATTCTGCTGAGTACTGAAGGCAAAATTGGACTGAGCCAGATGAAAGAGTATTATAATAATAAGAGTGGTCCCAGCAGAGAAGACAACACTTGAGGAAGAAGAAAGTATGACTGATAATATGCTCACGGCCCTGCAAGTAAGCTGGCTCACTTGGGATAGGAGATGGGGAAAGGGAGGTAAGAAGGGACAGACAATGACTCCAATTTGCTCAGAATCCATCATGGCCCATAAGTACAAAGAACTTTGAGGAATAGAGTATTGCATGGGTGTGAAATTGTTTGCTATTTAGAATTTATAATACATACTTGTTATAGTAGTATTCAGGGTTCCCTAATTCCTGTTTAGGACACGCAAATGATATCGATAATCTGTTGGGAGGTCTGCAAAATGAGAATTGAAGTCAATAAGTAACAATTGTATGTACTTTCAGCCCAACAGTTAAGCAAATGTATATTTATGAGTGCTGAAATTTAGGAAATTGCTAAATATTAGTCTTCACTTTTACTGTGGGTTTTGGTCAGTCTGACTTGTTCATTAGTACAGCAATTTCATGATCCAGTGAAGATTACCAGGGTTTTGTTTCCTAGCCAGATTTCTCAGAAATTCTCTGGCTTTGTCAAACATATGTAAACTGGAATGACCATTAACCTGTAAATTTGATCAATGCAGAGAGTATATATGAATAATTTATAAACAGAAAATAACTATTTCTAACAATAGCAACCTCTTTGCCTTACAAATCTACACATATTTTTCAATATCTCAGTTAAGAATGCTGTTGATATACCTTTTCATATTAGTTTTATTTACAGATTTCAAGTTATGGATCTTCATATTTAAACTTATCCTATTGGAAATTCAGTAGCTCACGTATATCTGGCAAACATCTTCTTAGGGTCAGCGAAATAGACACTACTTAAAAGTTTTTAAAAATTAAAATATTATTTGAATATTATAAGGGATAAATATAAAGTTTTCAAAATGACACCTATGATATTGTATTTATTATGAAGAATGGTTTTTATTTGATGTACTTTATTGAAAAAATACCACTTATTATTTAACAATTGCATGAGTTACAAACATCATCACTGGGAGTTAGATAAACATAAAACCCACCACAGAGAATTAGCTATGGATGTACAACACAACTTATTGTTCAGTTTTCTTGTTAAAGACCAAAGTGTTGAACTAGTTCTCATGTTTACAAAAGAAAATTGGTCATGAGACATCTTATAAAATCAAGAATGCAATCCCATTCATAATAACCACAAAAATAATAAAATACTTAGGACTACAGCTAACCAGGGAAGTTAAAGATCTCTACAGTGAGAACTACAAAACACTGCTCAAAGAAACCACAGATGACACAAACAAATGGAATCCATTCCATGCTCATGGATAGGAAGAATCAATATTCTTAAAATGGCCACACTGCCCAAAGCTATTTACAGATTTAATGCTATCTATTTCAAACTACCAATGACACTCTTCACAGAAATAGAAAAAAAAACTATTTTAAAATTTATATAGATCCAAAAATAGAGCCTGAATAGCCAACGCAATTCTAAGCAAAAAGAACAAAGCTTGAAGCATCATGTTACCCAACTTCAAACTATACAATAAAATGACAGTAACTAAAACAGTGTGGTACTGGTACAAAAACAGACACATAGAACAATGGAAGAGAATACATTCCAAAAATAATGCCACATACCTACAATCATCTGATCTTTGGCAAGGCAAACAAAAACAAGCAATGGGGAAAAAACTCCCTATTCAATAAATGGTGCTGAGAAAACAGGCTAACCTTATGCAGAAGATTGAAACTAGACCCCTTCCTTATACTATATACAAAAATTAACTTAAGATTGATTAAAGACTTAAATGTAAAATCTAAAATGATAAAAACCCTGGAAGATAACCTAGGAAATACAATAGGACCTGGCAAAGATTTTATGATAAAGACGCTAAAAGCAATTGCAACAGAAACAAATATTGACAAATGGGGCCTAATTAAACTAAAGGGCTTCTACACCAAAAAAAAAAAAAAAAAAAAACAGACAAGCTACAGAGTTGGAGAAAATATTTGGAGACTGCAAATTTTTTTTGACCTACAAAGTTCTAATATCCACAATCTGTAGGGAACTTAAACACATTTACAAGCAAAAGACAAAGTACCCCATTAAAAAGTGGGCAGTGGGCAAAGGACATGAACAGATGCTTTTCACAAGAAGACATACATGTGTCCAAGAAGCATTAAAAAAATGCTCAACATCACTAATCATTAGAGAAATGCAAATCAAAATCACAATGAGATACCATCTCATATCAGTCAGAATGGCTATAATTAAAAAGTTTAAAAGTAACATACTGGCATGATTGTGGAAAAAAGGGAACACTTGTATACTCTTGGTGGGAATGTAAATTAGTTCAACTATTGTGGAAAGCAGTGTAGTGATTCCTAAAAAGCTTAAAACAGTACTATCATTCCACCTAGAAATCCCATTATTGGGTGTATTCCCAAAGAAATGTAAATAATTCTGCCATAAAGACACATGCATGTATGTTTATTGCAGCACTATTCACAATTGCAAAGTCATGGAATCAGCCTTAATGTCCATCAATTGTAGACTGAAAAAAGAGAATGTGGTAAATATACACAATGGAATACTACACAGTCATAAAAAAGAATGAGATCATGTCCTTTACAGCAAGGTGGATGGAGCTGCAGGGCATTATTCTAACACAACTAACACAGGAACAGAAAACCAAATATCACACATTCTCGCTTGTAAGTGGGAGCTAAACAATGAGGACAAATGGACACAAAGAGGGGAGCAACAGACACTACTTGAGGGTGAAAGGTGGGAGGAGTGAGAAAATCAAAAAACTACTTATAGGGTACTATGCTTATTAGTTGGGTGACAAGATAATCTGTATACCAAACCCCTGTGACACATAGATTACCTATGTGACAAACCTGCATGTGTACCCCTGAACCTAAAATAAAAGTTAAAAAAAGAATATAACACCAAATTACATATACTGTAGAGTTAATATTTTATCTTATCTTAATGGCAGTAGTACCACTATTTATTTATTGTTTTTGTTTCAATTTTAAGACTGATGGAAAAGACAAGAGAGGATGGAAAAGACAAGAGAGACTACAAAATAATTTAATAGAGTTAAAAATAATTTTCAATCAACAAACCTCATATAACCTTACTGCTGACTAATGTTCTGATTGACAGAGAAATGTTCAGAGGATGGAGTATAATTCTTAGATATAATTTAGTTTACAGCCTGCTATAAAGTGCTAATGTATTGAAGAATATACAGAGTGAGAGAGAGAAAAGGAAGAAAAGAGGAGAGGAAAGGGAGGAAGGGCTGATAAACAATAATTCTAGTGTGAGATACTGTCTACTAATTTATTCAGATAAAATAAAATAATGAAATATATATGACAGAACCCATATAAAAGAAGAATATTTGAATGTTTGTCTTGATCAATGGAGACAGGTGATAACTTATTACAGAAGTTTACCATAAAACTGTGAATTTTATGGCTGTGGCTCATTTTTAAGGTTCTCTTAAAAATTGAAATGGGAAGTTTAAAACATCCCGTTTCCAGAATATGACCTTGGAAATTGTCTTGGGAGATTTCCTTTTAGTAAACTCCTTAATACTCTATCCATGTCATGGGCTTCTCAGGAATTGCTTCCTTAATTAGAATATATATTTTACATTAGTTTCTAATTAACTGATATTCTTAAAAAATTAAATAATTCTGGAAGCCTCATAGTAAGGTAATTTTAGATACACTCTAGGTTGTATATAGGACAAGTTTTATTATTTTCATTAAGGTGTAGTATGGCCTATAGATCTTTTGAATTACAAACAGAAGTCATTTATATTTTGGTTCACATGTATTTTGACTTAAGGAGTACATCAATGGCCAACTTATAGTATCTTCTTTGAGGTTTTGAGGAAGGTCTGATGCTGACAAAAAGTGAGTGCCAATTTTCTCCATTTAGGACACTAATTATATTCACATAACCTCTTGTTCATTACCACTTTCTAATATTTACTTTAAGTAACTAATGTTTCATAAATAAACATTAAATCTAAAATGTTAATATATTAAAATATAATAAATAGGAGCAGAAGAAGTGAGAAACTATGAATGAAAATATTTAACAGACTTTATGGTAACCCAAAATTCATAAATAGGTTTCAAATAAAGTGGATATACAAAGAAAGATGTAATTATTTTTATAGTGCTCTCTACATGTAAGTTAATATTTACAATATTTATGCAACATGGACTAAAGGAGTATACTCAGGAGCAATTAAACACAAAAACAAGTTGTTAGATCGGTCTAATTGTAAGGACTAATATTCTCAAACACAGGTAAGTTAGGCAGGGTTTTGTACAGGCTACTGGGTTTGTGAGGGCTTATATATTTACAGAATGATATTTTTTATTTTGAGACAGATGCTAAAGGCACAAATAATTCTCATGTCTTCAAGATGCAAAGGTGTCCTCAAGTTTGTAAAATCCTGCCACCTCTGTAAACATGCAAGGAAATGTCCTGTAACATGAGGAACATGGTCTTTGCTTCAGCCCTGACAGAGAGTGTGGGAATAGCAGATATATAACACATAGAGGAGTTATAAATATCTCCAGGCATTATAAGATGATCTGCTCTTGTTTTTAACTCAAACTCTTATTTAGAGATTCTAGGATGATAAAATTCTGCCAGGTATGTTTAGAAGTTTGATTATTCTTTTTCTTGTTTATGTTTGGTGAAAATATTCTCTCTGAGTGATAACAGAAATAGAAAGGGAGTTGATATATATGGAATGGATTTTTTTTCTATCATCACTGATAATTTTGCATTTCTTGAAATGAAAAAGGATAATCAAATAAAAGGTAAGACTGTTGATAGTATTATATTTGTCATGAGCCACACTATGTATATATACTTTCTATATAACTATATTATTTCAGTTGTCTTAATAATGGATTGAAAAGGCATATGTTAGTTATCTGTCATGCTATAATGGTATATACAACTTCTTTGTGTATATTATGCTATAATGATATATATGTTATTTTTTATTTTTATTTTTATATTAAATTAGATTAAAATAGTACAATTTTCAATGGAAATAACTGTATTATCACCTCTGTATAACCTCGAAGGTTTTTAAATAATTTATTTATTTATTTATTTATCTTGCTGTAGGAAAGTTAAGCTACAGTCTTTAATATTTAGCTATAGAAAAGGAAGCAATAGTTTTTGGATTTGTAGTCTGTATTGAAGTGCTAATATGTTGAAGAAAATAGAATTCAGATATTCATTCAGGTAGTTGGATATCTGCTGCATGTATTCAGAGGTTTTTGTGACAAGTTCCATCAGAAAGCCGATCAACACAAAACTAAATAAGGGTTCTTCCAGTTATTCTGAGAAAAATTTTTGGCATCACCAAAGACTCCTATTTAATTTTACTTACATTTCTGCTTATGGTTAAGTCCTGCCCGACTTACATCTCTAGTTTCTCTTGCAGTTTTCTTCTCTGTTTCATCCTTGCTGAGCACTAGTCCATGGATTTCTCTTGATAAAAATTGGTGATCTGTCCTCCTGACCAATTTCTCATTTGTCTTTCTATGTTCTGTTTTCTCTCACCACTCCAAATTGCCACTATAGTCTCCCACTTAACCATATACATCTTGTGGCCACATCAAGCTAAATGACTTGCATTATGAGAGATTTCTGATTTCCCTCCTGTATGTTACTTTTTACACAGTCATGCCTCCCACTTGGCATATCTACTCTTTCAAGTATACCCATAACAGTTCCTCTCATTTATCAAGACAGAGTACAAAACAAGTTTTCTGAGTAGCTCTTTCTTTCCCTCCTACCTCAAAGTAATCATTTCCTCCTACACATAGCCATAATATTCTGAAGTTCATTTATGTCATTTTACCTATTACCATATACTTACACTTGTGTCTTACTTCTTTAGGAGGGAAGATCTTTCATCTCATTGTATGAAAAAATCAGTTTATTTTCTACCATACTTTGTAAATGGCACTTCTTCATCATTGTCTGGAATAAACAAAGGAGGAATGAAGAGGATTGCTTAATAGGACCTCTAAAAAATGAGAAAAAATATTCAAATAATCTAACCGCTATATGTTGAGAAGGAGCCACCAAAGATTGATAAAATATGATGTGTATGACTTGGACATAGGAAATGATTCTATATAATTATCACTGGATAGCTAACTCACGAATTTTGTTTCTTTTTTCTTTCTTTTTCTGTTTTTGAGACAGGGTGTTGCTCTGTCACCCAGGCTGGAGGGCAGTGGCTTGATCACTACTCACTGCACCCTTGACCTCCAGGGCTCAAGCAATCCTGCCACTTCAGCCTCCTGAGTAGCTGGGATGACAGACATATGCCACTGCACTGGGCTAATGTACTTTTTTTTTTTTATAGAGACAGAGTCTTGCATGCTGCTCAAGTTGGTCTTAAACTCCTGAGCTCAAGCAATCCTCCTGCCTAAGCCTCCCAATTGCTGGGATTACAGGTGTGAGTTAAAGTGCCCAGCCACCTTGTTCTTAAAAATAAAGATCTACCCAAGGACTGAATGATAGAAAAGGATGATACAAAGAGTCACTTTCTTACCTTCTCCTCCACCAAATTAAAAAAAAAAAGCCTTCATTCATAACAGAATTTTTTTTTTTTGAAACAGAGTCTCACTTTGTCTCCCAGGCTGGAGTGCAGTGGAGTGATCTTGGCTCACTGAAATCTCCACCTCCTGGGTTCAAGTGATTCTCCTGCCTCAGACTCCTGAGTAGCTGAGACTACAGGTGCCCACCACCATGCTCAGGTAATTTTTGTATTTTTAGTAGAGGCGGGGTTTTAATTTTTATGTTTGTACCATTTTAATGATGTTTTTATTCGTAGAAATTGAAGGGAAAAATAAATCATTTTTTGTACTTCATGTTTGTGTCTATTGACCACTTTAAAGAAAAAAGACTTATTATGTTATTTGAAAGAATATGATTGGTATGCTCACTTACTCTACTAACATTCTATCATTTTTAACAAGGTACGTAACAGGCTATACCACTAGGAAGGCATATATAAATGGCAAAAGTGTTTGTCATAAGAAAAAATATGAAAAAAAAAACCCACAAAAGATTGAAAGTGAGTTTTGAATACTTGTTCCCTTTTGAGGAGGAGGGCACAGTTTAAGTTATAAAAACCAGTAGGATAATAGAATACATTCATGTAGTTTAGAGTGTGGTAAAATTAATACTTCTCTCTAAAGGAAATGCTTACTTTTGATATTTAATACTTTATTGGAAACTAAAAATAGATGCATTAATCCTTCCAAGTGCACAATTTTTTGTCACCTAGATTTCACCATGTTATAGAGAATGTAGAGCTGATTTGGCCACTGATGATCAATTTTTCCTTTGAACACTTATTGCTGTAATTGTAGTAAAATAAAGACTCATATTTCTTGAATATCTTCTGTGTCCTAGGCTTTCTTCCTTTATGTATATTATCTCATTTAATTTCACAAAATTCTGATGGGGTTGTTATTGTCACTATTTTCCAGATGAACAATTGAAGTTTTTAGTTTAACTTGTCCAGGATTACGTAGCTACATGACCAAGATGGATTCAAAACCTGGTCTTAGGATGCCAAGGCCAATGGCTTTCTTTATTTCAAGCTGACATTTGGGTCCATTTGTAAGTAGATTTAGAGCTAAAAACTACAATTTTTTTTTACAGGGAAGACATCCCTTATTGTTAAAGTAATCTTTTAAGATATAATTTTATGGTTTCCATATATACCTGTATGTATAAAGATCTCCTACATACATGTATAGACATATATATGTATGTGTGTGTGTGTGTGTGTGTGTGTGTGTGTATGGGGAGGAGATATTTAGATCAATGATGAGAGGTCCTGGGTATTATAATGCTACAGAAAGTTTCTTACAAACCTTAGCCAGTCACCTGTTTGAAAAGAAATGACTCCAAGCAAAAGGAACAAGTCTTATTAAATTATTGTTAAGAATTAACTGTGTGCTAGGGAACTCTAAAAACTTTATATACATTAAACCATTCAATCATTGTAAGAATATGTTAACTTAGTGATATCACCTTATTCCTTTAGATGCAAGTAGTTTTAGAGAGGATTGATACTTGCCTAAGCTTACACAATGAGCAAGTAGCAAAGCAAAGACAGGAACTTGATTTGATTTAACTACTTCTTTAATGCTTCCAGCAATATACAGTTGACCCTCGAACAACACTTTTGAATGGCACAAGTTCACTTACATGCTGTTTTTTCCAACAATTATATTGGAAATGTTTTTGAGATTGTGACAATTTGAAAAAACTCTTAAATAAGTTACATAGACTAGAAATATTTAAAAAATTAACAGAAAGTTAGATATGGCATGAATGCACAAAGTATTGTATGTATGTAGATTGTAGTCTATTTTATCTACATGTATGTAGAATGTAGTCTATTTTATCATTTACTACCATAAAATATACACAAATCTATGATAAAAAGTTAAAATTTGTCAAAACCGACACACTAACACTTACAGATTGTGAATGGCACTATTCACAGTTAAGAGAAATATAAACAAATGCAAGGATTCAGTATTAAATCATAATTGCATAAAATTAGCAGTAGTTCATACTGTACCACTGTTATTTCGTAGTCACCTTCTATTGCTATTGCAGCGAGATTAACTGTTGTGAGTGTCCACTTAAAGAGTCCTGTGATGCTAATAATCTCCCTGTGAGCATTTCATCCCTCCAGTAAATTGAATATGATGGTACAAAAATGAGCTCTTGTGGTTCTTGCATCATGTTCATCCTGTAGAGCGCAATATCCAAAACCTTGAATAACACCATGGGACCCATACGAAGTGCCGCTAGTGATGCTGGACGTGCTCTCAAAAAGCAGAGAAAAGTCACAACATTACAGAAAAATGTTGAGTTGCTTAATATGTATCATAGAGGTCTGTAGTTGCAGGTCCCAACAATTTCAACACAAATGAATCCAGTTAAAGGTTGTTGCAAAAAATGAAAATAAAATGTGTGAAGCTATCATTGCAACTATCCCAGCAGGAGCCAAATACCTTTCACGAAAAAGGTATTTTGTGAAATACCTTTTCATATGGTATTGAAAATGCAGATTTTATGTAGGTACAGGACTGCTATAAGAGAGGCATAACTATGGAGACTAATATGATTTTAGAAAAATCTAAGTTACTACGATAAAGCAAAAAAACAAAACAAACCAACCAAACAAACAAACACAAACAGGTGAAGTCTCTAAAGCTGTGGAATTTAATGCCAGAAAAGGATGGTTTGATAAATTTAGAAAGAAGTTTGGCTTTAAAAATATCAACATAATGGAAAAAGCAGCTTGTCCTAACCAAGAGGCAGCAGATGTGTTCCCCAAATATCATTAAGAAAATCACTGAAAAAAAGAAGGGTATCTGCCTGGACAGTTTTTGAAAACAGACAAAAATGCTCTATTCTGAAAAACAAAAAGCCACTAAGGATATCTATTAGTAAGGAAGAGAAGTGCGTACCAGAATTTAAGGCAGGAATAGCAAAGCTAACTCTAGTGTTTTGTACAAATGCAGTTTGGTGATCAAGACTGCCCTTATATATGAAGGTGCTAATCCCCGAGCCTCAAGTTCTTCACCTGCTGCCAGTATTTTGGATGTACAACAAGACGGCCTGGAGAGGGAGAACCCTTTTTCTGGATTGGTTCCATTGATGGTTTGTCCCTGATGTCAGAGAAAACCTTGCCAGTGAGAGACTGCTTTTTAAAGTTCTTTTGATATTGGATAATTCCCCTGGCCAGCTAGAATGCCCCTATGACCTCCTTCCACATCAAAGGTGTCAAAATGGTCTACTTGCCCCCAAACACATGTTTCTCACTAAGCCTCTAAATCAAGGAGTCATGAGGCCCTTTAAGACTCATTAACCATGATATTCTATGGAAGGAATTATCAATGCTATGCAAGAGAACTCCAACAGAGAGAACATCATGAAAGTCTTGAAGGATTACATCATTGAAAATGCCATCATTGTTATAGAAAAAGCCATGGAAGTCATCCGGCATGAAACAATAAATTCCTGATATAGAAAACTGTATCGAGATGTTGTGCATAACTTCACAGGATTTATGACACAGCCAATAAAGAAAATCATGAAAGGAATTGTGGATATGGCAAAAAAAAGAAGGATGAGGGTGAAGAGTTTCAAGGTATGAATCTTGGAGAATTCCAAGAGCTGATATACACCATACCAAAGGAATTAAGAGAAGACAACTTGATGGGGATTGCTTGAGTGCTTCTGAACCAACGCCAGATGGTAAGGAAGAAGACTTAGAATAAGTGGTGCCAGAAAACAAAGAGACATTAGACAGTCCAGCAAAAGGGCTCTGGTTAAGCAAGATTGATTTTGGCTTCTTTTATGACATAAACTCTTCTATGAAAAGGGCACCCAAAGTAAAGCAAACTGTGGAACAGGGATTGGTACTATATATAAACATTTTAAGAGAAATGAAAAAGAAAAACAGAAAGAAATTACAAAGTGTTTCTGTAAAGTTACACAAAGTAACTTACAAGTATACCCGACTCTCCTGCCTCCACTTCCATCCTCTACCTCTTACACCTCTGCCACCCCGCCTGAGACAGCAAGACCAACCCTTCCTCTTTCTCCCTCTCCTCAACCTACTCAAAGTAAAGATAACAAAGTAGACTTTTGTGATGAGCAATTTTTACTTAATAAATAGTAAATATGTTTTCTCTTTCTCATAATTTTTAATAGTATTTTCTTTTCTCTAGCATACTTTATTATAAGAACACAGTATGTAATACATATAAAATACAAAATATGTGTTAATCAACTGTTTACGTGCTCTGTAAGTCTTCTGATCAATAGCAGGCTGTTAGCAGCTAAGGCTTTGGAGTCAAGATAGATGTACAGGGAGTTGGAAACCCTAATCCCCATGTTCAAGAGTCAACTGTAATTTTAAAATCTCACTTTTCAATCAAACATGATGCTGAAGTCTGTTGCCCTTTTATTACTCTCCCAGTCTCATTGAAAATAGATGTGTTTCCTCATTTACCATTAACTTCACACTCATTTGTTCTAGGAAGAATTCATTTTTATTACCAATTGCTTTGCTTTTACACAGACACCACTTTGCAGCTATATAGCCCTTTGGCAGGTACTTGTTCCCCTGTGGTCTTTGTACAAGTCTTGTTGTACGTTCACGTACTTTCTATTTTTGGATGTTTATTTTTCCGTAGGGCTCTTTGTGCTTTGTTGGGTCTGTTTGGAGATAATTGAAATCAGTAAGAAAAGCAGTGGCAGCAAAAAGTCTAATTCGCTCATAGATGGCTAGAAAAATTCCCTGGGAATTTATGATAATCTATATCTTTCTGCTTCTATTCAAATCAATTTGTAGAGTTTGAAAGAAACAAGCATTTTCAGGACAGTCTCTGACCAGTAGCAACTAAAGAAAAATAAAGCAGTGATTTAATTTTCATCAATGTTAAATTTTCTATGCTAAATTCAAATGTAAACTGAATAATATTTTTAGTATTGTTAATTATATCATCTTTTTTTCCAAGTGACTTTTGTGTTATAAAAATTGTTCTTTAGTTATATAAGATACATACAGAGTGTAAAGAATGGAAATTATTTTGGAGTAAACATTCCCTTGCCTAGTACATTATATCCCATAAATTTGAAGAAAAAAAGTTTTATGGGTTTCTATTGTTAAGCATTACAATAGATTTTATAGTATGGCTGAAAGAATTTTTGTAGTTCAGTAATAGCAGTGGAGTCAATCTCTTCATTTGAAACATAAGACATAACTCTGAAAGAGGCAGGAGCATTATCAAAACACCCAGGATGTAAGGAGAATATCACAAAGTTACTTCTAGAGCCTGTTTGACTCTTAGGTTTACATTTAAGTTTTCAGATTGCTCTAAGCTATTGCCAAGGAGTTTTAGATGAACACAAAGCCAGTAAAAGGAGCAAGATGTTGCTGTGAGGAATTCACCTTGAATGCTCTTAGAGAAGACATGAGTATTATTTCTGGGAGAGTGAAGGTAACAATCTAAAATCACCAACTTTGAAGGTGACTCACATTAAGCCTCCTGATTAGCAAAATATTTTAATAAATGAGAATCTTTTTATAAGACATTGTAGCGTAAACTCCTCCTGCAATTAGATAAAAGTAGTTCACTTTGCTCTATATGAGTTCATAATTAATTTGTTTATTTGTTCCACATATGCTAGGCACTGTTCTAGGATCTGGGATACAGTAATGAACAAGGCAGAGAACATAACTAATCATATAAAATAAGTAATCATATAAAATTTACTTTCTGTCTACCTTACAGTTAAAGATTTACAAGCCATCTCTAAGAACTTTTAAAGAACAGAATAAGGTGCATTATTTTATTCCTGAAGTCATATGGGAAAATCATGTATCTGTGGAAAACTAAAATGAATCACAAAACAATTAGATATTATTAAAAAGTCTTATTGTTTATTAGACATTAAAGAAAACATAGTATGTTTTGAGATGAGGGTTAAAATCAGCATTTACCAGAGAAGCCCTGCATAAGATATTGAAAAGTTCTGTTATTTTGAATTGTTATTTAACTCCAAGAACAACTAGCACCATAAAACATGTTGTTAAGGGAGATGGCTATCTGTTAACACAAATGCTTTTAGTCTTACTGGCAACAGCCAAGAGAAACTATGAAAAGATAAAAGTGATCATTTTTTTTTCTAATTTGAAATCACTACTTAGTTGAAAGTGGAGTGAATTTAAATCATTTTATTATCAATATTTTATTAATCTTTCTCTTTGTGAAGAATGATGTGTGTCTTCCTCTGCACCCATATAAATACATAATTACAATTCTGGCAAAATAAGCATTTTGAAATAACCTTTTCTCAGCTGGTAGATGTATGTTGTTTCACTAAAAACATGAAACAGATATCTGCTGAGAATTTGAAGAATTTGGCATAGGGCTTTTTGATCCAATGTCAAGAAAACTTTATAATTATTTTCTCTATTTAAAAAATGACCAATATTGATGTTACAAGGTCAACATTATTTCTTGTCTTTGGCTCAACTAGAGTTCCTTTTAAGTTGAAACTTTAATTGAGCAATAAGATATACAACTTTGAGTCAGAAGTATGTTAAAATACCAAATGTTTCCAAAGAAAATTATTTTGTATTTTGTTCTTTTCATATTGACGATTCATTGTTAAACTTGTAAGTTTTACCTTTTGCCACTCCACCTTTTTTTTTTTTTTTTTTTAAGACAGTCTCATTCCATCACCCAGGCTGGAGTGCAGTGATGCAATCTCTGCTCACTGCAGCCTCCATCTTCTGGGTTCAAGCGATTCTAGTCTCCTGAGTAGCTGGAATTACAAGCGCACACAACCACGCCCAGATAATTTTTGTATTTTTAGTAGAGATGGGGTTTCACCATGTTGGCCAGGCTGGTCTCGAACCCCCGACCTCAAGTGATCCTCCTGTCTCAGCCTCTCAAAGTGTTGGGATTATAGGGGTGAGCCCTTTTGCCCCTTTCTTAACTGATGATGACTTTCTGACTTCTCATACATTTTGTCATAGATAATGTCTTTTGCACATAGTTCAGCCAATTTGACTACAACTTACATGAAAGAATAGTTCAGGTTTAAGCTATTGCCTTATAATTATTTAAGAATTGGTGCTCATAGAATTAATGCTTTTGCGTAGTTTTGCCCACCCACCTAAATCTCCCTATATGTACCTTATATTTAGGTGATATTTTTGACATACTCTGTATCTAAAAATATCAAAGATATTTTTACAAGAAAGTAGAGTGGGAAGGAGTCTATGAGGAATATAATGTATTGACAGATTATTACTAAGTTAAATAAAGGCTCAAAAATTGCAAGCCTTGCTTTTTTAAAATTATCCTTTGTGACTTAAATAGATTTTGGTGAATTTTAAATTTTATTTGCCTAGTGTCAAAAGAAGAGGCAAAAAAACAGACTGCAAAGCAGTAAGACAAGGCATTTACTGGGGTCTTCGGAATTGCAATTTGGGAGACACAGTTTCATCAACAAGTCAAATTGTGTTCTGAAGACAGAGAGGGGAAGAGGAGTTTTTAAAAGGAAGCTAAGGGTGATTACAGAAGTTGTTTTGAAAGAATTATCATTGGTGGAGGCAACAGGCTTAGAACAGGAGTTCATAGTTCATTGGTTGTTGCTATTCAGGAGTTGCAGTGCTGGCAAAATTCAGTTGTTTTCAAGTATGTTGTGATTGTGGCTGTTTGGCCAAGTTCAAAGGTTCAAGACAGGTTCCTGGGGTTTTTGTTTTGTTTTGTTTTGTTTTTGTTTTTGTTTTTAAGGATGTAGGTCATGTTCATTTCAGAAATCTGAACCAGAGTGACACCATTTTGTATATGACATTTCACAATAGTAGGCAAAGTGGCTCAGCAATTAGTGAAAGTTAGCCATGTAGCCATGGAACTATTGTGGTCCACTCATTCAGGAGTTATTTAAACCATTAAGGCAATATACAATGTAGGCACTAAGAACACAAAGATAAATAAGATATAACCCTTAATTTCTAGGAGCACAGAGTTTAGCATGGAGTACAAATAAATGATTGAAATAATATACAAAATTGCTACCAGTATATGAGTTATGTATGGATATGATAATTTTCCCTATGCTTCAGATGGGGAACATGACATATGATTTTGACACTGAAGAAAAGTTTCAGTTCACTGTGAAGAGAGAAAAACGATGATCAACCCAGGCAATAGAAATAACATTTACAGAGGTACTGATGTGGAATAAAGAATCCTAAGTGCATGTTGAGTAATTGAACCTGATTTTGCAAATGTAGGATGGCTTTGTATGACATGCTAATTTATTTAAACTTTAAAAATAAAACGCCAACTTGATAGAATTAGAATATCTGGAGAAAAAGTTGGGACACTTAACAACAAAATGCAATGTAGACCGATACTTGCAAAATGTAAACTTGTAAAAAATTTCCCACTCAGTCTTCAGAATTCAAATACAAATGTATTTAAATGTTTAAAATAAGTGCTAACCATCATAGCCAAAATACTACACTTTAAGTATTTTTGTTACGTGATATTAAATACATAGATTTTTATGTGTTTTCCAACTTTGGTTTTTACTATCAGAGAAATAATATGGGGCAGTTTATTTATCAATTAGAACAAAACATATTGGGATTTTTTATGAATTTAAAAAATAGAGTAAAATTTCCTTCTCTCAAAGGAAAAAAATTACAAAAATAAGTAAAAGGAGCAGAGAATACCCTAACACTGCCCAAAATGTGAGAGACACAACTTACAACATAAACTTTGGAAAGTTCTGTGCATAGATAGATTTTATCGTGAACTCCTTGCTCTTCCACATTTCCATGTGCACAACAAAAAAAGAAAAAGGGGAGAACTTGCAAACAGTTTAAGAGCATATATTATAAAGTTGCTAAAAATAACTAAATCATCCTATGAAAATCAGAGAAAAATAATGAGTATCTAAGATGATGAAAAACAAACTAATCTTTTTTTTTGCTTTTTCTTCATAAAACATTTAATACTAGAAAAGAGTGAAATGACTTCTGCAATATATCAAGGAAAAAATAGTCTTAAATGTGTAATAGATTAGATATATTTCACCAATATAGTCTTCTAAAAAGAAAATTCTTAACATTTTTCAGCTTAACATTATTTCAGCTACCCAAATAAGAACTCAAAATCAACACATCCGAAATGGTGAACCCATGGTATGAAATTGTGGCAGTGAGAATTGGATTTATTAAAATATAGAACAAAGGGGAAAAACATTTTGGTAATATTATTTAAATTACAAATATTACACATTTTAAAAGATGTTAAATATAATAATATTAAATGGCATATAATGTCTTAGTACTAGCTATTTCTAAACACACACTTAATATTCTGTATTCTACTTCAGTGCCTCTGTAAATGTTACTTCTGACGTCTGGGTGGGTCATCTTTCTTCCTTCTTCACAGTGAACTGAAACTTTTCTTCAATATTTAAATCACATGTCATGTTTCCCATCTGAAGCATAGAGAAAGCTGTTACACCCACATGTACCTCATATATTAGGAAGGAAATTATAGTAAAATGAAATGCAATAGTACTTTATTCTAAAAGTAGTACATAAAAAATAGAGGCTTGTCATGTTAATTAAATTTGTAACAGTAATAGTACAGAAACTAAAATTATCTATATTATATTTTTCAAGATTCCAGGTTAACTAAAACAAACAAAATAACAAAGTATACAGGAAGATCTAGAAGGCAAGAAAAATCAGTATATATGGGAATTCCATTTTCAGTTAAGATCTAGAAAGGATCTCGGTCTCCTAAGAGACAATTTCTGAACCTACTGAAAAAATGCCAAATCAGCTGCAAAAATCATAGTACTCTTGTTGTTTTTGGTGGTGGTGGTGTAATTTGTTTGTTTATTTGTTTAGAAAGAGATGCTTACTTATCTCATGAGCAGAGAAGTCTCCTGATTGCAGTGGGTCCCTCTCACTATCACAGAAATCTTTTTCATCAACCTACTAATGTATTTGAATAATCGTTCATCATAAGAAACAAACAAATGAAAAACAGTATACAGCTGAAAATATAAGAAATTTAAATGAATAAAATTTCAGAAAGTGGCAAACCCTTCACAGGAGAGAAGAAAGAGACCCATGTTTTCTTTTCATTCCTAGAGGAGCCGCAGCAGAAGGGAAAGACGTTATATATGAAATAGCAAACAACATTCCAACTTTTAGCTTATGGCCAATATTTTCTTTTTATTTTGAAAAAAAAATGATCTGTACAAATAAAAGGCTTCAAGAATTCTACAAGTATCTTCTTTAAGAATTATTTTGAAGCAATTTTACTCCATACCCCAAAAGTTAATACAAGATGTACCACAGAACTAAAATTAAAAAGCCCAGTCATAAAGTCTACAGAGGAAAACACATAAGAATATCTTTGCAGCCTTGGAATAAGTATAAATTTGTGGGACAATGGTATGTATCAGAATACATGTACATATGTATTGGTTTTCATTCAGTTTCTGACTCATACCTCCCATAGCCTTTGTTACAGTCCTTTGTTATAATGTTGGGTGTGTGAGGTCTCAGGGGTAGGTCTCAGGAAACAGAATCTCTCTGGACCTTCTCCTACCCTTCTTTCACCTGCCCCAAGGCAGGACTCTAATCTTCCCTGCCTTTTTAATTGTAGGTGTAAGACCTTCTCCAGAAAAGGTCCCAGTCTATACCCCCGGGAGAAGAAATGCTGATTTCACAAAGCTTCCATAAAAACTCAAGAGGAATGGGTTCCAGAGCTTCTGGAAGCCTGAAGATGTGGAAGACTCTGGAGGGTGGTGCACTCAGGAAGGGCATGGAAGTTTTGCACAGCTGTCTCCATGCCTCATCCTCCACATGTCTTTACATCTGTATCCTTTATAATATCCTTTACAATAAACCAGTAAACATAAGGAAGTGTTTCCCTGAGTTCTGTGAGCCATTCCAGCAATTTAATTGGACCCAAAGTAGGGGATGTGGGAACCCAGATTTGAAGAATCTTGTTGGTGAGAAGTTCTGCAGGCCCAGACTTGAAACCGGTGTTCAGGGGCGGGGGTGGTGGAGGGAGGGGGAGTCTTTGGGATGAACAAACTCTACACTGAATACCTGGAGATAGTATCAGAATTTAATTGGAGAATACTCAGCTGGTGTCTACTGCTTGTTGGTGGGGAAAAATCCCCACACATTTGGTTGCAGAAGTCTTCTGGGTTGATTGCTGTGGTGTGAGAGCAGAGGAAAAACAGTTTTAAGAGTTTTTCCCAAAACAGACAAGATACAAAAAGTATTAACCATAAAATACATAAATTTGTCTTCATCAGAATTAAAAAAATTGTTGATCAAAAGTAATCATGAAAATAAAAAGGCAAGATATTAGCTGGGGAAAAATATTTCTGTTATATGTACCTGACAGTATACTTGCATCATTTTTTTTTAACAAGGATGTCCCATAAATCAATAAAATAAAGATAAACTACTCAGTATTCAATAGAACTACTTAAAAATACATAAGAGACTGAACACAGAGGTAGCACAACAACAAAAAGCTAAGCAGCTAGTAAGCACATGAAAATGTGTTCCATGTTGCTATGGTTTGAATCTATACCCCAAAAAGCATGTGTTGGGAACTTAAGGCCCAATGCAACAGTTGTTGGGAGGTGTGTCCCAACGGAACAGTGTTGAGAGGTGTGGCCCAATGCAACAGTGTTGGGAGGTGTGGCCCAGTGCAACAGTGTTGGGAGGTGTGGCCCAATGGAAGGTGTTTACCTCACGAGAGTTCCTCCCTCATGCATGGATAATGCCCATTGTAAAAGGTCTTGAGGCTGAGAGTTCCAACTTTTGTTCTTGCCCTTTCTTTGCCTTTCTGCCATGGGACAACACAGCTGGAAGGTCTCTGCCAGATGCTGGCCCCTTGTACTTGGATTTCCCAACCTCCAGAAGTGTAAGCTAATACATTTCTGTTCATTAAAAATTACCCAACCTGAGGCACTCTGTTACAGCAGCACAAAGCATACTAAGACACGTCATTGGTCTATCAAGAAGGAGCAAATTAAAAGCAAAATGAAACACCATCTTACACTCACTAGAATGACTCAAATAAAAAGACTGACAGAACTAAATATTGGCATAAATATAGAACAACTGGAACTTTTCACACATTGCTGATAGAGTGTAAAATTATACAACTGCATTAGAGAAAAGTATGGCAGTTACTTTAAAAATAAGATATACATCAAACTCTACTCTAAGGTAGGGGTCCCTAAGCCCCAAGGCATCAACTGGTACCAGTCTGTGGCCTGTTAGGAACTAGGCCTCACAGCAGGAGGTGAGCGAGCATTACCGCCTGAGGTCCACCTCCTATCAGATCAGAGGTGGTATTAGGTTCTCATAGGAGCAGGAACCCTATTGTAAACTGCACCACACAAGGGATCTAAGTTGTGGGGTTTTTATGCAAATCTAATGATAAATGTAATGCACTTGAATCACCCTGAAACCATCACCCCCACCCACCGTGCATGAAAAAACTGTCTTACATGAAACCATTCCCTGGTGCCAAAAAGGTTGGGACTGCTGCTATAAGGTATTTGCCCGAGAGGAAAGAAAACACATGTCTATTTAAAAAAAAGAGTCCAGGGGCCGGGCACAGTGGCTCACGCCTGTAATCCCAGCACTCTGGGGTGCCGAGGTGGGCAGATTACAAGGTCAGGAGTTTGAGACCAGCCTGGATAAGATGGTGAACCCCCCGTCTCTACTAAAAATACAAAAATTAGCCGGTGGACGCCTGTAGTCCCAGTTACTCGGGAGGCTGAGGCAGGAGAATCACTTGAACCTGGGAGGCGGAGGTTGCAGTGAGTGGAGATCGTGCCACTGCACTCCAGCCTGGGAGACAGAGTGAGACTCCATCTCAAAAACAAACAAACAAAAAAAGAGTCCAGGATATCGAAATGTTCATAGCAGCTTTATCCATGTGTTAGCCTGCTACATCTGCCATAACAAAATACACAGCGTGAGTGGCTTAAATAACAGGAATTTATCTTCCTCAAAGCTCTGGAGGCTGGAAGCCCAATATCAAGGTGCTGCTGGGTTTGATTTCCTCTGAGGTTTTTCTTCCTGGCTTGCCACGGCTGCCTTTCTGCCATGTCATCACATGATGTTTCCTTTGTGCACATGTGCACTTGCTGTGTGTCTAAACTTCTTTTTATAATCACACCAAATTGAATTAGGGCCCACTCTAATCCCCACATACATGACAACACGGATGAATTTAAAAAAACACTATGCTAACTAAAAGGAATGCATATTGTATGCTTCCATTTTAATGACATAAGAGCAGATGAAACTAATCTTTGATGTTGGAAGTTAAAATGTGGTTGCTTCTGCAGTTTTGAAAACTGACTGGAAAGAGATGTCAAGAGAACTTTCTATATCTCTTTTTGGGTTGAGGTTACATGGATGTATAAAATTTTCAAAACTTATTAAAATGAAAAACTAGGCTGGGTGATGTGGCTCATGCCTGTAATCCCAGCCCTGTGGGAGGTAGAGGCAGGATGTTTGCTTGAGCCCAGGAGTTTGAGACCAGCCTGAGCAACATGGTGAAACCCCGCCTCTAGAAAAAATACAAAAATTAGCCAGGCCTGGTGCTGTGTGCCTGTGGTCTCATCTCCTTAGGAGGCTGAGGTGGGAAGATTACTTGGGCACAGGAGGTGAAGCCTATAGTTAGCTGAGATCATGCCATTGCACTCTAGCTGGGGTGACAAAGCAACATCCTGTCTCAAAGAAAAAACAAAAAGAAAAGATAAATTAGGATTCTGTTGTTTCATTGTATATAAATTATACTCAATAAAATTTTTGACTAAAAGTCAAAAAGGCAGATTTTCAAATCAAATATTCCAATGATAATAGAAGTTAATACATTTAAAAGGTTTAGACTCAAGTATCTTAAAAATAAAGAACAGTTAGACAGTTTTAGAAAACCAAATATTTACATAATGGATATACATTTAAAAGAAATTGGCTCAGACTTGTCAAGTGAAAAAGCCAAACACTTAGCTAATGAAAACAAGAGAAAATGATGAAAATTAGAAAGTTTATTGTCGTTGTTGTTTCTTGTTATGTCATGCGGTTTTCTTTTTTGTTTTTGTTTGTTTGTTTGTTTGTTTGTTTTTGAGACAGAGTCTTGCTCTGTTGCCTAGGCTGGAGTGCAATAGAGCGATCTTGGCTCACTGCCACCTCTACCTCCTGGGTTCAAGCGATTCTCCTACCTCAGCCTCCTGAGTAGCTGGGATTACAGGCGCATGCCACCACATCTGACTAATTTTTTGTATTTTTAGTAGAGGCAGGGTTTCACTGTGTTAGTCAGGATGGTCTTGATCTCCTGACCTCATGAACTGCCGGCCTCGGCCTCCCGAAGTGCTGAGATTACAAGCGTGAGCCACTGCACCCGGCTGTCATGTGTTTTTCTACTAAAAAAAAAACTATAGTGGAGACTTAAAAAGTTTTTTAAAAGTAGAAGTTAGTGAATTGATATAGGATAAAAAACACTAGAAGTAAGAAATAATTATAAGTGATAGATTAAATATGAAAGCCAGAAAGTAGAAATGTTCAATAATAAAAAAGAGATTAATTTGTCTTTTGAAAAATAATTTCATACAAAGCAAGACAAATATATTTGAAAATAAATGAAATAGAGAAGTTTTTAGGAATATATGTTATTAAGTTTGATTTGAAAAGTTATAAAACCTTAAATAGATGAATTATCATTAAAGACAAATAGAGAATGTTGATGAAGAATATTCTTCTCCAAAATGTCACACCCACATGATTTCTCAAGTGAACTATTTCAAATTAATTGAAAAAATAATTCTGATGCAATTTACTGCAGAAAGAAAATGAAAGCTCCCAAATTCCCCTTACAAAGTCAACATGATTATAAGAAAACTGTTTCAGAAGCAAGCCATATGTACAGCTCCTCAGATTCTGAACTACACTGCTTTGAGAATATTTTCTTTTTTCATTTTATTTTATTATTATTATACTTTAAGTTTTAGGGTACATGTGCACAATGTGCAGGTTAGTTACATATGTATACATGTGCCATGCTGGTGTGCTGCACCCATTAACTCATCATTTAGCATTAGGTATATCTCCTAATGCTATCCCTCCCCTCTCCCCCCACCCCACAACAGTTCCCAGAGTGTGATGTTCCCCTTCCTGTGTCCATGTGTTCTCATAGTTCAATTCCCACCTATGAGTGAGAACATGCGGTGTTTGCTTTTTTTGTCCTTGCGATAGTTTACTGAGAATGATGATTTCCAATTTCATCCATGTCCCTACAAAGGACATGAACTCATCATTTTTTATGGCTGCATAGTATTCCATGGTGGATATGTGCCACATTTTCTTAATCCAGTCTATCATTGTTGGACATTTGGGTTGGTTCCAAGTCTTTGCTATTGTGAATAGTGCCGCAATAAACATACGTGTGCATGTGTCTTTATAGCAGCATGATTTATAGTCCTTTGGGTATATACCCAGTAATGGGATGGCTGGGTCAAATGGTATTTCTAGTTCTAGATCCCTGAGGAATCGCCACACTGACTTCCACAATGGTTGAACTAGTTTACAGTCCCACCAACAGTGTAAAAGTGTTCCTATTTCTCCACATCCTCTCCAGCACCTGTTGTTTCCTGACTTTTTAATGATTGCCATTCTAACTGGTGTGAGATGATATCTCATTGTGGTTTTGATTTGCATTTCTCTGATGGCCAGTGATGATGAGCATTTTTTCATGTGTCTTTTGGCTGCATAAATGTCTTCTTTTGAGAAGTGTCTGTTCATATCCTTTGCCCACTTTTTGATGGGGTTGTTGGTTTCTTTCTTGTAAATTTGTTTGAGTTCATTGTAGATTCTGGATATTAGCCCTTTGTCAGATGAGTAGGTTGCGAAAATTTTTATCATACTGAATGGGCAAAAACTGGAAGCATTCCCTTTGAAAACTGGCACAACACAGGGATGCCCTCTCTCACCACTCCTATTCAAAATAGTGTTGAAAGTTCTGGCCAGGGCAATTAGGCAGGAGAAGGAAATAAAGGGTATTCAATTAGGAAAAGAGGAAGTCAAATTGTCCCTGTTTGCAGATGACATGATTGTATATCTAGAAAACCCCATTGTCTCAGCCCAAAATCTCCTTAAGCTGATAAGCAACTTCAGCAAAGTCTCAGGATACAAAATCAATGTACAAAAATCACAAGCATTCTTATACAACAATAACAGACATACAGAGAGCCAAATCATGAGTTTACTCCCATTCACAATTGCTTCAAAGAGAATAAAATACCTAGGAATCCAACTTACAAGGGATGTGAAGGACCTCTTCAAGGAGAACTACAAACCACTGCTCAATGAAATAAAAGAGGATACAAACAAATGGAAGAACATTCCATGCTCATGGGTAGGAAGAATCAATATCGTGAAAATGGCTATACTGCCCAAGGTAATTTATAGATTCAATGCCATTCCCATCAAGCTACCAATGACTTTCTTCACAGAATTGGAAAAAACTACTTTCAAGTTCATATGGAGCCAAAAAAGAGCCCGCATCACCAAGTCAATCCTAAGCCAAAAGAACAAAGCTGGAGGCATCACGCTACCTGACTTCAAACTATACTACAAGGCTACAGTAATGAAAACAGCATGGTACTGGTACCAAAACAGAGATATAGATCAATGGAACAGAACAGAGCCCTCAGAAATAATGCCGCATATCTACAACTATCTGATCTTTGACAAACCTGAGAAAAACAAGCAACGGGGAAAGGATTCCCTATTTAATAAATGGTGTTGGGAAAACTGGCTAGCCATATGTAGAAAGCTGAAACTGGATCCCTTCCTTACACCTTATACAAAAATTAATTCAAGATGGATTAAAGACTTAAACGTTAGACCTAAAACCATAAAAACCCTGGAAGAAAACCTAGGCATTACCATTCAGGACTTAGGCATGGGCAAGGACTTCATGTCTAAAACACCAAAAGCAATGGCAACAAAAGCCAAAATTGACAAATGGGATCTAATTAAACTAAAGAGCTTCTGCACAGCAAAAGAGAATATTTTCAATACACTTGTTTGGCCTGGAATACAACTTGAAGTTCTAGGTCTTCTGGACAGCAAGCCCCACGATCTGAATTTATTTATGTGATTGACTCCTTAAGTTCTTCTATGTGAAATGCCATTATTTGAGAGAGCTACGTTCCCATGGGATGAACCTTGGTCAATGGAAAATGAGGGAGGTTTAACAAAAATAGATCCTCTCTCCGTTTTCCCTCTGTGGAGTGTTCAGAAATGAAATTTCTTTTGCAAGTTGCCATGGGCTGACTTGTTTCTCCTTAAATATGTTGAAGTCCTGACCTCCAGTATCTCAGAATGTAACTATTTGGAAATGGGGTCTTTAAAGAGGTAAGTGAATTACAATGAGGTTGTTAGGATAGGTCATAATCCAACCTGATTGATGTCCTTGTAAAAAGTGAAAATTGGAACACACAAAGAGACACTAGGGATACAGACGTACAGAGGAAAGACCATGTGAAAACACAGCAAGAAAGTGGACATCTGCACACCCAGGAGAGACGCCTGTGAAGAAACCAAACCTGCCAGTACCTAGATCATGGACTTCCCTCCTCCAGAACTGTGAGAAAATACTTGTCAGTTGTTTAAGCCACTGTATCCTTGGTATTTTGTTATGACAACTATAGCAAAGTTGTATACATGGCCAGAGAACATGCTTCCTGAGCTACCTGCCATGTCTCTGCCTGGCTTGTCATCAAGTAATGACCAACAATGACCCATCATCATGGGACTTCCAATTTTCCTTGCCTTGTTTATCTTTGTTTCCTCACTTTTACTGAACTTGAACATCCTAATTAATGTGTCAACACTTTAATATTTTGTTCAGAGTCTGCTTTCTAGAGAGTCTGGGCTAATACAGCAAACTGGCAAAGATAAATTTTAAAAGCAACACCACCACTAAGACCAATATTAGTTATGAAGAGTGATGTGAAATATCTACTATAAATACCAATAAATAGAATCTCTGAATATTAAAATAATATACAGCAAATCAAATATAATATAATATTAAGACATTTATTTATATTAACTCATTAAGTATTTATATAGAAATAATAAATAATGGTTGATTCCAGATCAAAGCTGAAATATATCATAA
Organism: Homo sapiens; assembly: GCF_000001405.40. NCBI lineage: Eukaryota > Metazoa > Chordata > Mammalia > Primates > Hominidae > Homo > Homo sapiens. Next base: position 29,555,558 of record NC_000018.10, read on the forward strand.
ACACATACAAACATGCACATGTGTTAGCAAAGCCTTTATCTTGTTTAATAATGAAGTATTTGGTACATTTCTATCATCATCAACAAGGTAAAGAAGGAGGAGGAAGAGGAGGAGAAAAAACCCCAACATTTTATTAAATTGATATCATTTACATTGCTCAAAAGATCTTCACCAATTAATTCAAAACCTCACCCCCAAAAACATTATTAATATTAGAAAGCAAAAGGCAAAGTTATCACTCTTTCCTAAAGATTTTTTTTTCATTTGGAAGACCCAATACAGTCAACTGAAAAAGTATTAAATATAAGATATTTTGTTAATTTTGCAGGTAGCAATAATAAGGCAGAGACATTTTTACATTAATACAATAACAATTTAGAAAATATAATGGGAAGAAAGAAGCACAGAATCAGAGGAATAACCAATAGAGAATAAAATACTGCATAGAAACACCATTCCTTTTTTCTCTTTACTGACTCAATGCGTCTGATATGAGATTGTTGTTGTTGTTTTTCTCACACCAACCGATTATCTGATATCAGCTGGGTGTACTACAATTCAATTATGATACTAGCCTGAAGTTAGTGCAGTCCTCACAGGTTAAGGGCTCAGTCCCACAACTCGACACCCTAGGGCAATGTGAATTGCAAGCAGTGAGTCCCTACTTAACTATGTACACTGTTAATGTGGTTATAAATCAGGGGTTCTCACAACCCCCTCCTCAGGTTCAAATTTGCAATGACAGTTCACAGAACTCAGGAAACTGTGCTTACTTACCTTTACTGGTTTATCATAAAGGGGATGGTCAAAGGCATAGATGACCAGCCAGATAAAGAGGTACAAAGCTGAGATCCGGAAGCACAGGAGCTGCGTTTGCAGGGAGCTGAGATGCACCACCCTCCCAGCAGGTAGATGTGATGATCACCTACCTAGAAGCTGTCGAACACTGTCTTTTAGGAAATTTTTTAATGGAGACGTTATCACATAGAAATGATTATTAATTCAATCTTCAGGCCCTGTCCATTTCCTGGAGCAAGTGGGTAGGGGGAGCTGCAAGTTCTAAGCTTCTAATCATGGCTTGGTCTTTCTGGTGACCAGACCCCATCCTGAAGCTATCTAGGAGATCATTGTAAGTCACTTATTAAACAAAAGAGACTCTCATCACCCAGGAAATTCCAAGAGATTTAGGAGCTCTGTGTCAGAAACCAGGGTCAAAGACCAAATATGAGAACAAATGATGTTCCTAACATCCCTGACACTCAGAAAATTACAAGTGTTTTAGCAACTCTGTTTCAGAAACCGGGGTGTAGAGAACAAATATATATATTTCTTATTATGTCACAAACACTTGAAAATAAACTTAATAAGTGTATTGTACTTAAATTATGAAAATATTAAAATTCTACCAAGGAACATATAAGAAGATTTAAGCAATTAGAAAGATATGCCATGTTACTGGACATGTTATAGTTTTAAATATATCATTCTAAACAATTACAAAACTAACCCAAAAATACAGAATCTAGAAAATGAGCAGCTGATTAATGCTTAAAAGTAGATTTCCAAGAAAACAGCATGATACTTAATATATGCTAGTGATCATTATAATCAGTGAAGAAAATGCAAATTATTAAGTAAATTATATTGGGAAAACTGGGTATCTACTAAAATAAAATAGTACCTTCGCCATTCACCTTACAATAAAATAAATTTCAAATGAATCAAATATCTATTTACACAGGTACATTTTTATGAGTGCCAAAAGTGAATGAAATCATAGTCTTATAGATAAAAAGATTTTGAGGCATAAAATGCAATTCAGAATTATAAAAAAGATACACTTCCTGTGGCACATGTATACATATGTAACAAACCTGCATGTTGTGCACATGTACCCTAAAACTTAAAGTATAATAATAATAAAATTAAAAAAACATACACTTTATTACATAAAAATTACAACTTCATTTTTACCAAAATATAGTAAAACATTTCAAGGGGTTAATTTATAGAACAGGGAATTATTTGCCACACATAGGACCTTAAAGGACTGATTTTCCTATATACTGTACATAGATTTTTTTTTTGACAAGATATAAACAGAAAGTGAACAAATGATACTGAAGTCAGTTTTGTGAAGAATTAATTTTTTTTTGCCCTGTCTTATGGTGCTGAGTGAAGAATTAGGTGTCAAAGAAACACGTAGGAAGTTGTTCATTCTCACTCACTGCTTAGGGGGCTGTTGTGCTGAACTGCCATTGTGACAAGCTCAGCAGATGAGTAGTGCCTTGGAGAGAAATGGCAGGAGAGAAAGGGAGCAACAGGAAGTACCTTCTTTCCCACTCTTTGGCATGACGTTAATGCTCTACGCATATCCATGTGGATCAAGTGGACACTACAGAATATGGCTAGATTTGCAGTACAGTATTTGCTGGTATGTCAAGAAAAATGACCCCCTGCCAATCAAGTGTATTTTGGTAGGAACAGTTTCAAAAATGCACCTAAGTTGGCAAGAGCTGAAAGAAGTCAAGCTGACCCTTGATAACACATAAAACATGCATCAGTGAACTATGCAGTAAGAATAGCCCACAGCACCTGCCCACCCCCATCGCCAAAGCTGAAAACAAACAAACAAAAAACAACCCTTACCCTGTGCCCAAGATGCCTGCCACATAGAAGTGTCAGTGTTAGCCAGAAGGTAGCAGCAACTGAAAGAGAATTGCAATTGCTTCCCAGTCAAGAATGAAGCATATGCACCACTTTCCCTAGTCTTGGCAATATTAGAAACAGATGAAAGAGGGGATTAAGAAAAGAAGGAACAATCTTCAGACTATAGCTTCTCCCCTAGTACAGATCCCCAGTCAAAGGCTGGTTCTGAAGCAAGCTTAGGGAAGAGACAGATGGGCTTAGAGTTGACTTTGTACTTCTCTGGTGATCAAAAATGACTTAAAATCTACTGAATTTGTTCAATCTGTCATTAAGGGAAGGAAACGGAGGTGTCATATTTTCTCTTCCTGGAGTTACTCTTCTTTTAGAAACTCCTACCCTCTCATTCCATCTTCAACTAATTAATATAATTTTGGAGTTAGGTTTTGAATTGCTGAATTCACTTGATTTGGTGGTTCTATGAATGGAATGTGTTCTATATTTCATGTGTTAAAACTCTAATTCACAATGTGACAATGTTTAGAGATGGGGTCTTTAGAAGCTAATTAGGTCATTAGAGTGGAGACCTCATGATGGGATTAGTGTCCTTATAAGTAAAGAAAGGATGCTCTCCCCTTGCCCCTCCCCTTCTCCTATACCTTCTTTCTCTCCCTCCCTCTTCCCGTCTCCCTCTATCCCACCAGAGGGCTTACAAAGAAGATGGCCATCTGCAAACCAGGAAGCAGGGATTCACCAGAACCCTACTATGCTGGCACTCTGATTTTGGACTTCCCAGCCCACAGAACTATGAGAAATACATTTTTGCTTTTAAGCCACCCAGTCTATAGTATTTTGTTTTAGCAGCTGTGTCGACTAAGAAAGTTGTCATGTGATCTCAAGTAGGCCAATCAGACTCTCTTGAGAGTTATGATGTGCAGACAAATACAAACATCTAACAGCAGCAAGCTATGGAGACTTCCCTGAGCTCCTCCTATGGAGATCCCCGTAAGTCTGATACTCATTTTTTAGTTGCTTCCAATTTTGAAGAAGTCTAAATCATTAAGACATCAGTTCTATTTTGCTGGGAATATGCTCTCTCAGAGAAACTGGGATTAGAAAATGGTTATTAGACTAAGATTTGGGGAAAGGCAGTGTGATTTACATTCCAATTAATAAAATAGAAGCCATGGACTGTTAGGGAGAAACTCATCAAGATTCAACATCACCTGTCAATGTGCCCACAGATGTTGAAACTCAGGCTGTTGGGGACATTTTGCCATATCTTTCTTTAATAACAGATAAATAATGAGGAGATTATGGGAAAGTTTTCTTGATAATAATAAAATATTAATCAAGAGGATAATAAGCTACATATAAGTGATTAGGTGATTATAACAGCCATTATTACTACTTTCTTTTTCCTTTTTTGTCTTATTTGAAAAACAATTGTATAAAATCCTATCGTATATGTACTTCAGGGCCTATAACATGTAGAAACCTAATATACATGTAACAAATATGTGCCATTGCGGCCAAAGCAGTGGCTGGGAGCTAAGCTGTAATAGGCTAAGGAAATGATGACAGATGAAAAGGTAATAATTATAATGACGTATTGGTAAGTTTTTAACATTAGTAAACATAATGTGTATAAGAAAAATACCAAAAATTGATACTAATTCAGAAAAAAACCAAAAAACTTAATCTCTGAGACTTGGAAACCCTAAGGACATAAGGCAACAAACGCTCATTATAATGCCTATTGCATCTTTCTAGCCTGGAGAAGCTGTGACTCCGTGGTAGCCATTATTCAAACTCAACCTTGCCGGGAGTGCAGACAGAGGCAGGGTATGGAGGGAAAGTAGAATCAGAAGAATGCAACTGGGAGAATAAATTTGAAATATACATTGGTTCAAGCTGAATTAATCAAGAATGATGTATCCACAGAACAAGCATTCAAGTTTCTCCTTGAGGGAGTTGGCCATTCTCGCACTTCATTTTATTAACTAATTTAATATTAGCTTACAGTATATGACACATAAAAGGATGATGTTTCTTGGCATAATATAGATTTAAAATGGGCAGAATTAGATGAGTCTAAACTGAAACATTGAATAAAGACTTGTTTATAGCACATCTAATTGCTCCCTATGTTCCTTACAAGGATAAAAAATTCTTATGACCCTGAGCAAAGAATAACTGCTTTCTTCAGACCAGAAATACTGAAGACAAAGTTTCACTTCCTGATTTCATTGACAGTGAAAGAAACAGCATGAACAAGTTCACAGGGCCCTGCTCCTCTGACTACAGGGGTAATAATAGATATCAAACTAGGCCAACACAACTCTCTGAACTGAAAATTTGTATACTGAGTTGAGACTCTAGGAATAGAGGGACACTGAAACTGAGGAATAGGATGATGTTGTCCCACAAAACGCTATGAGACCACATACCAGGAAAAAATACCAAGATTTAATAGGTTTTTATTCTTTCCTAAGCTTGGTAATTCTGTTTCTCATTTGCTTATGTGAGCTAATGAATTCCTTTTATTGAAGTTTGGCAGAGTTGGTTTCTTTGGCTTTTTTCCAAAAAGTACTTTAATAAACTAATTTAAATATATTCAGTATGTTTTATGTAATTGCTATGCTTTTCTCCCCAGTACAATTCAATTAAAAAAAGAAACATTTAAACTTATACTGATAAATATGTAATATCTGCCTTTCTGTAATTATAACATTTTGCACTTCATCAAGGTTAGTCAAATTATGTGCAATAAGTGTCTGCCTGAATTATCTTTGTCTTTGAATTATACAGTGGCTTTAAATGGCAGTTCCTCATTTACTCTTTACATGGGAGTGTCAATGAGAAAACAGAAAAATACCTGAATTATTTACACACATAAGTGGCAGTTTAATTGCTCTTGGGTACTCTCTTGAAAGAATGAATGCTTACAATTTAGTATCTTGCAATAACTAACAGAGCCTACATTTATCTTAGTTTAACTCAAGCCCAAAATCCAATATAAACACATATTAAATAACATAATTTATATATCTTTAAAGTGCAACATAACTCTAAGCCCTCAGAAGGAGACTGTGATGAGTTACGAGTGTAAAATAATGTCTGATCACAAGAACAATGATGCTAATGTTTCTTATCTAAATAGTAGATATGTATTTGATCACCTTTTCATAAAGTACCATATTCGAGGAAGTCAGTAAAAGTATTATGAGTTTAAATGTTAACAATGAAAATCATATATTATAATTTTATGCAATTCTGGATGAAACTGAAGAGAATCAAGGCATATCAATTTTAATTCTGTCATCGGCATTGCCTGTTTGGGAAACATTTGTCAGGTTGTTATTTCATCCTCTGATTCTTTATTGGTCAAATGGTGAGATTAACCCTATATTGCTTTTTCATGCGTTTTTGTTTTTTTTGTAATGACATAGAAAAGCGTTTTTAAAGTTGAAATACTGGAGAAGCACTTCCGAAATGGCAGATTAAGAACTACAAAAAACTGTCTTTCCACAAAAGCTATGAGAACACTGACAAAATTTGTTAAAATCAATGTTTTCAGAACTCTGAAAATTAACTAGAGACTTAGAAAAATTGAAGCAGCATTTATTCAACAAAATGGCTGAATTTCAGTAAGAACAATAAACTTTAGGTTATTTTGACGTGTCCTCGTCCCATCCTCCTCTCCACAGCTCCATGGTAGCCTTGAAACCAATTATGGTAGCTATAAAACTCTGCATCCTTGCAGCCACTGAAAAAATGAGAATGGGTTAGGAGTCTCTCAAGAGTTCTATCCCCTGAGAATTATCACGATTTGATTCTCCTGGACTCATGTGGTAACAGCCTAACAACTCTATTCCAGGCCTTGGAACTGACCTAACTCAGTTCTTGCTGTGTAAACAGCCTTATCTCTATGGTGTTTGTCAAAAATTATCAATGGCAATTGTTCAACCTCAGCTGACTGTGAGGGTAATAACAGTTGATGCCAATGAGACGTCCATAGGAGTCTTCTAAAACCTCTAAAATATTTGTGGGAATCTAGAAGGCCATAGGCTTTTCTAGAGAAGATCTGAGAAGGCTTTACTCTCCCCTCTGGCTGACCTTGAGATTGTTTATAAGCTGGAAGTAAAGGTTTTTGACAGATTGATTGATTGATTGATTGAGACAGGTCTGGCTCTGTCACCCAGGCTGAAGTGCAGTGGTAAGAACTCAGCTCACTGCAACCTTTGCTTCCTGGGGTCAAGTCAGCTTTCCACTTCAGCCTCCTGAGCAGCTGGGACTACAGGTATGCTACCACAACTGGCTAATTTTTTTTTTTTTTTTTTTTTTTTAGAAATGGGGTTTTGCCATATTGCCCAGGCTGGTCTTGAACTCCTGAACTCAAGTGATCTGTCTGACTCAGCCTCCCAAGGTGCTAGGATTATAGGCATAACTCACCGTGCCCAACCTGGAAGTAAATTTCTTCATCTTTTAAAATTTAAATTATTTGAGAGAGAGTAAGACCACATTTACATGAATTGTTTTTTTGTGTGTATAAATTTTGTCATTTTTTTTTGCTTTGGTTACGTCAATAAGTTATTTATGGGTGATTTCTGAGATTTTGGTGCACTCATAACCCAAGTAGTGTGTACTGTACTCAATGTGTAGTCTTTTATCCCTCACCACCCTTCCACCCTTTTCCTCAAGTCCCCAAAGTCCATTGTATCATTCTTATGCCCTTGCATCCTCATAGCTTAGTTCCCACTTATGAGTGAAAACATACAATGTTTGGTTTCCATTCCTGAGTTACTTCACTTAGAATAATGATCTCCAGGTCCATCCAGGCTGCTCTGAATGTCATTATTTAATTCTCTTTTTTTATGGCTGAGTAGCATTCCACAACACACACACACACACACACACACACACACACACACACACAGAGCAACCAAATAAATTGTGAATTTATATGTGGCATATTATGTATAGATATATATAACAGAGCTATTGTAAAGTTGAAAGCAGAGATGTAAACTGCCTGCTATAGCACTGATCTACTCCCAAACACACAGAGAACTCTTCAGCAAAAGCTGGGAAACTTATCAATTCAAGGCAATTGACATAATCTCTGTCCAATGATTAGTTGACTTCTATGCTAATTAAGACAAACTTCAGTGGCCACACATGATAAAGTATGCAAACTTTAGAAAATTAGATCAGGAAATTCACTAAACAAACAAATAACGTTTACAACAAGCAGCAAAAACAAGATACCCTGGTGAAGGAAGAAAACCCGATTTCCAATGTAACCATATTAAATTAGTTAAAAAGTCCAATTTTCAACAAAGAAATATTAAAGTGCAAAGAAAGAGGAAAGTGTAATTCATACCATACATTGCAAGAAAAATAGAATAGAAATTGTTTTTGATGAGGCCCAGACATTGAATTTATTTGACAAAAGACAAATCAGCAATTTTAAGTGTGTTCAAAGGACTAAGGGAAACTATGTCTAAGGATTAAAGAAAAACAAGTAAGATATCTTGCCATGTAGACAACAAACAGATGGAAATTACCTTTAAAATAAACAAACGGAATTTCTGGAGTTAAAAGTAAAATTACTGAAATGAAAAATTACTAGAATAATATCACAGTTGAAATGGCAGAAGAAAGAAAAAAGAAAATGTTAATTTTTATAGCCCAAAGAAATCACTAAGAAAATATATATTTTTAAATATAGTAAGAGAAAATCAAAGGTACAAAAAAAGGAGAATATTTGACTTAGGCAAAGACAGGAATCGGAAATTGAAGCAAAAGCTGCCAGAACTAAAAGAACAAATATATAATTCAATAATAATCATTGAAATTTCAGTTCCCTACTTTTGATAATTTATAGAACAACTAGGCATAAGATCAACAAGAAAATATAAAATTTGAGCACCACTGTGATGCAAGTAGATCTGAACAACACTATGACAAAACCAGACCCAAAAGAAATCTGCTGAATAAATTACTAATAAAAATACACACATTCTTCCCAATAATACATAGTCTCTGTGATAGACTATATACTATGGCACAAAAAACCCTCAATAAAGATTAAAAAATACTGAAGTCATACAACATATGTTCTCTAGTCACAATGAAATTAAATTAGAAATTACTAAACTCTTTGGGGATATACAAAAATAGATGGAAATTAATACGCCTAAACACTAAATGGGTCCAAAAAATAAAAAGTGCATTAAAAATACCTTTTATATGAATGAAAATGAAAACATAACATGCCAAAAATCAACGGTTGAACTAGAGGTTAGAGTGAAATTTATAGGTGTAAAACACTTATATTGCAAAATAAAAAGAAAATTTCTGATCAATAATCCAACATTTTATCTTAAAACACTGGAAAACGGTGTTTTCGAGAAAGCAGAAGGAAAAATATAATGAAGATCAGAGTGAAAGTAAATAGAGAATAGTGAAACAATAGAGAAAAGTTCATCAGAAAAATTAATAAAATTAGGAAGCCCAAAGATTATGCAAGCAACACTGACCAACAAGAAGAGAGAGAAGATTGAAATTACTAAAATCAGAAATAAAAGAGGAGACAAAATTAGTGACCTTACAGAAATAAAAAGGTTTGTAACGTAATACTGTGAACGCCTGTATGCCAACAAAATAGTTAACTTAGAAGAAATAGACCAATTTTGAAATAATAGATACACACAATCAAAAGATTTTCAAGAAGAACTACAAAATCTGAATAGACCTACAATAAGTAAATTGATTGAATGAGTAATTTAAAAAAAAATTCCACGAAGACAAGTTCAGGCACAGGTGGCTTCACTTGTGAATTCTACCAAATGTTTAAAGAAGAATTAAGATCAATCCTATTCAACCTGTTTTAAAATGTAGAAGAAGGAAGAATATTGCCCAGTGCATTCTGAGTTCACTATTACCTGGGTAACAAAACACACATCATAAGTACAGATCAATATCCCTTATGAATATAGATACAAGAATTTTCAACATAATATTAGCAAAAAAACTAGCTTCTAGAAAAATATTATTTATTACAACCTAGTAGGATTTATTACACGAATGCAAAGTTAACAAATTTTTAAAAATCAATAAAATATGCTGTACTGATAGAATAAAGAATGAAATGTCATAGATTATCTCAACAGTGCAGGAAAAAAATGACAAATGCCAATAACCTTTAATGATAAAACATTCAACAAAATACGAGTACCTGTTAACTTCCTCAACTTTTAAGAGGCCATATGCAAAAATGCACACCTAACATCCTATTTAACAATAAAGGAATGAATGTTTTCTTGTTAAAATCAGAAAAAAGACAAGGTTGTCTGCTCTCACTTCTTCTATTCAATGTTGTTCTGGGGATTTTAATAGAACAATTAGGCAATAAAAAATAAAAGGCATCCATTTGGAGAGTAAAGAGCAAACCTATCTCTGCAGCTCTTAAAATTTAAAATGAATAAATATGTTAGTGTGGTTGCAAGATACAAGATCAATACACAGATTCATTTATATACTACCAATGAATATTCCGTAAATGAATTTAGGAAAATAACTCTATTTTTAATAGCATAAAAATAATAAAATATTTAAGAATAAATTTAACAAAATAATGTTAAGACATAAACTGATAACTAAAAAGCATCATTAACAGATAAGGAAAACACAAACAATAGAAAGACATCCTGGCCAGGCACGGTGGCTCACACCTGTAATCCCATTACTTTTGGAGGCCGAGGTAGGTGGATCACCTCAGGTCAGGAGTTTGAGACCAGCCTGGTCAACATGGCGAAACCCTGTCTCTACTAAAAATACAAAAATTAGCTGAGCATGGTGGCACATGCCTGTAATCCCAGTTACTCAGGAGGCTAAGGCAGGAGAATTGCTTCAACCTGGGAGGTGGAGGTTGCAGTGAGCCAAGATTGTGCCGTTGCACTCCAGGCTGGGTGACAAGAGTGAAACTCTGTCTCAAACAAAGAAAAAAAAGAAAAATGAAAAAAAAGAAAGACATCCCATGTTCACAGATAAGAACACATTATGACATTGGCAATGCTTTCCACATTTATCTATAGATTGAATGCAATCCGTGTCACAAACCCAGCTCTTTATTTGTGGGAAATTGCTAACCTGAAGATAAAATTCAAGCGGAAATGCAATGGACCCAGAATAACCAAAATATATTGACAAAAAAAAACAAGCTTGGAGAACATACACTTATTGGCCTTAAATCTTATTACAAAGAAAAAATAATTAAGACAGTGTAGTATTGGCATAAGAGTAAACATAGACCAAAAAATGGAATTGAAAATTCAGAAATAAACCTTTACATTTATGTTATAATAATTTTCAACCGGGATACAAGGCAATTCAATGGAGAAATAATCATCTTTTCAACAACTGATGGTAAAACAACTGGATATCTAGATGCCAAAGAATACCTTTTGAGCCCTTCCTCATGGCATACACAAAAATTAACTTAAAATGAATTGCTGCCCTAATTGCCCAGCTAAAACAATAATATTCTTATAAAATTACAAGGGGTTAAATCTTCATGACTTTGGATTTCACAAATGGGTTGTTAGATATGACATCTAAAGCAACCCCAGCAGAAGGAAAAAAATATTAAATTTGACTTCATCAAAATTATAACTTTTTATTTGCTGCAGAGGACCCCATCAAGAAAGTAAAAACTTGACCCCAAGAACTGAAGAAAATATTCACAAATCACATACTTATTGTGGGAATTTTATGCAGAAAATATAAATACATAAAACCTTGTGTGCAGAATATTTAAATATTTATAATTCAATAATAAAAACGAACAAATTCAAATATGTCTTAAGAATATTAATACACATTTTTCTGAAGAAATTACACAAATGACCAAATAGTATATGAAAATATAGTCCTTGGGAAAATTTTGATTAAAACGTACAAGGTAACACTTCACATCCACTAGGATGGCTAAAATAAAGAAATATAGATGATAACAAGTGTTTGGCAAGGATGTGGAAGAATCAAAATCATCATACATTGCTGGTGGGATTGTAAAATGCTGTAGCTACTTTGGAAAACAGCCTGGCAGCTCCTCATCAAGACAAGGACCCATGTCAATTAATATTAAGGCAATCACTCCTATTCATTAACATATGGTTTATTATTTTTATTCAAGATTAAATGAATAAGAAACATGTATCCACACCAATGATACTTTTACAGTTGTCTTACAAATGTTATATAAGATTTATTAACTCAAGATGGATTAAAGGCTTAAACATAAGACCTAAAACCATAAAAACTCTAGAAGAAAACCTAGGCAATACCATTCAGGACATAGGCATGGGCAAAGACTTCATAACTAAAACACCAAAAATAATGGCAACAAAAGCCAAAATTGACAAATGGGATTTAATTAAACTAAAGAGCTTCTGCACAGCAAAAGAAACTATCATCAGAGTGAACAGGCAACCTACAGAATAGGAGAACATTTTTTGCAATCTATCCATCTGACAAAGGGCTAATATCCAGAATCTACAAGAAACTTAAACAAATTTACAAGAAAAAACAAACAAACAACCCCATCAAAAAGTGGGCAAATGATATGAACAGACACTTCTCAAAAGAAGACATTTATGCAGCCAACAAACATATGAAGGAAACCTCATCATCACTGGTCATTAGAGAAATGCAAATCAAAACCACAGTGAGATACCATCTCATGCCAGTTAGAAGGGCGATCATTAAAACGTCAGGAAAAAACAGATGCTGCAGAGAATGTGGAGAAATAGGAACACTCTTATACTGTTTGTGGGAGTGTAAATTAGTTCATCCATTGTGGAAGACAGTGTGGCAATTCCTCAAGGATCTAGAAACAGAAATACCATCTGGCCCAGCAATTCCATTACTGGGTATATACCCAAAGGATTATAAATCATTCTACTCTAAAGACACATGCACACGAATGTTTACTGCAGCACTGTTCACAATAGCAAAGACTTTGAACCAACCCAAATGCCCATCAATGATAGACTGGATAAAGAAAATGTGGCACTTATACACCATGGAATATCATGCAGCCATAAAGAAAGATGAGCTCATGTCCTTTGCAGGGACATGGATGAAGCTGGAAACCATCATTCTCAGCAAACTAACACAGGAACAGAAAACCAAACACTGCATGTTCTCACTCATAGGTGGGGGTTGAACAATGAGAACACATGGACAGAGGGAGGGGAACATCACACACCGGGGTCTGTTGGGGGCTGGGGGGCTAGGGGAGGCATAGCATTAGGAGAAATACCTAATGTAGATGATGGGTTGATAGGTGCAGCAAACCACCATGGCATGTGTATACATATGTAACAAAACTGCACGTTCTATACATGTATCCCAAAACTTAAAGTGTAATAATAAAAAAGATTGAGTTTTAAAGGAGGGTTTAGTTGAATATAAGTTCCTATATCACAGAAATGCAGTGGATGTAGATTTTCAGGATTTATTACCCTGGGCCCCCTTCAACTCATTACTCCCACTCGAAATGACTGAGGTAACCTATGCTGAGAAGTTGTATTATTTTAATAGATGCTGGCTTATATTGGATAGTACTTGCAGGCCACACCAATGAACATTATTCAAATGACAAATAGAATGAAAATCCTCAAGTAATGTTCAGTGGAAAGTAACTAAACAAATAAATGCAATTGTAAATGGGAAAATGGCATTTTCACAATGAGTCAAGATTAGGTAGAAAGTTTGTCTGGAATCTAAATTGTTTACAATGGCTTTCCCCTAAGTACCAATTGGGATCAGGAATTCAATGTTCTGTTAAAATCCTTTTACCTGAATTTTGGGCAATCTAACTTTGGATGTGTTACCTTTGATCTGATTCTTTATTTCTTTTGAAATATTTTATTCAATGTCTTCTTTGCAAAGTCCCTTTTACTGAAGATCATAAAATCTCTAGAATTTTAGATCAGAATTTTATAGGTCATCCAGTCCAATATCATCGTTTTAAAGGAAAGGGATTTGAAGCTAAGACAGGTTAAGACCACGTGTTTCTTTATGGAAAAGTATATTCAGTTTGATGATCAATCTATTTCAGTACTGTATTTTAATTGTCTAAATTTTATTTACTCTCATTTTTTAGGATTTTCCTTCTGTTCTTAAATTTAAAATTACTTTCTTCTTTTTAGCCTGAGATGTTTAATACTATTTCATTCTCAAATGACAAATGTCTGTATAAACAAGTTATCTGTTGGAACATAGGGTACAAAGTTTCTTTTAGCATATTCTTCAGTAATGAAAAATTGCAATACTCTACTATGTGAAATATCAGCATTAAAGATGTTTTTAGTGTTGTTCTGATGGAATAAGAATGGATACCCTTTCCTTCCTTCTTTGCCTGACTACTTACATACAAAAAGCATATTTATTTCCAGCAATTTGAAGGAGTCTCAGGTGCTTCTAATGTCATAGAAAGTATATTCAACTTAAAACCTACAACTTAACAATGTATTTTGCTAAAATTTTCCAATACCCTGTAACTTTGCCATCAATATTTGTCCTAAAGTTGACTCATAACAGTTTCTAGGTGGGGGTATCATTGATATGAATTGTATATAAATAAGAGATCTGGCTTGGCATCCACACATCTTATGCATGTGTAAGCTAAAGTTATGTTTTATAATGCACATTTTGAGGATTAATAAAATTAAAAGACACATTTTTACCAGAATACAACTCAGAAACCTCAGTAACAAGTATGAAAGGTGGAAATGTGTTGCAGGCATGTCATAAACACTTGTTGAATTGAATCACAGAAGTCTTGGAGATACTTTGTTCTTTTTTGTTTCTCCTGTCTAAATGAGTGAGGCCTACCGTGAATAAGTACATCCACAAACATTCTACATTCTGAATTCTCTGAAGTGCATAGATTTAGGTAATAGCAATTAGCTATACCATTGCAGTTTGCTAAAAGCAGAATGCTGAGCTGGAGCCTTTATAGCCAGAGTGAGGGGCTCCCACAAACAGAGTTTGAGCATTATTTTCAGAAAGGAATCTAGGCTAATAAACGGAAATAATATGAATCAAAAACATAACTCAGAAATAAAGGAGCTTCCCTGAGGAGCCAAAGAGAAATAATATTCTACTCTTCAGATCTTTGCTAACACCCTAGTAGGAAGAGGGTGGTGGTAGTTATTCACAGAAACATATATACACAATGAAATCATATATGTATGGCCTAAATGTAGTCTATATGTGTATTATTTATAATTTATTCATTACATTTTAAATTCCATAAAAAATTATTAAACTCATATCAAGTGCTGGTACGGGGTCCTTAAAGCAAGAACAAATGCACCTAATCCAGTTAAAGACAGGACTGCATAAGGGAAATGCCATTTCACTGAATTATTTGAATGATATAACTATCTACTTCATTTCTGTCAATTTCTTGGCCAAATTCCTTAGTTTCAAAGTCTTATTTCTTGTTCTTCACTGTATCTTTAGTATTTTAACCTTGCTCTTCTTAGCACTTATCTCTCTGATGTCTTGTATCCCAGAGTGAACACAATACCTGCCCAATATGGTATATATTGATTTTTACAAAGTCCTTGTTTGCAGCCTTGACAAACTGCAAGCAAGATATTTACAGCTATTTTCATAATATGTGCTTGATTTTTCTTAGCTTAGACATTTTTATACTAACAAAATGCCATATTGAAATCATTCCTTGAAGTACCATTAGGAAGAGGCATTATCAACTGTTTGCCCCAATGTTTCTGAAATTGTTGTGAGTAAACCAGATGAGCAAGATTTTAAAAAGTTTAGGTCTGACAGAACGCTGGTTGTGGTAAGTTATTCAATAAATATACATAGATCATTACATCAGCTTCTTGGACAGGTCATTTTTGAGAAAGAATAGATTCATATTTTATTTTATATTGTAATATCCATCATTTAATTATTTTGGAATCATATAGATATATTATTAATGGATTATTATTTGCATTAAATGTTTATTAATTTTTTATTTATAAAGGAGGTTCTACTTTCCCTCTCCACCTGGAATTTAAATGACTCTGTGAATCCAGCCTACATACAGCAGAAAACAAACCTTGGCAGATAACAGTAGCAGCCTGTTTCCAGCAGTCATACTTTATGTCATTTTGGTCTGAATTTTTGTTCATTCTTACACTTGGTAGTTTCTTAGTTCTTAGACTTTTTTGGGCTCTGATCCCCAAAACAAGTCTTTCTTATTTTGAACAACTGTTTGTACCTTTGCATGTTTCTCTTAAACATCTTTTTGTGTCCCACTTTGACTTTATACATTGTCATTTTGTAGTCAGAGAAACTGGCACCAGCCAAAGACTCATGGCTTCATACAAGAAGGACCAGATTGGTATGATGCTAGCCTCTGAGGAAACAATAAATATTGTTTTAGTATACCATATTATTGTATATTTATATATGTATATATTTCATATTATTTCATTGACAACATTTACTTGGGAGATTTGTCTCAACAAAAATTATAGGAAATTGTAATTCTTAATTAGTAGAGAGCCTACTTTTTATTAAGAAATAATACTACTTCAAATTAAGAAATATACATTATACATATCATAAAATATTACTAAGAATATGATAGTTTATAACAAATTATCAATATACATAGAGGGATTTTGATATTAACAATAGCTAATATTTTTGTATGTTTACGTTGTGCCATGCACTGTTCTAGTAGCTTTACCTATATTAACTAATTTTATTCTCACAACAACCTTATGTGATAAGAACTAGTATTATTTCAATTTTATTAAAACCGATGAGAAAACTGAAGCAGAGAAGTTAAGCAGCTCGCCCAGTTTTATACCCAAACACAGTTAGTGAATAATTGAGAACCAAAATGAAAATAATACTGAATTGATTATTTTATATAACAAAGTTTAGTGGATAGGGGGCCATTCAAAGTAATCTCACAAATATTGAATAATTTTCATATCTACTGCTGAAGGGACATAGAGGGAGGTAAGCAGGCACATGAAGGGTTACCTAAGGTAACTGAAGAAAGGAGCAATCAGAGAAGGAACTCTAAAGAATGAACTAAGTCATGATAAACAGTGGAGTTAGTTTGGTGAGGTGGGAAGCAGGAAGCTGAAAGAGAGTGGAGTTTGGAAACTCTTCCAGACAGAAAGAATAGGAAGTGCCTGAGACAAGAGGAGTAGCCTGCTGGTTTTGGTGAACTGCAGAGGAAGGCTGGACTCAATCATGCACAGCCCCATAGACATATTGAAGACCTTGGGGTATTTTGCAAGAGCAGTGGAAAGCTACTAAAAAGGTCTATAGACGCAAGTGACTTATTCACTCTAGCAGCACCATGGAGGACAGAATGAAATGATAAACTTATAGAATCCAATAAAAAAGTTGTTTATGGTAATCACATCACAATGATTTAGATAAGTTTATTTTTGTTTCTAGCATCTCTAGATTTATAGAAGAGGAAAATATGATTGTTTTAAATTTAGTTGTAATGGTATACATAACACCTTGGGACCACATATAGAAAGCATAATTTTCTTTACCTCTGGGATGCAGAATTTTTCAAAGCTTAGGTCTTGCAATCTAATGCTAACTTCTGAAGTCTACAATTTGCTAGTTATAATATATAAGCTAGGGCAAGCTGTTCACATGGGGAATAGGGAATAGTCGAGGTGAAAGTAGAGAAACATTTTAAAAGTCTTTATTGCATAAAAGAGGCACATTGTCTCAAAAATATCAACATTATGAGGTTAATATGTTGGTTGATTTAAAGAAAAATAAAGAACATAGTAAAAATCATTAAATTCAATTAATCTACTACTTAATCAAACAGGGGTGTATTGTGGAAATATCAACAAACAAGATTAAAATAAGCACACCGAAATGTAAACATCAGTTTACAGGAAATCTCTTTCTATGGCATATTTCATTCCTCAAGGAATGAAGCATTAAATCACTTCTGTGGTATAAAAACACTCAATGAGTCAACATCTATTTATTGATCCTGTATTATATGTGGTCCAGTAAATCTGATTCTTCATTAACATGCATATTCCTAACTGTTGAGATAAAAATTCTCTAGTTCTACATCCCAGTTTAGTTATTTCAGACGCTAAGTTTAATTATATTTGCATTTACAGATTAAGCATTTCTTAATGTGGTTATGAAGAAGATACATTTCTTTCTCAGAAGCATAAATTTATGTTCTTAAAAATGACCATAATAAGGAGATCTTGATAAAAATGTCAGTTAAAAAGTAAAAAAGAACAAACAAGCTCTCTGCTTGCCTCAACGAGATCTAATCTAATTCTATTGCTAAAAATGTTGTTATCGGTACTGTATATTGACATATTTTTTATCAGTAGAGAATGTTACTGTGGCTGATATTTGATTGAAAAGGATGTTGCAGCTGTTAGAGGAAAAAAAAGGAAAGAGAAAGGGACACTAGATGCTTGTTCCTCAGGCTAATTGGCTGCCTCTAACCTTGTATTTGTTGACCCGAACCTTTTGTCCACATTTTCCTCACACCACAAGTACGCACTCATAAATTTCAGCTCCCAAGCTTATTATATTTGAGATTATAAAATTCCAGGAGCTACGGTGCTAAAAGTGCTGCCTCTCAAACAATTTTCTCCAGTGATATTAACTTTGAATGCAAGAGATGTAAGTGATGGAGAGTTTACACATCAAATAAGTTATAGTCTATTTAATCTAAATCCTTCATTTAAAAGAAAATGACTAGATTTGGAGGTCAGGAGAACTTTACAATTACACTGATATTCTTGGCCGGTTAATGGCTATACTTAACCAGTATAACAAACAACAAAACAATCATGATTCGGTGTTCTCACTGAAGAAATTATTCTTAAAAATAATAAAGAAGTTTGAATCAGTTGGATTACTAATTTCAGATTATTCTATGTAAAGCAAAGTCCATGCAAGATAGTAATTTATTCCATCTATGTGAAAGATACATTTTGTCTCTATACATCAATTACATTAAGTTGAATTTCACTGCCCAGTGTTTTAATTACTATAAACAGTTTTTAAAATCGTCCGAAGTAAACATTTTACATTCTTAATGCCTTCATGAACGGTGTGAATTTTAATATTGTGTTTTCATATCTGAATATACAGAAGATAACTAATTTTCATCAAGGTATTTATCAAATAAAAATGATGATTTTATAGACCTATAATTCACTCAATTTGAAAATTATGAAATTTGTTTGGCATTAAATTTTTGGAGGCATTTAAAAAATAAACCTGCAAATCCTCTTGCTTAGATTTCTGTCTTGACTAGCAACTTACCTTCCTCAGCTGCCAGGAGTGTTGGCTGTGGATGGGTCCCAGGTGAGCCTGTACTGGGAACTGGTCTCAGCCTAAAGGGAACTAACTGCCTTGCTCAAGGTTGTATGCCATCCCAAGAAAATGTCACATCCAAAGACTGGTTGACTTGGAGGTAAAAAAGAGTCAGGGCTTTGGCCACAATTCCAACAAATGAAGGCCATCCCAGCTTCAGAGATTCCTGTGGGATTGTCTGAGGTCTTTGTTCACTGCATAGCAGTCCAACTTCTCCCTCTACCTGTTACTATTTATTTGACTCCCTCAGAGTTGTGTCCTGGAGTACATCCCAATAAACTTCTTGCTTACTAATCTCCATCTCACAGTCTGTTTCCCCAAGGAATCCATCTTAGAATATGTTGGAACTAAGAATAGCCTAAGAAAGTAAGCTTAAAATATGGATTTTGGATCATCATCCCCTGGACAGTGGCGATGAGGACCCCATGGATAGGGCTAGCCTCTGGTGTGCCATAAAAGTACAGTTGTGAAATTTAAAATTTGACTGGTAGTAGAATGGGGAAAAGGCATGTACTGTAACTGGCTGCTGCAGTATTCCACGTATTTGAGAGGATCTCAGAAAATAGGAATTATGAAGACAATAGGATTGGATAATGGTCTTAAGTGCAGTAACATATGCAATGACAGTGAATGGCATTGGAAAAAAAGTGAGAAGGTTATTAATGGAAAATTTAATGCAAAGTGTGAAAGACACAGTGTTTCCTTGGCAACATGTAAAGAGACTCTCCCCTTCTTAGCCAGGGAGCAGAAATGCTCAAGGTCAGTCCCAAGACTTAATTTAAAAGATAAATAGGGGCCTTAATTAAACAGAATAGGAATCCGGATAATTAGGAATGAAAATATCTGGGTTGAAACTCTAACCCTATATTGATAAACACTCCCATCTCACCTTCTATTCTGTCCCCCTCCTTCTTACAACACCTTCAAAATCCAGTTCCCTGTGGACTCTCTCATCTCCTGTCTGAACATAGTAGGTTTGTAGTTCCATGAGGTATGGTCCCTTTCCTTTCTTAGCAGGCCCAGCGTTTATCTAGCTGGATTATGTTGTGACTTGACATTAGTTAACGGTTAGTGGCTAGGAGGAGAGATGGGAGTATATCCTGAGGGGAGAGCACATGCTATTTTACAAGAGGCCTTTGCATCACCTTCAAACAGTGGAGTACCAGCCACTGAAAAGGAGGAAGGTGTCATTGCTGCAGATCAATAAAATCTGGGGTGCCTTGAGATTTCCAGGGGTTACAGTTTCAACCCAGATATTGTCAATCCTAACTCTCAGGATCCCAATTCTGTTTAATTAAGGCCCTTATCCTTGTCATTGATGACATTTCTTTGCCTCTGAAATCTTTTAAATTAAGTCTTGGAACTGACCTTGAGCTTTTCAGCTCTCTGGCTAAGAAGGTGAGAGTTTCTTTACATGTTGCTAAGGAAACCCTGTGTCTTTCACATTTTGCATTAAATTTTCCATTAATAACCTTCTCTATTTTTTTCCAATACCATTCACTGTCTTTGCATATGTTATTGCACTTAAGACCATCATCCAATCCTATTGTCTTCATAATTCTTACTTTTTGAGAACCCCTCGAATACCTGGAATATGGCAGCAGCCGGTAGGAATGAAATTCCTGTTTCCTTGATGGTTATTAGCTTAGGGCTGTTCCCAGGTTCTAGAGGCCACCCACATTCCTTGGCTTGTGGCCCTTTTCCACCATTTTCAAAACCAGTAATAGCACAAGTCCTCTCAAGCTTTCTATCTCTCTTGTCTCTTCTTCCACAATCACATCTGTCTGTCCTACCATTCTGCTTTTCCTTTTCCACTTTTAAATGCCCATATGATTACTTTAGACCTACCAGGATAATAAAAAATAATGTTAGGTGACTATCCATCTTAATTTTATCCCACCCACAACATTAATTCCCTTTGCTATGTAATGTAATGTATTCACAGATGTAATATCAGGAAATCCAAAATCCTACCAGTGATGCCCTGTTTACCATCACATCCAGTGACCCATTTTCTGCTTCCTGTCCAGGCAATCCTGGTCTCTGTGGGCTTAGAGATACTGCTCTCTAGAAGGAGAACTCTGTCACCAGAGGGCACATAAAGATTCTCATAAAGTTTTAAACTGTAGTCACTATTTTGGTCACTGCTGACTCTTGTGCAAAGGAGAAAGAGAAGGAATCACCATCCAGGCAGGGTAATTGGCCTTGATGATCAAGAGGCAGTAGAACTATGAATATACAGTGAAGATATTTTGCCAATAAATTCATTCTTGGGGGCATGCTCCTCTATTTCCTTGCCCAATTTTGAGGTTAAATGGAAAAGTGGAGCAGCCACGGCCTGTACTTGCTCAGACTCCTGAAGGATGAGGTTCTACATCACACCAGCAGGCAATCCATTTGGAGCTTGTGGATTGTGAGAAGAGCATAGAATGACTAGTAGAGAAGAAGCATGCTGAACATCAGCTGCAGTTGTGAGACCCGCTGTAGCAGTGGGGTCTACAGATTATTCCACTACTCCCCTCTCATAGATTTACCACAACAAGAAATCATCTAGAATCCTATAGTATCCATTTCTAAACAAGACAAATTTATAATGTGTAACAAGTGACTGTAAGTGGCACGGCATAGTAGCATTGAATATTTCTGTGAGACACCAACCAGATGCACTCCTTCATCTGCAATGTAGATGGTATTGTTCCAGGATAATTTCCCTCAGCAGAGGGGATCTGCCTCACCAAAGGTTATCCTCCCTTCCTAGGGGAAGTTCATATTCCACGATGGGTCCATTGGGGGTACAAAGGTCAGCCATGTTGCCTCATTTTGGAACACCTCTGCAGACTACCCTAGTTCTTGTGTTCCTCTTAGGAGCAGCCAAGGCTTTTATACTGAATGGATTAGTCTTCAAATTTGCTCAGTTCTACTTCCTCAATTCTCTCACAGGTGTTAAGCCCTTGACCATTTCCTAATAAACTTCCTGAAAACTAATCTCCAGCTCAGAATATGGTTTCTGAGAAAGCTGACCTAAGACATCTTGTATGCTTATTGAAATGCTGTCTTTGTAGACATTCCTTCAAACATGGATTTGGAAACATTTGATTTTACTTGCTTTGGGATGATACTTTTAAAAATGATCAAAGTTTGTTATTTTAACACTAATAAACTATGTGAGCCAAATGGCAAGGAAACATTACATATCAAAGCATCATGCTTTTAAAAAATGTTTCTATTGGCCACAAGATTTGGCAATGTATGCTTCATAGTGGTATTAAAAATGATTTTCATGCCAATTTCTTTTTGAAAGCAGTAGGGTTACTTATAGTAGCAGAACTTTTTCTGTTGAATTCTCAATCTCATTCCATTTGTTAATAAGATTCCTAAAGAAACAAAACAGCCATCTCAAGTCATTTTTAGAAATATGCTGGTAAAAATAACACATTTTTTAATAAGTCGGGAAAATATATTATAATAAAAGTGGAACCACATAGGGAAATGAAGCAAAAGGCTTCTCTCTTGTTCTAAATGCAATTATTTGTAAGTATGGCAGTCAGATAATTGTCAAATACAGAGATAAGCAATTGAGTAAGAGTGCCTTGCTAAAAAACATGTTTCTTAAGTTCATAGAATATTATTGATATAGTTGTATGTTCCTCAAGCACTAATACAATTACTTGCACAGGTATAGATGTTTTGACTATTTGAATCTGTATAATCTTGGAGAAGTCGTCTAATACTTGTTTTGCATTTCAAAAAATAAAGGTAATAGTCTTGTTGAGAGGATATAATATAAGTTGTAAAACATTTATTATAGTTTATCACATGGTAACCAATAAATAATTTTAGCTGTAATTATCATCTTCATTTCAAGCATTTCTTCAATTAGTAGGTTGGTCATGAATCCTCAAATCACATTATTGACAACTGATAATAATATGTCATAATTGTATGGTTTTACTATGTGTCAGGCTGCTAATCACTTTTTCTGTGTTATCTTATTTAACTCTCACAATCACCATGTGGGGAAAGCTATGTTATTCACATCATTATTTCCATTTCGTAGCTGAGAAGATTATACACAAAGGGGAGAACTTATCTCCCTATAATCATATAGCGAGTACATAGCCGAATCTAAGATTTGAATCTAAATCTTCTTATTTTAAAATTTCATGCTATGAACCTCTCCAATGTACTACCTTCTGCATTATGGAACCTTAATCAGGGGAATACCAATGTTGTCAAATTAGTGTAAAACATAGAGGAAGGGAGAGATATTTGTTTGGATAAGCGATTGAACTAATCTGATCAGGTTTCTGATTGGAATACTGCCAATATTCACAGAGACAAATTGGTCTTACAACAATATCATTAAAAAAAACAAATAATGAAAACAAATATACCTTACTGGCATCTGTTCTTCCCAAATTTGAACTATATCTTCAAGCTAAGACAATCTCTCCAGGTTTCTAAAATGTTCTAGGATCAATTTTCATAGATCTGTATTTCTAGTGTTGTTTTCAAATTATCAACCTAAATGTCTTTCCAGATATCTGGGTCCCCTTTCCAATTCCACACTCGTTTAATCTTTCTCAAATTATTTAATTTTATTTTCTGGAATTTCCAGTCACCTATAAGGAAGCTGGTGTTCGTAGTATTATAAAAATATTGACGGTGTACTGAAAAAAAAATACTCCACCCACTAAAACATCAGCAGTATCAATCAGAAAAAAGGGCACTTTCTGTGCTTAAGACAACTAGTTTTTCTACCGTACAAAAAGAACCACAACCAAAGAACTTTCATTGGTGAGTTTGAGCCATGCAGCAGTTTCAAAATATGTCCAAAAATCCTTTACCACTTTATCTCCAAGAGTGGAGTTAGTTTCCCCTACCCTCGAGCATGGACTGAATTTAGTGAGTCACTTGTAATAAATAGAATTTCACAGAAATGAAAACATAAAGGGCATTCAGAATCTTCCTTATGTCCTTACTCTATCACTGTTTTTTCTCTCTCTTATTTCACTTCTCTTATTTAACTTCCCGTTCTTTCCCTTCTCTCTTATCTCATGCTCAGAAGAAAGATAGTTGCCATATTGTGAGGACACTCAAGTAGATCCATGGAGTGGTCCCCATGATTGAAAACAACGGCATCTTCCAAGAGATGTGAAGGAGTCATCTTGGAAGCAGATTCTCCAGGCCTACTCTGTTCATGAGAGACACTAAGACAGAATTCACCCAGATGAGCCACTCTCAAATCTCTGAACCACAGACACTGAGATAATAAACATTATTTTAAGTTGTTACATTTGGAAGTAATTTATTATGCAGCAATAAATAACAAATACAGGCCAGTAATTAATAGTCTCTGAGTCCTGCAATAAAATTTCCTAGCAAAAATACTGGAAGAGAAATATTTTCCAAGAGATACGCAAAAATTAAAAAAAATCAAAAGACAAGTCTTCTTCATACAAGTGGCCAACAAACATGAAAAAATGTTCAATGTCAGTAATCATCAGAGAAATGAAAATCAAAACCACAGTGAGATACAATCTCATATTAGTCAGAACGGTTATTATTAAAAAGTGAAAAAAACAACAGATGCTGGCGAGGCTGTGGAGAAAAAGGGGCACTTATACACTGTTGGTGGGAATGCAAATTAGTTCAGCCATTGTAGAAAGCGATTTGGAGATTTCTCAAGGAACTTGAAACAGAACTATCATTTGACTCAGGAATCCCATTGCTGGGTATACATCCAAAAGAAAATAAATCATTCTACCAAAAATACACACATACTCATATGTTCATCACAGTGTTATTCACAATAGGAAAGACATGAAATCAATGTAGGTGAATAGATAAAGAAAATGGGTACTTACACCATTTTGGATATGGTGGGTTGGATAAAGAAAATGCGGTATATATACACAATGTGGTATATATACACAACGGAATACTACACAGCAGTTAAAAAAAACAAAAAAAAATCATGTTCTTTACTCAACGTGGATGCAGCTGGAGGCCATTATTCTAAGTGAATTAATGTAGGAATGGGAAAACAAATACCATGTGCTCTCACTTATAAGTGTGAGCTAAATATTGAGTACTCATGGACATAAAGATGGCAACAATGGAAACTAGGGTCTACTAGAGAGGGAATAGAGGGAGCGGGGAAAGTTCTGAAAAAACTATTGGGTACAATGCTCAGTACCTGGGTGACAAGAGCAATCATACCCTCACCCTCAGTATCATGCAATATACCCGTGTAACAAACCTGTACTGTATCCCCTGAATCTAAAATAAAAGTTGAAGTCATAAAATCAGAACAAAACAAGAAAAACAAGCCTTCAATAGCTGCACGTTGGTTTTCTAAATGTTCCTCACTATATTAAAGTTGAACACATGAAAATCTTCTAAGGCATATATTTTTATTTTCCTTTTTCTCACTTATCTTTATATATTGTATTTATAATCTATCTAGTCAATCTTGGTCACAGAGCATATGGATAATTAAACCAAGGACATAGATATAATCACCTTATAGACCTATATATCCCGATCAGAGAAAACTAGTTTCTTAGAACCACTAATGTAGAAAAATACCTTATTATAGACGAGGTTATGTGGAATTTTCCACTTATCTCAGAAGGCTATTAGAGAATATGCATTGCTTTGCACTAACTATATCACCAACACTGAGAAAATAACAGAAAAGTTCAGGTCCTACTTATGTTGCAGATATTATTACCTTCATATGAAGATACACAGATGAAAATACACAGATGAAAATGTGTAAAATAAAAAGATCTCTAAACCTACCCTGAGATTGGAAAATTTCATGAATGAGAAATAGGTCATTCACTTTTTCAAGTTATTATTTTGCAAACAGGGCTTCAAAATACAATTTAAATTATTGCAGAGTTGTATGTATACTGAGTAGTTCCCACATATTTAATAGTATACATTAAAATATAATAAACTTGCTTTCCTACAGTTGTTAAAAAACTGATATGCATTTGAGGCAAATTTTCAGTTAAATAAGATAAGGTAAATGCACCATTTCTCCCAACTTTTGATATGAATGAGCTCTGGGCTTCTGTTAGATGAATCACTATAGATGCATTTGAGTCAATTTAAAGACAAAGGTGATACGGTGTCAAAAAAAAGGGGGGGCGGGGAAATACGTGAGAAACAATCTGTGTTCTAGTCCTGGTTCTGCCAACAACCAGACTTAAAATATTAATCTTTCAGTTACTATTATATTTGAATAATAATAAAATAATAACAGACAAGGAAATAATATTTCTTTATTAGCACAAAAATTGCAGTCTGATCCCTTTTTTCCTATCATTATTAAGCAATTAGATACAGGAGCTCAACACTGTCATTATAGGAATTCAAAGCGAATACCAAAAATATGAATTTAAATGACAACACTTGGTGGCATACAAAAAGAGAAAGGAAGGAAGGGAGAGAAGAAGGAAGGGAGGGAGGGAGGAAGGAAAGAAAGGAGGAAGGAAGGAAGGGAGGGAGGGAGGAAGGAAGGAAGGAAGGAAAGAAGGAAGGAATTAAGGAAGGAAGGAGGGAAGGAAGGAAAAGAAAAAATGTATTCTCCACTGCTTGGTGAGGAGAAAATCTGACAAAAATGTATTGAGCTGAGTAATAAAATGGGCCTGGCACTTTATTGAGTGTTAAGCATTCAAAAACTAATAATATATGGCCCAAGTATGCTTGTGTAACTCCTTGTCTAGTATGAAAGGGCAGATACGTAATAAATTGTATAACAATACAATAAATTGTAACATTGAATTGTGTACTGGGAAAAAAAAGAGGAATTGATTTGAGTGAGTTAGAGAGGATTTCACAAAGGCCAGGATACTTAGGCAGTCCCTTCAAGAATCCATAAAAAATGCTCACATGTAAAGAAGATGGGGAGCAAATCTGGTTAGAATGAAAGCATGTGCAAAGATATGGATATATGGAAAAGAATGAGGTATTTGGAGAAGTGTGAGTTTTAAACGGGTGTAGGTTAGAGTATCTGTAGTAGTGATATATATAGAGAAGAGGGAATTATCATGTATAGATTGGGAAAATAAGAATTTTTTTTTAAAAAAAGAAAAACACAGTCACATGGGGAATGTACTGCAGGAGAGATCACTTTCTCCATCTAAAAGACAACTAGCTACATGCTGTCAAGCTTCAGTAAATGGCTTTCAATCAGGAATGCAGGCTTATTTTTACCTGATCTTCTGATTCATCAAAAAGTAAAAGAAACTTATACTTTATATATGCATTTAATTTTGAGTAAGTTGGTTTTGTCATGCACTGTGCTGGAAAATCTCCTCTCAGGTGTCACTTTTAATGTATTATTTTTTCTAAAGTTTACTGTTGATATGCAAGTATTTCTGTTATGTATCAATCCTCCCAATTTACTTCTTTTTATGAACAAAACAAGATTTAGATATTCGATAATAGCAAACCACCCGGCCAAGAAGTGTTTCTGCAAAGTTATCCTGGGTTTCTAATATTTATATTTGCTTTTAATTATGTTTTATTTCAAGAACAGCTATATCATTTCCATGTTTAATATTATTAGGAATGAATGGCATGAACAACATGGTGAAGTAGGAGATACGAGCCTTCATCTCCCCACAAAAAACAATTAGATAGCTATCTTTTAATGACATTAACCCTGGGAAAGATCAAAAGTTCAGTTAATAACACGCAGTAAAATAGTGGAGTAAAAACCAAAGAAGAATCACACGGAAAGGATTTCTGGGGAGATCAGTACACCTGAGGCTTCTGGAGACAGCTAGGTATAAGGAAAAGGATGGAGGCTCTAAATATCAGCCACTCAGTGGGTGCCATCATGGTCCCCCAGTGGCCTGCTTGACAGAGGACTCCAGTAGCCTTTGCTACTAAGTATCTCAACAGCCCCCTCAGCAGCAGTTGGTTACCCACAGCTTTCACAGTGGAGGTCCCATTCATGGTCATTGACACAGCCCTCAGAGTCCTACTCTGCAGAGGACACTAGCAGCTTTTGCCTTTGAGGTAACCAACAGCTATCATAACTGCAGTTCCTCCAGAAAAGGAGATATTGCTGCATCCCACAGCTACCAAGAAGAAGCTGCTGTTATGCTACCCAGGATGGGGGCAACCCCATGCACTTACTGGATGCAGGAGCTAGGGCCACTCCTCACATGTACAAGATCTGAGTCTTGCATCCTCTGCTGCTCCACATGCACCCACTCCTTAGACACTGGAGCCACTGCTGCTGTGGGATAGGCCATGCTCCTGACCCCAGTGTCAATGTAGCTCTGCATGTGCCCACTCTTTGGACCCTGGCTCCCTGGCTGTTCCACAAGCATCTATGCCTTGTATGCAGCTACCAACACTGCAATTGGGGTGCCTATGTCTCAGATATTGATGCCACCATTGCCCAGGACCCCAGAGTCATAGTCATTCCCTGTGTGCCATACTGCCAACTCTGGCTTCATGGTTACTTCAAGGGCACTGCACAATAGACAAAGGTGCCACCACCACTGCAACTGTGCCTGTGAGCTGGTGTGGATGCCAAGATGAATTTCCTTGGCCATGGCATCTTGCATGGGAGAAAAAGAGATCAGGAGGGCCCAAGTAATCTTCAACACTGAAGACCTCCAACAGCCCTTGCTACCACTGCAAAACTCACAGCCTTGACAGCTGAGGACCCCTACAATCTTCACTACTGCTAATTTTAGCTAATGAACCTACACAAGGACTATGTCATGGAGCTGGAACTGTCACATGTCACTCAGCTAGTGCTCTTGCACCCACCTGTAGGTGAAGGCACTGTGGGGATACTTTCCTCTCAAAACTAGTATGTTAAGTCTAGAGGAGGTGACTGCTCAGTCAAATGCTCAGACATCAACTCAAGGCAATAAGAAACATTAAAATATAAAGAAAACATGACACTACCAAAGGAAATAAATACTTTCCTAGTAACTGACCCCAGGGAAAGAAAGAATCACAAATTGTCAAAGATAATAGTTTTAGGAAAACTTAAGAAATCATAAAAGAACAAACATAAACAACTAAATAAAACCAGAGAAGCAATACAGAAAAAAAATAGAGACAGAAATCGTAAATAGACATACCGAAATTCTGGAGAATAAGAGCAGAATGAATGAAATAAAAATGCAATTGAGGGCACCAGTAGTGGGCTTCATCAAGCAGAAGAAAAAAATCTGTGAACCTGAAGGTAGGTCATTTTTAATTACTCAGAGAAACCACGATAACAAAAAAAGAATGAAAAAGAATGAAAAAAGCCTGTAAAATTTATGGGATACCATCAAGTGGCCCAATATAGGCATTATGAGAATATCAAAAGGAGAAGAGATTAAGGAAGGAATAAGACACTTTTTAAAAAAAATAATGGGTTAGGTACAGCGGCTTATGCCTGTAATCCCAGGATTTTGTGAAGTTGAAGCAGGCAAATAGCTTGAGCTCAGGAGTTTGTGACCAGCCTGGGCAACATAGCGAAATCCTGTCTTTACAAAAAATACAAAAATTAGCTGGGCATATTGGCAAGCACCTGTAATGCCAGCTACGTGAAAGGCTGAGGTAGGAGGATTGCTTGAGCCTGGGTCTTTCCAAATCTGGGAGAGATATGAACTTCCAGGTACTTCAAGCTCTTAGTCTACAAAGAGGTTCAATGTAAAGAAGTATTCACCAAGATACATTATAATCAAACTGTCAAAAAACAAAAATAAAATGAGAATTTTGAAAGCAGCAGAAGAGACTCATCATATATGAGGACCTTCACCCACAAGACTATCAACCTAATTCTCAGAGGAAATCATGCAGCCAAGTAGAAAGCGGGATGGCACATTTAAAATGATGAAAAAAAACTTCCAACCAAGAAAACTTGGAAAAGTTGTTCTTCAGAAATAAAGGCAAGATAAACATTTGTTCAAAAAAACAAAACCCGAGGGAGTTTGTCACCACTAAACCTGTCTTACAAGAAATGCGAAACCGAGTTCTTCAAGCTGAAATAAAAAGATGCTAATTAGTAGCATGAAAACACAAGCAAATATGAACTACCTGTTATATTTAAATATAGAGTCAAATTCAGAATACTCTAGTAGTATAATTGTGGTGTGTAGATCATTTATGTATAAAGGTTAGAAGCCTAATTATTTAAAAACTGTAGCTATCGACCGAGCATGGTGGCTCACGCTTGTAATCCCTGCACTTTGAGAGGCTAAGGTGGGTGGATCACCTGAGGTCAGGAGTTCGAAAGCAACCTGGCCAACATGGCGATCCCTTGTCTCTACTAAAAAATGCAAAAATTAGCCGGGCATGGTGGCACACACCTGTAATCCCAGCTACTCAGGAGGCTGAGGCAGGAGAATTGCTTGAACCCAGGAGGTGGAGGTTGCAGTGAGCCGAGATCATGCCACTGCACTCCAGCCCGGGCGACAGAGCAAGACCCTGCCTCAAAAAAGAAAAAAAGAAAAAGGAAAAAAAAAAACCAAAAACCTGTAGCTATCTAATTTGTTAATGAATATATAATAAAAACATGTAAAATATGACATCAAAAATATAAAATGTAGGGAAAGGAAGTAAAAGGGGAAAGTTTTTATATGCAATAAAATTTAAGTGGTTATCAGCTTAAAATAGACTCTTAAAACTGTAAAATATTCTATGTAAGCCTCATGGAAACCACATAGGAAAAATCCTCTAGTGCAGGGGTCCCCAACCCCCAAGCCATGGAACAGTATCCGCAGGTGGCCTGTTAGGAATGGGGCTGCACAGCAGGTGGTGAAGGGTAAGCATGCAAGCATTACTACCTGGGCTCTGCCTCCTGATAGATCAGTGGTGGCATTAGATTCTCATAGGAGCGCAAACCCTATTGTGAACTGCGCATATGAGGGATCTAGGTTGTGCACTTGTTTTTTTTTGTTTTGTTTTGTTTTTTGAGATGGAGTCTTGCTGTCAACCAGGTTGGAGTGCAGTGGCACGATCTTGGCTCACTGCAACCTCCGCCTCCCAGGTTCAAAAGATTCTCATGCCTCAGCCTCCTGAGTAGCTGGGATTACAGGCACGTGCCACCATGCCCAGTTAATTTTTGTATTTTTAGTAAAGACAGGGTTTCACCATGTTGGTCAGGCTAGTCTCGAACTCCTGACCTTGTGATCCACACGCCTCGGCCTCCCAAAGTGCTGGGATTACAGGCATGAGCCACCGCGCCCAGCCTAGATTGTGCACTTCTTATGAGAATCTAATGCCTGATAATCTGAGGTGGAACAATTTTGTCCTGAAACCATCTTTGCCTCCCCAGCCTATCCCCCAACCATGCAAAAATTGTCTTTCACAAAACTGGGGGTCCCTGGTGCCAAAAAGGTAGGGGATTGCTGCTCTAGTGGATACACAAACAATAAAGAGAAAAGAACCAAAGCATACCACTACAGAAACTCAACAAATCATGAAGGAAGACAAAGAGAGAAACAAAGGGACACAAGAATTGAGAACAATCAGAATATAATTAACAAAATAACAATACTAAGACCTTTCTTGTCAATAATCAGTTTATACGGAAATGGATTAAATTCTCCAATTAAGTGAAAGAAAAACAAGAGCAAACATATCTGGCCTACAAGTGATTCACGTCAGCTTTAGGAACATACATAGCTTGAAAGTGAAGGGATGGGGGAAAATATTCCATAAAATAGAAACTTAGAGCTAGAATAGCTACATTTTTATCAGACAAAATAGACTTGAAGTCAAAAACTGCAATAAAAGACAAAGAAGATCATTTTGTAATCGTAAAGGAGTCATTTCATCAAGAGGAAATAACCATGGCAAATATATTGGCATCCAACATTAGAGCAACTGAATATATAAAACCAATATTAACAGAGCTAAAGGGAGAAATTGACATCAATACAGTGATACTAGGGCATTTCAATAACCCACTTTCAACCATAGATAGATCTTCCAGAAAGAAAATCATTAACGAAACATTAGGTATCAACTACATGTTAAACATACCCAGAACATACATCTTACCCAGCAGAATACATGTTCTTCTCAAGTGCACACAGAAAATTTGCTAGGATAAATCATATTAGGCTACAATATGAGTCTTAAAAATATAAGAAGATGAAAATTAGACCTAGTATCTCATCTGATTACAATAGTATGAAACTGGAACTCTGTAACAGGAGAAAAACTGGAAAATTAAAAAACATGTAAAAATTAAGCAACACACTATTGAACACCTAATAGGTCAACAAAGAAATCAAAAGGGAAATTAGGAAATATTTCCAAACAAAAATGAAAAAAGAAAACACACCAAAACTTAAGTTATGCAGCAAAAGCAGCTCTAAGAGGGATGTTACTAGCAATAAACACCATTTTAAAAAACCTCATATAAATGATCTGACTAGAAAAAATGAAAAAACTCCACAAGTAGCAAAAGGAAGGGAATAATCAAGATCAGAGCTGAAGTAAATGAAATACTTTGAAAGCAATAGAAAGAATACATGAAACTAAGAATTGGTCTTTTGAAATGATATAATTGGGCCAAGGGATGGGGCCAAGATGGCCGATTAGAAGCAGCTGCAGCTGGGGGCTACCACCCAGAAAAACCAAAATAGCATGTGAATCCTGCACTGGCAACTGAGGTATCCAGGTTCTATCATCAGGCCTGACTAGGCGGTTGGCGTGACCCTCACAGAGCAAGAAAAAGTAGAGTGGTGCATCCTGCCACCTGAGAGCCACACAGGGCAGGGGAGTCCCCACCCCCCAGCCAAAGGAGGCGGTGAGCGAACATGCTACCCAGCCTGGGGAACCATGCTTTTTTCACAGAACTCTGCAATCCACACATCAGAAGATCCTACTCCTGAGCCCATGCCACCGGGGCCTTGGGCCCCAACCACAGAGCTGCGCAAATTCTCAACAGCCACTCGGCTGAATTCTGCCTAAGACCACCCGGTTCCCGGAGGGAGGGGCGTCCGTCTTTGCTGCAGTTGCCCGCTGTCCAAGCCATCTGAGCTTCCTGGAGGAGGGGTGGCAACCATCACTGTGGCCGCCTAAGAAAACTGAGCTCCCCAAGGGAGGGTTGGCTGGCATCACTGCTGCTGCCTGCTCCCTAAGCCGCCTGAACTCCCTGGGGGAGGAGCTGCAGCCAGCACTATAGCTCCAGGCTGTGCTTTTCCCCTGCTGGAGCCAGGGAAACTGGACAGCTTGGTCCCAAGAGATATCCCCCACAGCACAGCACACCTGCTGTGGCAGACAGTGGCCAGACTGCCTCTTTAGGACGGACGGTGACCCATCCCTTCTCACTAGCCGGGGTCTCCCTGTAGGAGCTCCAGCAACACCAGCCAGGGTCTTAGCGACAGAATTCTGATCTCCCTGGGCCTGAGCCCCTAGTGGGAGGGGTGGCCGTAGTCTCCGCAGGCCAGCAGGCTTAGTCTTTCCCCGTGCTAGTTCTAAGGAATCCTGACAGCCCAGAAGAGTGTGTTCCCCCCAGCGCAGCACATCCCCTCAAGCAAGGGGGACAGCCAAAGTGCTTCGTTAAACCGGTCCTGGTTCCCGTGCCTCCAGCTGGGTGAGACCCCCCCCAACAGGGGTTGCCAGACACCCTATACAGGAGCATTCCTACTGGTATCAGGTTGGTGCCCCTGGAGGTCAGAGATCCCAGAGGAAGGAGCAGGTACCTATCTTTGCTGTTCTCCAGCCTCGTCGGGTGACATTTCCAGGCACAGGAGCAAACCAGATGAATAGAGCCTGAAGTGAACCCCCAGCAAACTGCAGCAGCCCTACACAAGAGGGACCCGACTATGGAAAAACAAATCAAACAGAAAGCCACAACAACAGCATCAACAAAAAAGTCCTCACAAAAACCTTATCCAGGGGGCAGAAGCCTTAAAGATCATAAGTAGACAAACTCATGAAGATGAGAAAGAATCAATGACAAAACTCTGAAAATCCAAAAGGCCAGAGTGACTCTTCTCCTCCAAATGATTGCAATACCTCTCCAGCAAGGGCACAGAGCTGGATGGAGGATGATATGAAGTAGGCTTCAGAAAATAGTAATAACAAACTTCACTGAGGTAAAGGAGAACGTTGTAACCCAATGCAAAGAAGGTAAGAACAATGACAAAGGTTACAGGAGCTGCTAACTAGAACAACCAGTTTAGAAAGGAACATAAACAACCTGATGGAGCTGAAAAACACAGCACGAGAACTTTGTGATGCATACACAAGTATACACAGCCAAATTGATCAAGCAGAAGAAAGAATATCAGAGCTTGAAGACTATCTCACTGAAATAAGGCAGGCAGACAGGATTAGAGAAAAAGGAATAAAAAGGCATGAACAAAACCTCTGAGAACTATGAGACTATGTAAAAAGACCAAATCTATGACTGATTGGAGTACCTGAAAGAGCTGCAGAGAATGGAACCAAATTGGAAAACACACTTCAGTTCCAGGAGAACCTTCCGTAACATAGCAAGACAGACCAACATTCAAATTCAGGAAATAAAGAGAACCCCAGTGAGATGCTCCATGAGAAAATCAACCCTAAGTCACATAATCATCAGATTCTCCAAGGTCAAAATGAAGGAAAGAATGTTAAGGGCAGCCAGAGGGAAAGGCCAGGTCACCTACAAAGAGAAGCCCATCAGACTTACAGCAGACCTCTCAGCAGAAACCCTGTAAGACAGAAGAAAGTGGGGGCCAATATTCAACATTCTTTTTTTTTTTTTTAAGTGTTACTTTAAGTTCTGGGATACATGTGCTGAACTTGTTGCCCAGCACCACTTATTAAATGTAGAATACTTTCCCCATTGCCTGTTTTTGTCAGGTTTGTCAAATATCAGATGGTTGTAGATGTGTGGTCCTATTTCTGAGGTTTCTATTCTGTTCCATTGGTCTACGTGTCTGCTTTGGTACCTATAGGCATGTTTGCGATTTCTGCACATTGATTTTGTATCCTGAAAATTTGCTGAAATTGTTTATCAGTTTAAGGAGATTTTGGGCTGAGACGATGGGGTTTTCTAGATATAAGATCATGTCTTCTGCAAATAGAGACAATTTGATTTCCTCTTTCCCTATTTGATTACTCTTTATTACTTTCTCTTGCCTGATTGCCTTGGTCAGAACTTCCAATACTACGTTGAATAGGAGTGGTGAGAGAGGACATTCAGGAAATAGGCATGGGCAAAGATTTTATGATGAAATTGCCAAAAGCAATTGTAACAAAAGCTAAAGTTGACAAATGGGATCTAATTAAACTAAAGAGCTTCTGCACAGCAAAAGAAACTATCATCAGAGTGAACGGGCAACCTACAGAACAGGAGAAAATTTTTGCAATCTATCCATCTGAGAAGGGTCTAATATTCAGAATGTACAAGGAACTTAAACAAATTTACAAGAAAAAGCCAAACGACCCCATCAAAAAGTGTGCAAACTACATGAACAGACACTTCTCAAAAGAGGACATTTATGTGGCCAACAAACATATGAAAAAAAGCTCATCATCACTGGTCATTAGAGAAATTCAAATTAAAACCACAATGAGATGCCATCTCATACCAGTTAGAATGGTGATCATCAAAAATCAGGAAACAACAGATGCTTGCAAGGCTGTAGAGAAATAGGAATGCTTTTACACTGTTGGTGGGAATGTAGATTAGTTCAACCACTGTGGAAGACAGTGGGGTGATTCCCTAAGGATCTAGAACCAGAAATACCATTTGACCCAGTAATACCATTACTGTGTATATACCCAAATAAATATAAATTATTCTACTATAAAGACACATGCACATATTTATTGTAACACTATTCACAATAGCAAAGTCTTAGAACCAACCTAAATGCCTATCAATGACAGACTGGATAAAAAAAATGTGGTACATATACACTATAGAATACTATGCAGCCACTAAAAGGAATGAGATCATGTCCTTTTCAGGGACATGGATGTAGCTGGAAGCCATCATTCTCAGCAAACTAACACAGAAACAGAAAATGAAACATCATATTTTCTCACTCATAAGTGGGAGCTAAACAGTGAGAACACAAGGACACAGGGAGGTGAACATCACACACTGGGGCCTGTCGGGGAGTAGGGGAAAAGGGGAGGGAGAGCATCAGGACTAATAGCTAATGAATGCAGGGCTTAGTACCTAGGTGATGGGTTGATGGGTACAGCAAACCACCGTGTCACACATTTACCTATGTAACAAACCTGCACATTTTACACATGCATCCCAGAACCTAAAAAAAAGATAGCAAAGATATGGAACCAAACTACACGGCCATCAACCGTGGATTGAATAAAGAAAATGTGGTACATAAACACTATGGAATACTACATAGCCATAAGCAAAACAAAGCAAAAAACAACCAAATTATGTTCTTTGCAGCAACATGGATGGAGCTGGAGGCCATTATCCTAAGTGAATTAACACAGGAACAGAAAACCAAATACTGTAAGTTCTCATTTATAAGTGAGAGCTTAACATTGAATACATGTGGAAACAAAGATGGTAATGATAGACACTGGGGACTTCTTGAGAGGTGGGAGGGTGGTAGGAGGATGAGGGTTGAAAAACTACCTATCAGATACTATGCTCATTACCTGGGTGACAAAATAATCTGTACACCAAACCCCCATGACACGCAATTTACCCATGTAACAAACCTGCACGTGTACCCCCTGAATCTAAAATAAAAGTTAAAAAAAGAAAAGATATAATTGACAAAGCTTTAGCTAGACTACGAAAAAAGAGAAGACGTAAATAATAAAAATTAGAAAATAAAGAGAAGACATTATAACTGGTATCACAGAAATACAAAGGATTATATAGAACTGTTATGAGCAGCTTTATACTAAGAAGTTGGATAACCTAAAAAAAAGAATACATTCTTAGAAACCTACTACCTATCAAAACTGAACCATGAAAATACAAAATCTGAACACACAATTAACAAGTAAAGAGACTGAATCACTAATCAAAAATTCTACAAAAGTGCAAAGCAGAACTAGGTGGCTTCCCTGGCGAATTCTATCAAACATTTTAAGAATTAATACTAATCTATCTCAATGTCTTTCAAAAATAAAGTGGAGGGAAGACTTCCAAACTCATTTTGCAAGGCTAGCATTACACTGATGTGAAAGTCAAACCAGAAAACTACAAAAAAAGAAAATTATAGGTCAATATACCTGATGAATAGAGATGCAAAAATCCTCAACAAAATACCAGCTAATGGAATTGAAGAGCACATTAAAAGAGTCATACATGATGAACAAATGGGATTTATCCCTGGGATACAAAGATGGTTCAACATATGCACATTGATAAATGTGATACCTCACATTAAGAAAACAATGAAAAAAAGTCGTAAGATTTTCTTAATAGACAGAAAAATAATTTGACAAAATTCAACATTTCATGATTTAAAAATCTCAACAAACTAGGGATAAAAGAAAATGACCTCAACATAATAAAGGTCATATATGAAAAGCTCACAGATAACATCATACTTAATAGTGAAAAGCTGAAAGTCTTTTCTTTAAGGTCAGGAATAAGGCAGTTGTTCACTCTTGCCACTTCTACTCAACATAGTACTGGGAGTCCTAGCCAGCACAATTAGGCAAGAGAAAGATTTATTTCCAAACCAAAAAAGAAGTAAAATGATCTCTGTTTACAAATGATATAAGAATGATAAAATGATATAATACTATATGAAAACTCTAAAGACTCCACCTAAAAATGGTAAAACTTAGTAAACGAATTAAGTAAAATTACAGGATACAAAAGCAAAATACAAAAATCTGTTCTGTTTCTAGAAACTAGCAGTGAACTATCTGAAAAAGAAATTAAGAAAAGAATTAAGACACTCACATCAAGAAAATTAAATACCTAAAAATTAATTTAACCAAGGAGGTAAGAGATCTGTACACTAAAAACTATGAAATATTGGTAGAAGTAATTGAAGAAGATACAAATAAATGGAAAGATACCACATGTTCATGGACTGGATGAATTAATAGTCTTAAAATGTCCATGCTACCCAAAATGATTTATTCAATGCAATCCTTATCAGAATTCCAGTGTATTTTTTCCCAGAAATAAGAAAAACAACCCTAAAATTCATGTAGAACCTCAAAAGACCCCAAATAGCTAAAGCAATATTGAGCAAAAAGAACAAAGCTAGATACATAACACTTTCTAATTTCAAATTGTTTTACAAAGCTATAGTAATCAAACAAAAAACATACCCTAGCATAAAAACAGTCATATAGACCAATTGAACAGAATCAGGAGCCTGGGAATAAATCCATGCATAATATATTCAACTAATTTTCGATAAGGCATCAAGAAAACAAAATGGGGAAAAATAAGTCTCTTCAGTAAATGGTGCTGGGAAAACTGAATATCAGTATGCAAAAAAGTGGAATTAGAACCATAAATTATACCATACACAAAAATCAATTCAAAATGGGTTAAAGACTTAAATGTAAAACCTGAAACCATAAAACTCCTAGAAGGAAACCTGGAAGAGAAGCTTCTTGATAGTGGCCTTGGCAATGATTTTTTAAATTTATGATACTGAAGGGACAGACAAGAAAACTAAAAATAAATAAGTGGGATTATATGAAACTAAGAATTTCTGCACGGCAAGGAAAACAATAAACAAAATGAAAGGCAACCTACAGAATGGATTAAAAAAAGCAGTAAATGAAGAAAGTAGTATCCAAAATATATAAGAAACTTATACAACTCGATAGCAAAAAAAAAAAAAAAAATCCCCTAAAAAAAAACTCGATTAAAAAATGGGCAGAAGCCAGGCACAGTGGCTTGCATGGGTAATCCCTGTTACTTCCAAGACTGAGACAGGAGAATTTGCTTGAGACCAGGGTTCGAAACCAGCGTGGGCATCATAGTGAAACCTCATTTCTATAAAAAGTTTTTTAAAACATTAGCTGGCAGTGGTGATGTGTGCCTGTAGTCCTGGATCCTCAGGAAGATAAGGAAGAAGATTCCTTTGAACCCAGGAGTTCAAGGCTGCAGTGAGCTATTATCATGCTGCTGTGCTCCAGCCTGGGTAACAGAGTGAGATCCTATCTCTAAAAAGCAACATCAAAAAAATGTATGTGTGTGTGTGTGTGTGTATATACATATATATATAAATAATATATATTATAATAAAATATTATTTATTATTATAATATATAATATATGAATATAATAAAATATATAAATAAAATATATAAATAAATAAAAATATATAAATATAATAAAATAATATATGCATAATATATAATAATAATATAGAATTATATATTATATTTATATAACATATATTTATATATTATATAAATAGAATATATTTATATATTCTATTTATATAATATATAAATATATATTCTATTTATATAATATATAAATATATATTCTATTTATATAATATATAAATATATATTCTATTTATATAATATATATATGCTATTTATATAATATATAAATATATATGCTATTTATATAATATATAAATATATATGCTATTTATATAATATATAAATATATATGCTATTTATATAATATATAAATATATATTCTATTTATATAATACATATATATTATATAAATATAATATATAAACATATATTATATAAATAGAATATATATTGTATAAATATAATATATAAAATATAATATATATTATATAAATATAATATATAAAAATATAATATATATTATATAAATATAATATGTAAAAATATAATATATATCATATAAATATAATATATAAAAATATAATATATATCATATAAATACAATATATAAAAATATAATATATATTATATAAATATAATATATAAATATATTATATATATTTATATAATATATTTATATATTATATATATTTATATAATATATAAATATATTATATATATTTATATAATATATAAATATTATATATATTTATATAATATATAAAATATATATTTATATATTATATGAAAATATATTATATAAATAAATTATATATTTATATATTATATGAAAATATATTATATAAATAAATTATATATTTATATATTATATAAATATATAATATATAAATAAAATATATATTTATATAATATATAAATATATAATATATAAATAAAATATATATTTATATATTATATAAATATATATTATATATTTATATATTATATAAATATATATTATATTTATATAAAATATAAATATAATATATTATATTTATATATTATATATTATGTTATATAAATATAATATATATTATATTTATATGATATATTATATATATAATATATAATATATGAATATAATATATATTATATTATATTTACTAATATTATATATATTATATATAATATATTATATAAATACAATATATAAATACAATATATAATATATTACATAAATACAATATATAATATATCATATAAATACAATATATAATATATTATATAAATACAATATATAATATATTATATAAATACAATATATAATATATTATATAAATATACTATATATTATATAAAATAATATATATTATATTTTATAAAATAATATATATTATATTATATAAAATAATATATTATATTATAAAAATAATATATTTATTATATAAAATAATATATATTATATTATATTATATCATATATAATATAATATATAATATATCATATATATAATATAAGATATATTATATTAATACAATATATATTAGTATAAATATTATATTAATATTATATATGATATTAATATAATATACATTATACTAAAATATATTATATATTACATAAATATAATACATATTATATATTACATAATAAAATATATATTTATATATTATATAATAAAATATATATTACATATATTATATAATATAATATATTTATATATTATAAAATATTATATAATGTAACATATTTATATATTATAACATATTATATATTGTATATATATAATATATTATAAATTGAATATAATATATAATATATTATAATATATATAATATATAATAGTATTTTATATATTTATATATTATAAAATATTATATATTGTATATAATATATAATATATTATAAATGTATAAATATATAATAATATTTTATTTATATATACATATATGTATATATAAATAAAATATTCCATTGAATATAGAACTAGTATGAGCAATTTTATACTAATAAGTTGGATAACCTAGAAAAACTTGAATACATCCTTAGAAACCTACTACTTATCAAAACGGAATCATGAAAATACAAAATCTGAACATATCATTAACAAGTAAAGAGACTGAATCACTAATCAAAAATTCTACAAAAGTGCAAAGCAGAACGGGGTAAATGGTGCTGGGAAAATTGAATATCAGTGTGCAAGTAAGTGAAATATGCAAAAAACATTCAATGTAATATCACTTCGCCTTAAAACAGAAGAAACCACTGTCATTTGAGACAACATAGACAAAACTAGAGGACTCCATGCTAAGTGTAAATAAACCAGAAACAGAAAGACAGATACTGTATGATCTCACTTATATGTGGAATTGAAAAAAATCAAACTCGCAGTAATAGGGAGTAGAATGGTGGTTACCTGGAGCTGGCGGGGGAAGAGTTGGTAAAATAGGGAGAAGTTGGTCAAAAATTACAAACGTTAAATTGTAAGATGAATAAGGAGATCTAAAGTACAGCATGGTGGCTTTAGTTAATAATGTGTTTTATATTCGAAGAAGGCTAAGAGAGCAAATCTCAAGTGGTCTCACCACACATAAGATATTTTCACAAGGTGGTGGATATGTTCATTAAATTGGTTGTGGTAATCATTCCACAATGTATATGTATACCAAAACATTATGTATACCTTGAATATATGCTATTTTTCTTTGCCAATCTCATATAAATAAAGTTGGAAATTATGGCAATGGCCATAAATGAAGTTTTATTGAAAAAAATCATTAAAAATGACTCATGTAATGCACTTTAGTAATATAATTCAATTTGAGTAATAAAACTAATACAATGGCAAATCCAGAGTAGTATTGTCATCATCATCATTTAATAACTTCAAG
Organism: Homo sapiens; assembly: GCF_000001405.40. NCBI lineage: Eukaryota > Metazoa > Chordata > Mammalia > Primates > Hominidae > Homo > Homo sapiens. The sequence continues at coordinate 29,597,734 of NC_000018.10, forward strand.
GTGGTTTTGTAAAATATTAAAGTAGAAAAAAAAGTTAATGAATGAGAATTTCACATGGATGTTTTGTAACATAAATAACATCCTAATTATGTAATGAACATTATTATTATTATTATTGGAGACAGTCTTGCTCTGTCGCACAGGCTGGAGTTCAGTGGCAGGATCTCGGCTCACTGCAACCTCCGCCTCCCGGGTTCAGGTGATTCTCCTGCCTCAGCCTCCCGAGTAGCTGGCAGTACAGGCGTGTCCCACTACGTCTGGGTAATTTTTTTTATTTTTAGTAGAGACGGGGTTTCACCGTGTTAGCCAGGATGGTCTCAATCTCCTCACCTCGTGATCTGCCTGCCTCACCCTCCCAAAGTGCTGGGATTACAGGTGTGAGCCACCGCGTCTGGCCTTGAATACAATTTTTGAAAGCCTAGAGTAAACGAAGATGTGAAAAAAATAAGCGATATGCATTAAAATGTTAAACAAGTGTTAATTTTAGAGTTATGTAACAGGGTGGGGGCTAAAGTTTGTGAAAAATAGAAGTGGCAGTTCCATATTTAGTTTAATTACTAGCAATATTGTTATTTGAAATAGCTCCATCTGTGAAATCTTGGTAAAGGCCTTAAGCAAACAAGTTCATTTATCTTGTTTTTTCTTTGTAAGGAAATAATAGTTTTATAGGCCTGAGAGAAGGTAATTAAAATCAGTGAAGAAATTAAAAATGAGAATATATTAGCGTAGTAAGAGTCCTAAGAAGCCAGAGGCCTGGAAATGAAGTGAAAAACAACAACAACAACAAAAAGTTCATATTAGTTAACACTGTAAACCTTGGCCCTACTGGATTTCCTCGCCAATCTATACTGAATAAAACAAATGTCATATTGCTAATTATGGGGCGTGTGTGTGTGTGTGTGAGAGAGAGAGAGAGAGAGAGAGACAGAGAAAACAGGCTTGTATATGGATGAATTAGTATAGCTCCATAAACATTGCATGTATCTGACAAATGGCTATTTGAATCTCCATTTTCTACTTTCTGTATAGTCAAAATTTTGAAGAATAATCTAAGGAGGAGATATTTCACATGAATGTTCTTCTACTTTAAATAAAAAAAGTGCTCATTGCTTTCTCCTACTTAACAAATTTAACATCTGAACACATTGAATACTAGTGCTTTTTAATGTACTCTTAAAAATAAGCCCTCTCCCACTAAAGTATTTGGATCTAGCCTAATCTAAAAAGGGTTTACCCGATCTCTGTCCAGTTGTGAGTAGATTTATGCCTGCTTCATCATAGATGAAGGCTATTGGAGCTCCTGTTAACCCATTTGTTATCAGGATTGCTTCAGTTCTCTCCTCAACATACTTCTGCATTTTACCATGGTCTGTTTGAGACCCTCACCTAAGGTTCTCCACACATCCACAGAAACATTACTGGAAATAACTGTTTCTTCTGATTTTAGTGTCCAATTTATTTGTATGTCTCTTGTTCAGTTTTCATCTTCTATATGACAGTACAAAAAACTAAATTCTTCATGTGATTTATATCATTCTCTCCTATTATCTTTTTATTTTATAATTGATACTTATCTAGCTTTGAGATTTTCACAGAATAGATATGGGTTTTGTTTTGTTTTAACATAAGAAAGCAGTGAGTCAGAGATGCCAAGACAACGTCACCTCCTTTACCCAGATAAAAAGTAGATTTTTTTTTTTTTTTTTTGAGACGGAGTCTCACTGTCGCCAGGCTGGAGTGCAGTGGCGCGATCTCGGCTCACTGCAACCTCCGCCTCCCGGGTTCAAGCGATTTGCCTGCTTCAGCCTCCTGAGTAGCTGGGATTACAGGAGCACATCACCATGCCCAGCAAATTTTTGTATTTTTAGTAGAGACAGGATTTCACCATGTTGATCAGGATGGTCTCGATCTCCTGACCTCGTGATCCGTCTGTCTTGGCCTCCCAAAGTCCTGGGATTATAGGTGTGAGACACCGCGCCTGGCCAAAAGCAGAATATTTTATTTAACATAGAGTCTGAATAAAATGCAGTGCTTTTAATCTTACCCACATCTGGAAACAACTTAGGAAATTCTCTTTCCTAAAGTTTCCAAATTTTACCCCTTGCTTTACACTCCATCCAAATTAACCTGCATTTCTATTCAGTAATGTTAACTGCCCTTCCTACAACTGTCATTTCCTTTACCTCCTTTTTGTTTCCCCTTTTTACTCTGGTATCTTATGTTTAATATCACATTTTTAATACTGCCTCAATAATAGTTAAATTATCCATGGAGGTGTGAGTATCAAAGAATATCCCTTCTAAATCTATAAACAGAAGGGACTTTTTTTTTTTCAGAAAACAAAATCAAAAATCAAAGGAAGCAGCAGCCACAACAATAAACTAGCATGCTGTAATTTCAGAGTCCATTTTGTTATTTACACTAATCAGGAAGACAGGAAACTGTTCTGCAGAAACATTAAGAGAGACAGTCACTGGTCAAAGATTATGGATCCTGCTGTCCAAGAAAGAAACATTCTGCAGTTATGCTCATTAGTAGACATTGTTAACACAGGAAGGGAATAAAAGGGGATTTTAAAAAATAATTAACTATTGATGTAGCACTTATGTGCTACTGTTGTCACATTTTAAATGACTCAATTTTTTGTCATGACTGAGTTCATAAATACTTCTGTTAGGGACTCACGTTAAACTCATAGTCTTGAGTTCATTGATTTGATTTATGGTTAAATTCATGCTACAAAAGTCAGTATTTTGAAAGATTTCTGTCCATTTTAGATTCAGTATCAACTTTAGGTACAGCCTCTTATTTCTATTTATTCACTGCATTAACTAGTTTTTAGGAATTATGTTGTATTTTTATAATTTAAAGCATTATTTAAAATATTCTTAATTTAGGAATTCAAGATCAAACCGCTGAGACTATGGTAAATTCTTTCTTAAATCAAATTTTTCTGTCAATGACAGATTGTTCATTAATGTCAGCATAAAATTATTGGATTTTTCTATATTGAATATATTCCACATTCAGTATTCTATACTGCTATTTCAAAGTTTAACATATTTCCAGACACTTGTGTTGAATATAAAATGTACAAACACATGATTCTATTTGGAATTAGATTTCTTCAGGTCAATCCTAGCTCTGCCCTTTACTAAGTGAGTAAACCTGTGTATCTGTTTAACTACTCTATACTCTAATTTCTTCATTTTTTTGTAAAATAGAAATACTATCAGTGCCTACTTCATAAAGTGAGGATTAAATAAAATTAATTAGTATATATTGCTCAAAATGGTGGCTTGCACACAGCAGGTATGTAATATATATTAAAGATTAATTCATTTTTTAAAGGATTATTTATGTTTATACTAAATGGAAAAAAACTAAAAACCCTTCCTTTAAGATCTAGAATATGACAAGGATGCCCACTTTCACCACTGGTATTCAACATAGTAATGGAAGGCCTAGCTAGGGCAATCAGACAAGATAAAGAATCAAAAAGCTTCCAAATTGGAAAGGAAGAAGTCAGACTATTCTTGTTTGCAAATGATATGATCAAATACAGAAATCAGTAGCATTTGTATATGCCAACAGTGAATAATATCTCTAAAAAAAGAAATTATAAAGTAATCCCATTTATAATAGCCACACATGAAATTAAATATCTAGAAATTAACTTAACCAAAGAAGTGACAGATTCTATAATAAAAACTATAAAACACTGATGAAAGAAATTGAAGAAAACACCGGAAAATGAAAAGATATTCTGTGTTCATGGATTGGAAGAATCAATATTGCAAAAGTTCCATACTATGCAAAGTGATCTACAGTTTTAATGCAATCCCTACCAAAATACCAATGACATTTTTCGCAAAAACAGACAAAACAATCCTAATTTATATGAAACCAGAAAAAAATAACCAGAATAGCCAAAACTATCCTAAGCAAAAAGAACAAAACTGGAGGAATCATATTATCTGACTTCAAATTACACTACAGAATTATAGTAACCAAAACAGCATGGTACTGGCATAAAAACAGACACATAGACCCATGGAACAGAATAGAGAGCCCAGAACAAATCCACACACATATAATAAACTCATTTTTGACAAAGATGCCAAGAACATACATGGGGAAAAGACAGTCTCTTCAATAAATGGTGCTGAGAAAACTAGATATCCATATGCAGAACAATGAAACTAGACTCCTGTTTCTTGCCATATACAAAAATCAAATCAAAATGGATTAAAGACTTAATCTAAGAACTGAAATTATGGAACTAGTGCAAGAAAACATTTGGGGAAATCTCTGGGACATTGGCCTGGGCAAAAATTTACAAGCACAGACAACCAAACCAACAATGGACAAATGAGATTACGTTGAGATAAAAAGCTTCTACACAGCAAGGGAAATGATTAACGAAGTGGAGAGATAACCCACCTAATGGGAGAAAATATTTACAAGATACCTATCTAACAAGTGATTAATAATTGGAACGTATAAGGAGCTCAAACAACTATATGGGAAAAAGTCTAATAATCCAATCCAAAAATGGGCAAAATATTTGAACTGACATTTCTCAGAAGGAGATACACAAATGACAAACAGGCATATGAAAAGGTGCTTAACATCATTGATCATCAGAGAAATGCAAATCAAAACTACAATGAGATATCATTTTGCCCCCAGTTAAAATGGCTTTTATCCAAAAGACAGTCCATAATGAATGCTGGTGAAGATGTGGAGAAAAGGGAATCCTCGTTCAGTGGTTGGTGGGAATGTAAATTAGCACAACCACTATGGAGGACAGTTTGGATGTTCCTCAAAAAAATATTGAGCTATCATGTGATCCAGCAATCAAACTACTGGGTATATACCCAAAAGAAAGAAAATCGGTATATAGAAGAGATAGCAACACTCCCCCATGTCTGTTGCAGCACTGTTTACAATAGCTAAGATTTGAAAGCAACCTTAGTGTCCATCAACAGTTGAATGGATAAAGAAAATGTGGTGCATATACATAATGGATTACTATTCAGCCGTTGAAAAGAATGAGATCCAGTCATTTGGAACAACATGGATGGAACTGGAGATCATTATGTTAAGTGAAATAAGCCAGGTACAGAAAGATAAACATTGCATATTCTGAATTATATGTGGAGTTTAAAAATCAAAACAATTGAACTCATGAACGTGGAGAGTAGAAGGATAGTTACCAAGGCTGGGAAGGGTAGTAGGGAGCTCAAGGGGATGGGGGTGGTTAATGGGTACAAAAAATAGTTAGAAATAATTATTAAGACATACTATTTAACAACAGGGTGACTATCGTTAACAATAACTTAACTGTACACTTTATAATAACTAAAAGAGTGTAACTGGATTGTTTGTAATACAAAAGATAAGTGCTTGAGGGGATGAATACCCCATTCTCCATGATGTGATTGTTATGCATTACATGTCTGCATCAAAATATCTCATGTACCCTGTAAATATATATATCTACTTACACATAAAAATTAAAAATAAAAAAATTAAAAGGTATTCTTTATGTTTAAAAACAGATCTATATTTATATTTGTTTATATTGGAATTGGCAAACTTTTACTTAAAGAACCAAAGTAAATATTTTAGGCTTTGGGGACCATATGGTCTCTCTGTAGCAACTACTAAACTGTGCCACTGGAGCTAGAAACCATCCATAAACAATGTATTAACTAATGTGCATAGTTGTGATCCCATAAATCTTTATTTACAAAAACAGGCAGTAGATCAGACTTTGCCTGCAGGATGTGGCTTCCCAACCCTAATTCTTATGCTTAAAAGCAGCATTCAATGACTAATGATTTAATAGAAATTACTATGTGCAACCTTAAAAACTGGCAATTTTAGGTGAACATTTAAGACACCCAAGAAGGTATTTCTTTGTCTAGAATCACCATATAGCTTATCTTGGTCTTAAAATTCATGTCAAAAATATATAGTTTTCTTAGAAAGGATAGAGGTCAGCACAAAGAGAAAATACAATGTATTAAGAAGTTAAACAATGTCACATAGCAGTTTGTCTATTTTATATTAAGTGCATGTTAATAACATTCATATCATTCCTTAGAATTAGTAAACATATAAGAAATTAGCAGAGAAAAACAATAAAAATGTAAATTTTTCTACTTAGGTGACTCATTTTATCTTTCCCTTTGTGTACAAATAGACCTTTTTTTTTCGCTTAGATGGATCAGAGGAAAGTTAAATTATTAAAAAAAAAAAAAGAATTGGAGAGAAGCAGGATCTTTATTACCAATAATGCAGGCAGATGCTAAGCAATTATACTGAAAATATATTCAGGTACAATAACTATATGCTTGTAGCCTGGGAAAGATGCTGCATAACTTATTGAAATACAAAAGCCTTGACAAAATACCAAGTGATTATTTATCAATGCACTTGAGAAGATAGAAAGTCTACAGGATCAGTTTAACAGAGGATTTTGCTAGGACATAAAAACTGATGATTTTAATATGAAAATGTGAATGTTTCAAATAAGAATAGCTAGAATGTAGCAGCTGTTAGCAAATATGAATAAATTTGTTATGAGTTTATTTGGAAAAAAAGATTATACATTCTATGCATTTGAACCAATGGGTTTTAATTTTACTTTTTTTCTGTTGTACAATTTTCTACTTGTTGCCACTAATCCATATTATGCAGTCTGGAAGTAACACCTCCATACATCCCAAATAATCTTAACTGACTGACGTTCATTCTAGCCACATGCACATACAAACTCTGTCTCTCTCTCTTTCTCTATGTGATATGGTTTTGCTGTGTTCCCACCCAAATCCCATCTTGAACTGTAACTTCCACAGTTCCCACATTTTGTGGGAGAAATCCAGTGGGAGGTAACTGAATCATGGGAGCGAGTCTTTCCCATGCTGTTCTAGTGATAGTGAAGAAGTCTCATGAGATCCGATGGTTTTAAAAATGGGAGTTTCCCTGCACAAGCTCTCTCTATTTGCCTGCCGTCATCTATGTAAGATGTGACTTGCTTCTCCTTGTCTTCCACCATTGTTGTGAGGCCTTTCCAGCAATGTGGAACTGTAAGTCCATTAATCTGATTTTTCTTCCCGGTCTCTGGTGTGTCTCTATCAGCAGCATGAGCAAATTGGTACCAGTAGAGTAGGGTGCTGTTGAAAAGATACCTGAAAATGTGGAAGTGACTTTGGAACTGGGTAACAGGCAGAGGTTGGAATAGTTTGGAGAGCTCAAAAGAAGATAGAAAAATGTGGGAAAGTTTGGAATTTCCTAGAGACTTGTTAAATGGCTTTGGCCAAAATGCCGATAATGATATGGACAATGAAATATAGACCAAGGTGGTCTCAGATGGAGATGAGGAACTCATTAGGAATTGGAGTAAATTTGACTCTTGTTATGTTTCAGCAAAGAGACTGGTGGCAATTTGCCCCTGTCCTAGAGATTTGTGGAACTTTGAACTTGAAACAGTGACTTAGAGTACCTGGTGGAAGAAATTTCTAAGCAGTAAAGCATTCAAGAGGTGACTTGGGTTCTGTTAAAGGCATCAGTTTCATAAGGGAATCAGAATATAAAAGTTTGAAAAATTCGCAGGCTGACAATGTGATTAAAAAATAAAATACCATTTCTGAAGAGAAATTCAAGCCAGCTGCAGGAATTTGCATAAGCAATGAGAAGCCAAACGTTAATCCCCAAGACAATGGGAAAAATGTCTCCAGGGGATGTCAGAGGTCTTCATGGCAGCTCCTCACATCACAGGCCTCAAGGCTTAGGAGGAAAAAATGGTTTCATGGGACAGGCCCAGGGTCCCCATGCTGTTTGCAGTCTAGGAACTTGGTGCCCTGTGTCTCAGCTTCTCCAGCCATGACTCAAAGGGGCCAAGGTACAGCTCAGGCCAGGGCTTCAGGAAGTGCAAGCCTCAACCTTGGAAACTTTCAATGTGATGTTGAGCCTGCAGGTGCACAGAAGTCAAGAATTGAGGTTTGGGAACCTCTGCCAAGATTTCAGAGGCTAAATGGAAATGCCTAGATGTATAGTGGTCAGAGCCCCCATACAGAGTCCCTACTGGGGCATTGTTTAGTGCAGCTGTGAGAAGAGGGCCACTGTCCTCCAGACACGAGAATGATATATCCACCAACAGATTGAACCATGTGCCTGGAAAAGCCACAGACACTCAACCCCAGCCCATGAAAGTAGCCGGGAGGGAGGCAGTACCCTGCAGAGCCACAGGGGCAGAGCTGCCGAAGACCTTGGAAACTCACTTCTTGCATCAGCATGACCCAGGTGCAAGACATGGAGTCAAAAGAGATCTTTTGGAATCTTTAAGATTTGACTGCTCTGCTGGATATCAGACTTGCATAGGACCTATACCCCCTTTGCTTTGGCCAATTTCTCCCATTTGTAATGGCTATATGTACCTGTACCCCCATTGTATCTAGGAAGTAACTAACTTGCTTTTGATTTTACAGGCTCATAGGCAGAAGGGATTTGACTTGTCTCAGATGAGACTTTGGGCCAGGGACTTTTGAGTTAATGCTGAAATGAGTTAAGACTTTGGGGAACTGTTGGGAAGGCAAGACTTGTTTTGAAATGTAAAGATATGAGATTTAGGAGGGGCCAGGAGTGTAATGATATGGTTGGTCTGTGTCCTCATTCAAATCTCATCTTGAATTGTAACTCCCACAATTCTCATATTTCATGGAATAAACCCAGTGGGAGGTAATTGAATCATGGGGATGGGTCTTTCCTGTGCTGTTCTCATGGTAGTGAATAAGTCTCATGGGATCTGTTGGTTTCAAAAACAGGAGTTTCCCTGCACAAGCTCTCTCTCTTTGCCTGCTGCCATCCATGTAAGACATGATTTGCTCCTCCTCCCCTTCCACCATGATTGTGAGGCATCCCCAGCCATGTGGAACTGTAAGTCCATTAAACCTGTTTTTTTTTTTTTCTAGTCTCAGGTATGTCTTTATCAGCAGCATGAAAACAGACAAATCCACTATTTCTCCCTTTCTCTGTCTATCTGTTCTTCAGTCTGCCTGTCTGTCTGTCTGTCTCTCTCTCTCTTCCACATACATAGACTTACACACACACACACACACACACACACACAGGAGTGGATTAAAATCACTTTATAACACATAGAAACTATATCTCTAGATATTAAAGTATCACACAGAATCATCTTCCTAAAATCACTTAGAGTGCCAAATGCCTATTTTTCCCAAAAATTAGTGTTCTCTTTTTGTTATAAGAAATATCCTTTACATTTATATTTAAATATTTATATTTAATTATATGTTTTACACGCATATTTATATTTAAATAGATTTTATGAATAAGTGTAGCTACAGTTAGTACTTATGAAGTCAACTTGGTGCAACAAGTATGCAGAGTACAGGCCCACAAGACATATTACAGTTTTGGAACATGCTTCTTCCTCAGATTATTTTGAACATTAGAAATTTATTAAAGAGTTGGAGATGTGCTCAATCTACTTATCATTCATCCATAACATATGTAATTGCTTTTAAGGTGAAGATTTTCAGCTCAAAACTGCTTTTGGAATATTTACTCTTGGATGCAGTCATATTATGTCATTGAAATGCTTGGAATATAATCCAGATTATTAACATCTGACACATGGCTCATCAGCATTACATAAAATCAAAGCAAAACTTTTGAATGTACTATTTAATTTAATTCAGATTTAATGGGATGAAGTATTTGAATGTACTTTGTACAAAGTCATAATTATCATTATTATTACTCACTTCTCAGGCTTCAGTTTAGTTTGTTCCATTATTTGCAGCATTAATTGACCTATTAGCTTTTCCTCAGTCACTGAAAGACATTGTTACTATTGTCCTGTTGTAAAGACATCTACTTTTAGAAAGTCAATGTAAAACAGTGGTAGAATATTTGGAGCACAATTTACGAAGCCTGGTGTAGCAAGATTTTAATAACAGACGTGTCCTGGATATAGCTGTGTGTCCTTGTACAAGTAAGTGAACCTTTCTGAATTTGCATTTCTGCATCTGATATAAGGAGGATAATGATATTACCGATATGACCTTTGTCAGGATTAAATTAGTGTAGCCAAAAACACTAGAGTATAAGTAAATATTCAATAAGTATTTAGTCCTATTTTTGTTATTCATATTTTCATTATTTATCATAGAACTTCTATACAGAATGAAGAATGGAGGATGGAGAAGGCTGTACGATGGACATTACTTAGAGAAGTTAGGCCTGAAGGGATACACAGCCACTGTTATTGGTAGGTATCTGAAGTTTTCAGCAGCTTCAGACTGAGAAGGAACTTAGTGAGAATGATAACACACAATACCCCTATACATAAGTGGTGGTGCATAGCAACTGTCTTAACAAGCTGAAAGTGTCCCTAAAGTACCCATGAGTGTAGTATCCTAGCATCTACATCCTGAAGTACCAGTCTAGGATATTTGCTTGCCTAGATGAGCCATAGCTGTCTTCTTCCCTCTTGTTGCTGTATTCTGGATCAAGTTAGATTACTATCGCCATGGTGATAGAAACTGTCTAAAAGTAGGAGGGGATGAAATTTTTTTAAAAGGCAATTGATGCTATTCCAAAGGGTTTAGATCTCAACTAAATTAATGCGGATTCAGTAAATTACTTTACACTGATGAATGACCAGATGGTATCGAATTTTAGAATGATTACTCTGGCAGAAGTGTGGAAGAAGATAGGCCAGAGCATAAAGAGCAGCAGGAAAGGAACTATGTCAGTGATCTGAGTGAAAAATTAAGCTTGAAAGGAATTATAATAATGGGATAGATTTACAGATAATAAATTGGATTCACAAGGCAATTTGGTAAGGAATAAGGCTACAAGCAGCAGGTTAGGGTAGGAGGGAGACATACCTTTAGTTGGTAGATTAGGATTTAGGGCAAATAATTTGTCCTTGGTAGTATGGGTTACAGCAAAGCTGAAGAGTAACTTGGATGTATGCAAATGAGACGACCAAGGCAGAGTGATATAAGAAAGAGACAGGATTATAAGACATAGGGTCCGGTGTGGAAACAACTCAGGCACATAAATAACAAATCAGCTGCTTATAATACCCCAAGCATAAAGCTATACTTGTGGTAGCAGCAATTTGATTCAATTATTATAATTGTATGCTATTTAACACAATTTATTAGATACCTATTATGCGTCTGGTTCTGAGTTAGGCAGCCAGTATATGAGAAATTGTCTAAGGTGGGCATGGTGGCATGCACCTGCAGTCCTAGCTAGTTTGGGGGCTGAGGCAAGAGGATCATTTGAGCCCAGGAGTTAAAGACCAGGTTGGGCAACATATGGAGATCCCAGTCTCTAAAATAAAATAAAATAAAATAAAATAAAATAAAATAAAATAAAATAAAATAAAATAAAATAAAATAAAATAAAATAAATAATTGTAAAATTACAGAAATAGAAATTGTCTACATATTCCAAAATCTGGAGATATAGTTAAATCTTTGTGGTATTTAACTTCCAGCTGAGGCTGCTGGAAGGCTCTAGTGAGAGGAGATCAGGCAGGGTAATAATAGTTCCAAGTTATTATTTTGCTCAGTGTTATACTTGAATTAACTTTATTAACAAAAACATTTTAAAATGAATTTTTTTTAATTTACTTGATTTGAATAATGCTACTGAACCAGCTTCCTTTTTTCTATCAGCATTATAATTTCTTAGGTCTTATACATTCTTAGCACTTACAACTTTTTAATTTTTTTTATAAACTATCTTTAGAGCAGTTTTAGATTCACAACAAAACTGAGCAGAAAGTACAAAAATTCACTTTTTAACTCCTGCCCCTACCCTTGCGTAGCCGCCTCCATTATGAACATCCTCCATCAGAGTGGTACATTTGTTACAACTGATGAACCTACATTATCCTATCATTTTCACCCAGAGCTCATGGTTTATATTAGGGTTTCTTCTTGGTGTTATACCTTCTATGGGTTTGGACAAACGTGTAATGACATGTATCTATGTATCTACCATTATAGTATCATACGGAGTAGTTTGATTGCCTTAAAAACTATGGGCTCTGCCCATTCATCTCTCCCTTTCCCTCATCCCCTGGCAACCACTAATCCCTTTATTTTCTTCATAGTTTTGCCTTTTCCATAACATTATGTAATTGGAATCATATGCAGCCTTTTCATATTGGCTTCTTGCACTTAGTAATATGCATTTAAGTTTCCTCTGTGTCTTCATGGGTGGATAGCTCATTTCTTTTTGGTGCTGTATAATATTCCCGTACTGAGATAGGAGATCAACAAGAGTTGATTTCTGAGAGGCATCACGGCCCTGCTGATCAAACAGGGTATAGCAAAGATATTGGCCAAAACCAGCTAGGACTAGGAAGTTTATGGTTCATTTGCATAAGAAACTCAGCAGTGCTATGACAGTTTACAAATGCTATGGCAACAAACATGAAATTACCTTATATGGTTTGGGTAAATCCCTCATTCCTTTTCTAGAAAATTCTGAATATCTGGCCCCTTGATTAGCATATAATTAAGACTAGGTATAAATATAGCTAGCCAGAGGCTGCTAATCTGGACTGCCACTGTTTCTATATACTGCTGCTGCTGCTGCTAATCAGGGCTGCTCTACCTATGGAATAGCACCACTCAGCCTATGGAGCAGCCATTCTGCTGCACAGGGTTGCTCTAATAAACTTACTTTCTTTCACTGTCGGTTTGTTCTTGAATTCTTTCCTGAGCAAAGCCAAGAACTCTAGGCTGAGTCCCAATTTTGGGATTCACTTGTATCAGTACCACATTTTGTTTTCTATTCACTTGCTGTAGGAAATTTTGTTTGCTCTATTTTTCGGCAATTGTGAATAATCTTGTGATAAAGATCTATATCCAGGTTTTTCTGTGGACATATAATTTCCTTTGAATGCATCAGATTTCTTTTATGCAAATCACTTTCTTCACCTTTTTTCAGAATAAGATGTATCCAAGAGCCTGACTCCATTTTGATGTTTAACTTCTGACAGCTTTCAAGCCTCATCTGTCCCTCTTCTGCACATCTGGGTCCGCAGATAAGAAAGCCTGTGCATTCTGTCCTGTCATTTCTTCTGTAGGAAGTTCAAAGCATGCAAAACCTTGCTACTGATGGAACAATAAGATGAAACTAGATACACATGTTTCACCTTACACAAGAATTATAGACGCTAATGTAAAATTCAGAATTATAAAACAACTAGAAAAATACATAGGAGATAATCTATATAAAAATGAATTGGTTGAAAAGATTTTAGATAAAAAATTAAAAGTTTAATCCATGAAAAATAGATGTTAGGTTTTATTAAAATAAAAATTGTCCTTCACAATGCATTGTTAAAAGAATAAAATTAAAATCCACAGAATGGAAGAGAATCATTGCAAAACACATATCTAGTATAAGACTGGTATCCAAAATATACAAATATATTTTAAAATTCAATTATAACATAACCCAGTTAGTTCAAACGTAACAACTCAACTAAGAAAAGGAAAAAATTCTTAGCAAACACTTTATCAAATACTCTATATAGATGGAAAATAGGGACATTAAAAGACACTTTACATTTTTGTAGATATTGAATTACAAATGTAAACAATAACAAAATAAAGTCAACATCGTTTAGAATGGCTAAAATTCAAAAGATCAACAATATCGTTACTGGAGACAATAAGCAAGAGGAACTCTTATTCGTTGCTAGTGGGAGTACAAAATGCTACAGCCACTTTCAAAGGTAGTTTGGACATTTCTTACTAAGTAAACATTGTCTTAGAGTATAATCCATCACCTATATTTCCAAGGATATTTCCAAGTGATTTGAAAATTTATTTCCATAGAAAATCTAACAGATGAGTGTTTATAGCAGTGTTATTGATAATAACCAAAAAGTTAGAGCAAGTTGTTGACCTTCAATAGGTGAATGAATAAACAAAATGTGGTGTATCTGTACAATAAAATACTATTCAGTGATAAAAAAAGGGATAAGCAATCAAGCCATATGCAGAGATGCATGCATCTTAGCTGCATATTAATAAGTGAAAGAAGCCAATCTGCAAAAGTTTCATAGTGTATGATGCCATTTGTATGACATTCCGGAAGAAGCAAAATTACATCATCAGGAAACAAATCAGAGGTTGACTATGTTTCAGAATGCAAAGAGGTTGACTACAATTGTGGAAACATGATGCCACGGATTTGTCAAAAGTCATAAAATTTTTATAACATAAGGAGTCAACCTTAATATAAAAATTTTAAAATATCATTTAGGTGGTTGGAGATATCAGGATATGATGCAAAATGTGCCAAATCAACTAACTCTAGTATAAATGTATGAAACAAACTTACTAAAGTGAACAGGTAAGAAAGGAACTGACATAGGGTAGATATAGATCAAGAGAATTTAATTGAAAATCTGAAATCAACCTTAATATTTAAGGTTAATTATTTATTTTCTTTCTTTCTTTCTTTTTTTCTTATTTTTTTTTTGTGAGACAGAGTCTCGCTTTGTTGCCCAGGCTGAAGTGCAGTGGTATGATCTTGGCTCACTGCAACCTCCGCCTCCAAGGTTCAAGCAATTCTCCTGCCTCAGCCTTCTAAGTAGCTGGGACTACAGGCACCCGCCACCATGCCCGGCTAGTTTTTTTTTTTTTTTTCCTTCGTATTTTTAGTAGAGACAGGGTTTCACCTTGCTGACGAGGCTTGTCTGGAACTCCTGACCTCAAGTGATCCACCTGCCTCAGCCTCCCAAAGTGCTGGGATTACAAATATGAGCCACCGCACCCAGTCCAATTTATTTTCAACAAGGGTGAAAACATAATTCACTGGGGAAAATAGTCTTTTCAAGCAATTGTGCTGAGACAACAGGATGGGCACATGAAAATGAATCACACACATACAAACATTAATTAAAAATGTATTATAAAGTTCATATAAAATCTAAAACTATTTTTAAAAGATTTAAAGGAAATATAGGACTAAATATTCATGACTTTGGATCAGACAAAACTTTCTAAGATATTACACTAAAAATACAAGCAACAAAGGAAAAAATTTTGATACATTTGGTTTCAACAAAATTAAAACCATTGTACCTAAAAGGACTCCATCAGTGAGTGAAAGCACAAACACAGACTGGGATAACATTTTTGGAAATCATATATCAGATAAAGATTTGTATCTAGAATATTTGAGAATTCTTACAACTTGATAATACAAAGACAATTGGGGAAAGTGTATGAATGATCTTATGTGATGGCTAATAAACATCTAAAAAGATGCTCAATGTCATTAGCCATTTGAAAAATGCAATTCACCACAGCAAAAGAAATACCACTTCATAGCTACTAGGATGGCTGTTATAAAAATGACAGACCATAATGTGTTGACAAGGGTGTGAGCAATTGGAACTTTCAGACATTTCTAGTTGGAATATAAAATGGTGCAGCCATTTTGGAAAGTAATTTGGTAGTTCCTCAAAAGATTAAACATAGAGGTGCCTTATAATTCAGTGAATATACACTATATATATATGTAATGAAAACATGTTTCCACACAAAATCCTGTGCCCAAATGTTCATAGCAACATTAGTCATAATAGCCAAAAAATAGAAACAACCTACATGCCTCTCAACTGACAAACAGATATATAAAATGAAGTATACCTAGATGATAAACTATTATTAAGCAATAAAAGGGCTTTTCTAGATATAGGGATGGTCAAACAGGGGTAGTTTGACTTCCTCCCTTCCTATTTGACTGTCTTTCTTTCTTTCTCTCGCCTGATGAACCTGGCCAGAACTTCCAATACTGTATCAGATACGAGTAGTGACAGAGGGCATCCTTGTCTTGTTCCAGTTTTCAAAGAGAATGCTTCCAGCTTTTGCACATTCAGTATGATATTGGCTTTAGGATATTCATACGGGGCTCTTATTATTTTGAGATATGTTCCTTCAATACTTAATTTATGGATAGTTTTTAACATGAAGGGATGTTGAATTTTATCAAAAGCCTTTTCTGCATCTATTAAGATAATCATTTGGCTTTGTCTTTCATTCTGTTTAATCACATTTATTGATTTGTGTATGTTGAACCAAACTTGCATCCAAGGGATGAAGACTGTTTGATCATAGTGGACAAGTTTTTTGATGTTGCTGGATTCGGTTTGCCAGTATTTTGTTGAGGATTTTTGCATTGATGTTCATCAAGGATATTGGCCAGAAGTTTTTTCTTTGTTTGTTTGTTTTTGTTTTTGTTTTTTTAATCTCTCCCTGGTCTTGGTATCAGGATGATGCTGGCCTCTTAGAATGAGTTAGGAAGGAGTCCCTATTTTTCAGCTTTTTGGAATACTTTCAGTAGAAATGGTATTATCTCTTCTTTGTACATCTGGTAGAATTCACCCCAAAAGATTTTTAAGCTGATAAGCAACTTCAGCAAAGTCTCAGGATACAAAATCAATTTGCAAAAATCACTAGCATTCGTATATACCAACAACAATCAAGCTGAGAGCCAAATCATGAATGAACTCCCATTCACAACTGCCACAAACAGAATAAAATACCTAGAAGTACAGCTAAGTAGAGAGGTGAAAGAACTCTACAAGAAAAACTACAAAACACTGCTCAAATAAATCAGAGATAACACAAACAAATGGAAAAACACTCCATGATCATGGATAGAAATAATTAATATTGTGAAAATTGCCATACTGCCCAAAGCAATTTATAGATTCAATGCTGTCCCCATTAAACTACCATTGACATTCTTCACAGAACTAGAAAAAAATTATTTTAAAATTCATATGGAACAAAAAAAAAAGAGCCCAAATAGCCAAGGCAACCCCTAGCAAAAAGAACAAAGCTGGAGGTATTACACTACTTGACTTCAAACTATTCTACAGGGTTACAGTAACCAAAACAGCATGGTGCTGGTATGAGAACAGACATATAGACCAATGAAACAGAATAGGGAACCTGGAAATAAGACCTCACACCTACAACTATCTGACCTTTGACAAACCTGACAAAAGCAAGCAATGGGGAAAGGATTCCTTATTCAATAAATGGTGCTGGGATAATTGGCTAGCCATATGCAGAAGATTGAAATTGGACCCCTTCCTTATACCATATACAAAAATCAACTCAATATGAATTAAAGACTTAAATGTAAAATCAAAAACTATAAAAACCATGGAAGACAACCTAGGCAATACGATTTCAGGACATAGGGATTGGCAAAGATTTCATGCCCAAGATGCAAAAAGCAATTGCAACAAAAGCAAAAATTGACAAATAGGATCTAATTAAACTAAAGAGCTTCTCCATAGCAAAAGAAATTATCAACAGATTAAACAGACAACCTGCAGAATGAGAGACAGTTTTTGCAAGCAATGCATCTTACCAAGGCTCAATATCCAGCATCTATAAGGAACTTAAACACATTTACAAGAAAGAAACAAACAACCCCATATAAAAGTGGGCAAAGGACATGAACAGACAGTACACAAAAGAACACATGCATGTGACCAACAATCATGAGAAACAGCTCAACCTCACTGATCATTAGAGAAATGCAGTAACCACAATGAGATACCATCTCACACCAGTCAGGATGGCTATTACTAAAAAGTAAAAAAATAACAGATACTGGTGAGGTTGCAGAGGAAAAAGAACACTTATACACTGCTGGTGGGAATGAAAATTAGCTCAACCACTGTGGTAGACAGTGTGAAAATTCCTCAAAGACCTAAGGACAAAAATAGCATTTGACCCAGCAATTGCATAACTGGGTATATACCCAAAGGAATATAAATCATTCTGTTATAAAGACACATGCACACATACGTTTATTGCAACTCTATTCACAATAGCAAAGACATGGAATCAACCTAAATGCTCATCAATGATAAATAGGATAAAGAAAATGTGGTACATATGCACCATGTAACACAATGTAGCCATAAAGAACAATGAGATTATGTCCTTTGCAGGGTTATGGATGGAGCTGGAGGCCATTATTTTAGAAAACTAACACAGGAACAGAAAACCAAATACTACGTGTTCTCCTTTATAAGTGGGAGCTAAATGATAAGAATACATGAACACATAGAGGAGAACAACACACACTGAGGCCTATCAGAGTTTGGAGGGTTGGAGAAGGGAGAGGATCAGGGAAAATAACTAATGTGTACTAGGCTTAATACCAGGGTGATGAAATAGTCTGTACAACAAACCCCCATGGCACACATTTACCTATGTAACAAACGTGCACATGTACCCCTGAACTTAAAAAAAGTTTAAAAAGCAATAAAAGGAATGAACTACCTATATTTGCTACAATATAGATGAACCGTTAATCATCACTCAAAATTAAAGAAGTTAGTTGCAAAAGAAGATATATTTCATGACTTCATCTATATGGAGTGTTCAGAATAGACAAATCTATAGGAAGAGATAGTGGATTCATGATTTTCTGGGACTAATTTGGGGGAAATTGAGAGGAAGAAGAGAGTGACTGCTGCTGGTTACAGGGTTTCTTTCTGGAGTGCTAGAATTATCTTAAAATTAATTGTAGCAATAGTCATACAACTCTGTGAACACCCTAAAATATCCGTTGAATATTACACTTTAAATGGATGAATTGTATAGTATGTGAATTATATCTTAATGAAGTTGGTAGAAATAATCTATAGTAGCCTATTACTACTGTCTTCGTTTTGGCATGGATATTGAATGTGAACAAAATAGGTTTCAATGATACAGATAATTCTCCATTTTGTTTCAGAAAGCATTACTAATACTGACATAAGTCTGCTTAAGTATTCTTTATACTAAAATTATCTCAATAAAATATTTCTCCTTGGGACACATGTATACTGATGAGCTGAAAATAAAAGGAGGCTATGACTGAAAAAATACCTAAGGGAAAAAAAGAGAGAAAATATAGCTTGAATAACCACCTCTCCACAGATTTCTCACGTTCAAAGGGTACAAAAACCAACATTAGCTCTAAGGATAGAAAGTGGCTCTGTGGCTTCATCAGAAAGGGAGTACGTTGTGAAACATACTAAGGTGAAAGAGAAAAACAAAGCCAGGAGGAGTATGCCTAGCAGGATCCTACTGATAACAATAGTGATAATTAATTACATGTGCAGTGTTCAATGCTTTCCTTCCTGACAAGACAGCAGCAACACTATTATACCTTGCAGAGAGAAATTAAGGCCAAGAGAGCTCACCTTTGAACTACCTCTCTAATGTGTCATGTGTAGCCTGTGCTCCTTGTAATGAGCACAACCAGGAGAGGGCAGGTCTTCAGCACAAACAAAATACAGCATATAAACCAGCTGCAGAAAACATCCAAATGCATTTGAAAAGATGGCCACAATCTCAGAATTTTGATAAATATTTCTTTTCTAGTGCAATTGTGTTGTATTATTTGGCTGTGTATTTTCAACTTGAACTGTTTGAGAAGATTTTGCATGCTGGAAATGGCATTGGTGCTCATTCCCAGGCCTTGAAAGATTATGTTTAGTAGGTAAAATAAAATTGAAATAATTTTATAGCAGAATGTTTGGAACAAAATTCCTTAGATATGCACCATTTTGAAAAACAAAATGATTCTAATATTACTTAAAACAGCAGGAAATAAAATTTGCAAATTGTAGTTTTAAAGTTTCTGATAGTCATTATTAACAGGCTTTCCTTTTCCTGTTACTGGCATAATGTAATTCTCAATGTGAGTGCAGTACGTTAAAATCAGTAATTTTGGTTTTGTATCCTTATACCTTTTAAACCTCAAATATAGCCTTTGTGGGCCTTGGTTTTCAATTTGGATATCACGTAGTATCATCTAATTTGTAGGGTTATCCGGGGGATCAAGAGGGATATGTTTTAAAAACTGTTATTTTCTTTAAAATTGAAGGCATTATTTTTGGAGTTTATGCACAAGCATGCTTGGAAGCAAGGTCGACAAGGTAAGATATTAGTGACAAATTGACTAAATCAAATATAAATATTTTTTAAAAGATTTTATTGATAAGAACATTACCATTGCCCTGTTAGATGGTGATTATGGCATTGACCCTGGGATTTGGCAAGGGCCACTATGCTAATAATTATATATCAAGTTGTTTATTTTTGGCACCCACATTTCTCTCTTATTATTTTCCTTCCCTGAGACTATGCTACTGTAGGAAATCATTCAAGGATGTCAGCTGTACTTTTTATTGCTCACCTAAGCCAGATGTTATTTTGGTCCATCTGTTCCAGCGTTCTCTGCCACAATATGAAAAACAACTGGGGGCTTTGAGGTGACACAGTAATTAACCTTGTAAATGGCATTAGTATCACAAGTGAAACCAACACTTCGTTTTGTGACTTTAGTCAATTAGCAGCAATTAATCTTGGTTGCTTTGCATAATAACCCCATAATATTTTATAATTTGTTTAATGGTGTATGCTGTAAAAGTATTGTCCTTTGTTCCATTTTTGTTGATGTTTAGATTTCCCTCCCTGTTACAACGAGCTTTGGATATATCATTCTTTATGTTTGGGGAAATTATCTTTACTCCCTTGTGAATTATTAATTTGTTAAAAAAACATAAAGGATTGCTCAGTATCCATTGAATAACATTTATAATTTACTTTATGTTTGTCTTATATTAATTTGAGCCATTTTTAAAGCCAAAATGAAGATGTCTTATTGGAAAGATACTAAAACAACATTTACTAAAAAAGATTTTAGGTTATAGAAGTAAAAATTTAATAACTGCAATGGAGACTGATGAATTTAAGAGCAGATTAAACATAGAAGAGAACATTACTCTTTGAGAATTAATAAATTTGAATGTGACTCAACGAAGTATATATTTGAAAACTTACACAATAGAATATAGGTAAGAGGCAAAGAAAGGCATTTAAAATAAACTGTAACAATAACCAGAACAAAAGAATGTAGAAAAAATGAAAAAATACTGGGAAACTTTCTGATCAGCTATATTAAGAAAAACTTTAAAAAGTATTTTTCAGGCTGAATGAGCTACATCTCAGAAGTATAAAGGAAAAAAATTAAAATATATATTTTTCAAAAATTAAAACATTTTCAAGAAATTAAATTTAAAATTTTAGTGAAAAATATTTACTTATACATACAGAAGCTCAAGCAGTTTAAATACAAAAAAAGGACTGACATATTAGATTCAAACTTCTGAAAAAGAAAAATATTGAGAGTATCCTGAAAGCAATCAGAGAAAAAAGACATTACATATGGAAAAACTAATCTACAACTGCTTGCCAAGTTTTCACTAGAAATAATAGATGACTAAATGCAGTGAAATGTCTATTTTAAGAGCTAAAAACATTTAGGTATTCATATATCTAATATTGGGAAGAATATAATATTTATATTAAATACAAGAAATAAAACATGTTGATAATCTTGAGATGAAAATATTCCTCAAAAAATAAGGCAAAATAAAGACATTCTCAATGAAATCGTGAGAACATTTATTTCAAACAGTTCCACACAGTAAAAATTGCTAGGATAAATTATTGAGTTTGGAAAGAATTTCTTTCAAGGAATTGATAGTTTGAAGCAAAGTTATGACAATATAATAAGGGTTTATAGTATACATAAAAGTAAATGTAAGACAATATTGATGGTTTTAAGAATAAAACGAGATTGATGTTCAAAGCAAAAATAAAGATAATGTACTAGGGGTTATAATTATTAAAAAGTAAAATATAAAACAACAAGAAAACAAGATATGAGAAGGAGGAAATGTAATGCACTGCCATGAGATATTTACACTCTTTGTGACATAATATATTATCTAAAGGTAGAATGACATAAACTAAAAATGTACATTGTAATCCTTGGAGCAACCAGTAAAAATGAGAAAATAGGTACGGCTAAGAAAGAAAATGCAGGGAATAACATGAATTGCTAACACTGTACAATTCACACAACTGAATTTAGAAAAAGAGGTACAAAGGAATAAAATAGTTAATAATAAAGAGCTATTTTAAAAGACATATCAATAAATATATTAAGTTGAAATAAATCTCCATTTAAAAGCTATATAATTTCAGTTGTATACAAAAACAAGCCCCAATTTCATGCTCTTTATAAAAACCAAACTTTAAATATAAAAATAAACAGTTTGAAAATGTTTAGAAAAAAACATAACTGCAAACACTAGACATAAATTAGCTAGATTGGCTACAATAATACTAGAAAAAGTAGATTTCATTAAAAAATTATTAAAGAGATAAAGGGAAATATTTTATAATAGCAAACATTTTAAAATGTATAATAATCCTATATGTAAAAGTACCTAAAAACAGCATTTTTATGAATGAAGAAAGCATGAAGAAAGGTTGGCCAAATTAAAGAAAGGGGAAAAAAGCAAACCACAATGAAAATATGAGGTTTTAATATTTCTCTTTCAGCAATTTAAAAAAACAAGTAATAGAAGGATCAGAAAAGATGTTGAATATTTGAAATATAACTATTAAAAACTTTATATTGATAATTGGAAGTTTGAGGATATTTTAGAATACAAGTATTTTTAAGTGTACATAGAACCTTCACCAAGTAGCATCAGATAATAAATTCCTACAAGCTACTTGCTCTGACCATAATGATATTAAATCAGAAAATAGTAACAAGAAGAATCCAGGATAATGCTAAATATCTAGGAATTAAGTAATACAAACTAAATAAAACACATCTGATAGAAAAATAACATAAATTATAAAATATTTAAATTGAACTACAATTTGTAAAAATTACTGTTTGGAATGCAGCAAAAGTTTTTGTTAGATAGAAGTTTAAATTTTAAGTGTATATTTTAGAAAAGGAAAAGGACTTCAATCAAAATCTAAAGCTTTCACATTAGGAATATAGAAAAATGAAGGGCAAAGTAAACCTAAGACAAGAAGGAGAAAGGATATAATAATTAGAGTGGAAATATATGAAAAAGAGTACAGAAAAACAATAAAGATATCAATAAAGCAAAAAACTATTTCTTTTAAAACATCAACAAAACTTACAATTCTTTACCTAGACCAATTAAGAAGAGAGAAAACACAGATTAATAACTGCACCACATATATATATATATATACACACACACACAATAACATGAGTACAACTCATGAAATGTTGATTAAAACAAGTTAGAAGCAAACAAATACATATTATGGTTCCATATATATACATATATATATTATTTTATTTATTTATTTTTGAGACTGAGTCTCACCCTGTAGCCCAGGCTGGAGTGCAGTGGCACAATGTCAGCTCACTGCAACCTCTTCCTCCCAGGTTCAAGCAATTCTTGTGCCTCAGGCTTACCGAGTAGCTGGGATTACAGGCGTGTGCCACCATGCCCAGCCAATTTTTGTATTTTTGGTAGAGACAGGGTTTCACCATGTTGGCCAGGCTGGTCTCGAACTCCTGCTCACCTTGGCCTCCCAAAGTGCTGGGATTACAGGCATAAGCCACCGTGCCCAGCCATGTTTTATAAAATTATTGTTTCAATGATGCATATTAAGGAATGTTATGGTCTGAATGTTTGCATACCTCCAAAATTAATATGTTGAAATCCTAACTGCCAAGGTGAGGTTATTGAGAGATGGGGCTTTTAGGAGATGACTAAGTCACGAGGGCTCTTTGGATGGGATTAGTGTCCTTATAGAAAGAGATCCTGGAGAGCTTGTTTGCACTTACTTCCATGTGAGGCTACAATGAGAAGACAGCCGTCTATAAGAAAGCAGGGCCTCACCAGACACTGAATGCGTCGTTGCCTTGGTCTTGGCCTTTCCAGCCTCCAGAACTGAGAGTAATACATTTCTGTTGTTTATAAGCCACCTAATCTATGGCATTTTCATTACAGCAGCCCAAACGCACTAAGATGAGGAGATGAATCTATAAAGAAATGCAAGTGAGAATAGTGGTTTTCTCTGAGTAGTGATTAAGTGTGGAATGAGGATGGCACTCGAATGGTTGATAATGTTCTATTATTGTTCTGTTGTTGTGCTTGCATGGTGTTCATTTTCTGAAAAATCACTGAGCAGTACATTTTAAAATATTTCTTATCTATATTTGTTGTATTTCACAATTTAAAAAAGATTTTTAAAACAAAGTTAGTGGTTCTTATTGAACAAATACAAGTGGTTTTCCAAAGTAAATACTTCTCTAAACTTAAAAAAACAAAAACAATAACAAGTATATATATAATTTGACTCTAAATTATTAATCTCTTCTCATGTAGTCACTTCAAAATAATACCTTCAGTCCTAATGTTATCAAACGTAACACATTTGATGAAAGTTAAGACATGTACATGTACATGTCTATGCCAATGCTAAAAACACATTTTTGGTTCAACGTTCTTTTCTAAACTAATGACTAAACTAATTACTGTAAAACATTTGACTGTTTGGAGATGGTTTTAATCAATGAATTTGAACCACGAGTGTAATTATGTAGATGTATTAGCTATAGTGAGGCCTCTGTGTGTGTGGGTAAATCAACTATCAAAAACCCAACAAAGTCTAGAGAGCCGAAGGCTGGTTCTTTAGTTCAGCATTATAGGAAGACAATTTAAAACAAATGAATTAGAAACTATTTACCTTAAAGGATAAATACAATTGATATTGCTGTAAATGCTTGAACATTAGCCAAGTGCATACATTTCAGATCATTACTGAACGCAAACTAGATTAAGTGAATAAACACTGCAATTCCCATATACTCTAATTTCATTAGAACTTCCAGATATTGAAGGTCAGACACTGTTCTTGGTGTTTTATATTTACTATTCCTCAAACTTAAAATCTCACAAAAGAACTTGTAATCTTGATCTAAAGAAACAAAGGGTCATGGGGGGAAATTACCAAGTCTCAGATTCAAATATGTAAATTGGTAGAAGAAAAGTTTGAATCAAAATCTGTCTACGTCCAAAGACTTTTCACTATCTATCTCACTTATATTATCATTTTTGATAGTAATTTTAAAATCTATCTATATAGTAAGATGTATATGTAAGATATATAGTTGTATATATAAGATATACAGATATATAATAAAGTATAATATATATATTTGAGGCACTTGCACTCTTTTACTTGATGAATATTTTGTAATATAAAATAGAAATCCACATCCATCTCCAAGATTCCAAATGTATGTTCAATTTCTTCTTCTTCCACAAATAACTCAAATAAGGAAGCATTTATATTTATCTCCCTCTTGAATATCCAATGAAACAATTTTACTTGCACAGCTACATTAGAACAGTCTGATGTTATTTGTTGTAGGGATGACTTTACCATACCTCACTACTTCATTTGTATACTCAAAATCAACAGAGATTTGTGAGCTTTTATATCCATTCTAGTACCTTCTACTTTAACAATTGATTTGCCACTTGGATAAATCACTCTTATTCCTCAAAAAAGGCAAAAGAATATGGTATTTGCTCTAAAGTTCCCAGCCTCTGTTGTGGTTTATAAAGACGGTCTGCAGAATTTAACTCTTGGAATAGAGAGACATGCAATTTAATTCACAATGAGCCTCACCCTTGTGAAAAAAGATGTCAACAGTAATGATATGTTTGGTGTTTTTAAACCACTATCCGGATGTATAGTTCATAGATTTCATAAAAAGTGGTTTAAAAATAATACCAAACATATCATTACTATTGACATCTTTTTTCACAATATCTGAAAGTTCTAATGGTGCAGTTACCTGAAAAATCTGATGACTACAATGATACAAAATTTTCTAACATATTTACTTATGTCTTACTTTAGAAAAGACTCAAAGTCTTGCTCAAGAGTGTAGTAAGGGATAGTTTAGTTAAGCTGTTCACTGGATTATGCTATTCCCTGATCATCTTTCAGCCTATAATATGACTTGTTCACTATAATAGGAACAGTTGTGGGTTTTTGGTTTTTTTTCTGCTTTAGTTGACTGCTTAAACACCCTTTTCTTCTAAAGGTAACTATTCTGTTCATACTTCTTAGTTGAGGCAGTCCTGGGAAGTTTTTATATATTGTTTCCTAATGTGGCCATGGCTACTTGTTTCAGAAGAAAGAGCATTTGATGCAACGGCACACAATTGTAGACTCCATTGTGGACCAAAGAAAAGGCTGATGTGAGAGCTTTGCCTAACAATTTTGATTCCTTATCTTGTTGAATTTGAATGAGAGACATGGCATTAGGAAACTACATGAAATTAGAAGTAGAAGCAGAAAGCCCCTCAGAAAGACAAAAAGAAAAAATGGAATTGACAACTGAGCCACATTAATGTCCATATGTTAATAAGACATTTAAAAAACCACTCCTGAATGTTGTACTACTAGAATATTGGATATTTTATTAATTACTGCTAAGCTATCAGATCATTTAGTAATTCCAAAGAATTTACAAGACTTCGTGAAGTTTTCTCCCTTAAGTAAACATGATAATGTCAGATTATGTTCAGTATGATGAAGGAAATGCCAAGGGTAAATGATGGAGACTTAGTAACTAGAAGTTTGGGGAGTGGGCTATTTTTGATATAATGGCTAAGAAAGCCTCGCTGAAGAACAATGTAAAGGGCTTGGGATTAGAAAGGGCTCACCATAGATAAGGAACAATACAAGAGAACAATTTGTTTAGATAGTGGTGGTCGAAAGGGACAGTAACATCAAAGAATGTTGAAGAAGTAGTCAGAGGCTAAATAATACTAACCCCAGTAGGCCATGCTGATAACTTTTTATTTTATTTTAAGAAAAGTGGGAAGCCACTGAAATATTTTAAGGAATAAAATGTATTGCAAGCATGTCTAGTTTCTATTTATATGCTTAAAGCATACTTCATATTTATGTAGCTTTATTTCTATTAACTAAATTGGCAATATGTATAAATAGTTTATGTGAACAATAACAATGTGGCTCTGATATTATTCTCTAATTTATTGGGGTATTAGTACAGTTATTAGTTAGAGGAAGCTGAGAATCTCTGCTCTCCTTCTAGGAAATGTCTCCACTGTTTAACTTTAACTTCCTTTAATCTATGCCCAACCCGAGTGTGACCATACACAGATTATTTTACTGGTCATATTATTGCAAAGATTCTAGTGGTTATCAATGTGTCTGTACATTTTAAAGTTTAGTTTTCAAGTTTTAAGCATTTTGTTTATAATGTTTAAGTATTTATTTTTCCATTTAGCTTTTGTAAAATTGTGAAGCCGTGAAAATGTGTCTATGAGATTACGGTCTAACTCAAATGCTTTATTCCACGATCCTCTGTAAAATTCTGGCGTTGAAATCTTTATAAATTAACTGAATTAACAAACATGCCATTACTCCAATCAAAACCTCAGGGATTTTTGTAATACTATGCAAATATCATTTTTAAAGTTATCTAATGGACAATTAAGCAAGAATTTGTCTAATGGACAAAGTTCTCAAGGATAACCACGAGAGAGAGAGTTTCTATTACCATAATGGAACTGAAATAATAGTATGTGCCCACAATAATTATAGTTGAATATTTGTCAGATTCATAGATGAAGTGAAATGCTTTATTGATACATGTAGCAAAAGAAAACATAGGAAAAAAGATTTTAAATAAACAAAATTTAATATTCAACCAACAAATATTTATTGATCAACATTTATGTATTTTTCTGAATATTTGGGATACTTCAATAAGTGAACTAGAAAAAGATCATTTCTTTTACATGCATATTAGGATAGACACATAATTATTTAAATTATGTAGTATTTAAATGATGGTGAGGGTTATGGAGAAAAAGGGGAGAATAGTAAAAGGGTCAGTTATATCACAATATAGAGTAGCAATGGTAGTTAAACTTCATTAAAAGGAAAGTATTTGAGTTAGGAATTGGCACCGTATATGAAAAATAATGTGAACAAAATCAAAAGACAAATGAACATCTAGAAAAAAGTCACAAATAAGATATATATTTCGTTAATATCATCAAATGACAATTCAAGAAAACAGCTCTCAAAATATTTTTATAAATGTATATTAAAATAATTATTTTAACCTATGAATTTGGCAACGATTTAAAGCTTGACAAAATGAACATTTAATACTGTGACATATTTTCTTACTCAGTTGAAGGAAACGCACATTATCACACATTTTCTGGAAGAAAAGAAGTCAGAATATGCCCACATATATTAAAAATATCAATATACTTTACCAGTAATTTAACTTATAGGAGTTCATCCTAAGAAATTTATCAAAGATTGGGGTTTGTTAAAGGTTTATGTACATGGAGAAATGAGAAATCTGAAAACAACCCAAATATCTAACAGAAAAGAAGTAATCAAATACTTTTTGGTGTATTCTTTTATTCTAACCCTCTCTGTAATTAGTCAGTACTTCAGGGACTCACTACTACCACCACCCTACTCCATTGCCATCATTTGATGACAAGTAGTAATCTCCTAAGTTTGTTCTGTGCATGTATTGTGCAACAAATTCTTTGACCAATATTTTCTGAACAGGGAGCCAGACAGATCTTTACAAATTAAATCCAACATACTCACATTCTTGCTCTAAAATAGAGAAGAAAGTCATTAACACATCCTACAGAAAGTATTATCAATATTTAATGTACCCTATAATTCCCTGGAGGGCTAGGGCCTTGTCCAAGTTCTCAAAGTTCATTTCACAACCATGTTCCTGTTCTGAGTCTGGTCGTCCTTGTTCTTTTTCAGCTTCTTTAATGTACCATACATAACCATGTAACATGACCATTGCATATGCTACTTCCTTTAGCATATAGAAGGCACTCAAATATTTAGTGGTTGAAGAATGCACAAACTAATGATTGAATGAATGAAAAGAATGAATGAAAAATGTGTCTGAGTATAATGGAGTGCAATGCAGAGAATTTAATCTTATTTTAAACCATAGTGTCTAAGGTAATATAATTGACTGCTCAAAGTGTATATTCAGGATTGAAAAGTAAATATTGTGGGAAATGGGAAATGATAAACATGTTGAAACTGGCAATACAATATGATATTCAGTAGACATCATTTATCAGATAATTGGTGTGGGTTCAGGTATGGGATTGCATATAGAAACGTCAGTGTCCTCTGCTCAGATGGGACCATTTAACCCATCAGCAGTTTAACTCAAAAAGTCTTTTTAATGTACTGATTATATTGAAAACATTTTATTCAGTGATGGGGAAATAAAACTGAAGAAGGCGCATTTCTCTCTCGATTATATTTTAGTCTAATAAGGAGGTTGTACCATAAAAACAATTTCAGAATACAGAAAGTGAATGCAGCACCTGAATATTGCAATAAGGGTTCTGAGAAGAGAAACTGTTATAAAAATAGAAATGTAGAAATATGTATTTACTTTCCCAATTTAGGCACATTGCTTCACAGAATTCCTGCTGAATATAAATAATTTCCAGCATATGGTAAAAACACATTATAGGGACTGTGACTAAATGACTATTCCTTAACTTGTTATGAAATGTCAAAATTAAGTGATGTGATTTGTGATTTGGTCATAGATTTTTCTTTCGTTCTTTAGGTATCTAGTCATAGGGGAGATTTTGTTAAGTGTAGAAGACAAAGGCAACGTGAAAGCTAAGAACTACCAAAGAAATTCTCTCTGCTTGATGTCAGAAAACTTACTGATCCTTCTCCCCCAAATGAATATTTTGACACATTTCTGTTGAGATTCTGGAAGTCCAGGACTTCAAATGAAAAAGAATGTGAAAGTGCCTTAAAGGCAAGATCAATCTATCATATATTCGACACCATTTTGTAACTATGTGTCATTATCTGAAGCAATGAGCTCATGAAAAGCACATGGATCACTAAACTAGTCAGTGAATTGAGCAGGTTCACTTGTAGCTGAGTGACCTTGTGCAAGCCACGTAGCCTCTCTTTGCCTCAGTTAGCCAATTGTGAAAAGCTGCTTCTAGTAAATGACTCTGCAATTCCACCAAGTTCTACAGAGCAATCTAGAATAGCATATTTTTAAAAACATATAGATAATAAATAAGACATGGAAATATCCTAAAAAATAAGACAGCCAAGTAAATTTTGCATATGAAAATGGTTCCATGAAGAGTTAAGAGAATAAGAAATATCACTTAAAAGTAATAAAGAAAATAGAAGAAATATAAATTCACTCACAGATAACATCTTTATTAAATATCATTTGCCCATTACAACGATTCTGAGCAAGTTAAACCTCCTTTTAACACGGTAACATTATAGAAAATAAACAAAATCACTGAAAAAATAGATCTTGCCTTGAAAATGAATAATATTTCTTTACATTAAGGTATTTAACTCATTCTTTACTAACATTAAATGGAAATAGTTATTTTCCATTTATGAAATATGTCCACATGTTATTCTTCCACATATTTATTTTACAGAAGAAATTGAGATTCACAAAATTAAAATGACTTGTCTACTCTCATTAGCTAAAAACTGGTAAAAACCCCAAGTTACGTTTATATTTTTAAATTACAAATTTAAGCTTTATCTTCATACATGATTTGCATGGCTAACATTTATATTTCATAGAGGAGGAAAGTTTTGTCACACAATTCATGTAGTTAAGGATGTTTGTTTCAAAACAAATATATTAGTATCTCAACTGAATTTTTCCCAAATAAAGACCTATTAACAACAACAGAAAGCTTACAAATTAATTCCAGGGCCCATTAACAGAGGCAGGACCCTTAATTATAGGCAATGACCTCAGCATTTGTTTTACCACACATGCACAGGCTGGTCTGTGCACCTTTGCCCTCCACCCTGCAAAGCACAGGCTGGACTATAACATGCTACTTGACCAGATAATAAGACAATATAATGTGTGGCAGTCTATGATTTTACCAGCTGTATCTGAAAATACGATTCAATGGGCCTGGCTGGTAAGGTTTCCTACATCAGTGAACAGGAGGCAACAAGTCGTGAACAGTATTGTGCAGCCATTACCAGTACAGGCAGCCTCTGCCTTAATGCAGTCACATAACATGGCTGCCTAACTGACCTGAAACACTATCAAAATTGCCGTCTCCATTTTAAATCTATTGAACACAAGGAAAAACACAATTTCTCTCAGAAATTGCTCACTGATCTCAGAATGGGTTATACAATTATGAAAATGATAATTAATCAGTCTGGTTATTAGTTCAGCACTAGAAGATGATCCGGGGATACTGTGCCAATAAAAAGCTGAATGATCATGTGTGATTGCTGTAGTCTGTATTTTAGGTGCCTCCCTGCTACCTATGTAGTCGAATGGAGGTATGATAACGTACCTGACCTAGCAACTATTATGAGGATGCTGTGATATACTAAACATGAGATCGCTTTGAAAATGTTCTACAATATATATTACACCAGCCTGATACATCAATATGTATTTGTACCTCTTCTTTCTCAGAACTCTAAAAACACTATTACAATATGAGAACGAAAACAATATGACAGCATATGAATTGTCACATTCTAATCAACTGCATTTTAAATGGTTTTATATGTCCAAGCAATTCCAAGCAGTATGAGACATGTGAAGTTAATAATGTTAGCAACTAACAGATTTAAATATTTAGTACATGATAATCTCTGTGATAAATATCGGTTACTTCCTTTGATCCTCCCAGTGATTCTGAAGCAGGGCAAGTGAACCCTAAAGTAGGACTTAGCCTAGGAGGGTTCTTGCCTCTCCCCAGGAAATAATTCAAGGGCAAGCCAGAGGTAGCAGAAAACAACTTTATTGAAGCAGCAGCGTTACAACTCCCGTGGTGTTACAGCTCCATGACTGCTCCTGCAGAGCAGGGCTACCCCATAGGTAAGAGTGGCAGCTCAGGGCACTTTTGCAGTTATATTTATATCTACTTTAATTACATGCAGATTAAGGGGCAGTTTATGCAGAAATTTCTAGGAGAGTTAACTTTTGGATCCTCAGGTCATTGTCACGGAAAGGGGTGGTAACGCCCAGTTGTTGCCATGGCAATGGTCAACTGACATGGCACACTGGTGGGTGTATCTTATGGAAAGCTGCTTCTGCCTCCTCTGCTAGTCCTCAATTTGGGCTGGTGTCCAAAGCCAAACTCCGGAGTTAAGTCCTGCCTCCTCCCTTCTACAAAGAAGGTGCTGTTATTATCTGAGTTCCAAAAGGAGAAAACTGGATCTTAAAAAGATTGAACAATTTCTTCACTATTACAGTTAAAAACTGCTGAAGCGCCCTTGTTAGGATTCAGTATATCTGACTCCATTTTCTTAACCACTAATAATATTAATTCGTAGAGAGGTTAACTATAAAGTTTCTCAAAATTACATTAACAAGTTCAACATTGTAATGTGGAAAATATATTTTTCCTTTTTTTTTTCTCTGTATTGCTGGTCACTGGTGTTGGAACTTGGTTACTCCAAAGTTGGCAGGGGTTTCTGTTTGAGACAGGAGAATAAAGAAGTTAAAGACTGACAATGAGGGCCAGGCACGGTGGCTCATGCCTGTAATCCCAGCACTTTGGGAGACCAAGGTGGGCGTATCATGAGGTCAGGAGTTCAAGACCAGCCTGATGAACATGGTGAAACCCTGTCTCTACTAAAAATACAAAAATTAGCTGGGCTTGGTGGCTCACACCTGTAGTCCCAGCTACTCAGGAGGCTGAGGCAGGAGAATTGACTGAACCTGGGAGGCAGAGGTTGCAGTGAGCCAAGATCATGCCACTGCACTCCAGCCTGGGTGACAGAGCAAGACTCCGTCTCAAAAAAAACAAAAAAAAACAAAAAACAAACAAACAAAAAACACACAAAAAAATACTGACAATGTACAGATACAGAGCTTTACTGATTTAAACCCCCAAAGTCATTTCCAAGTCCTGGTCGTCATTTGCTTGTTTTAATCGCAAGAATTTTTGTCTCTGTTTTTCCCCCAATATACCTCTTGCAGTTTAGAAGTAAGATTATTCTCCTTTCCTAATCCACTGTAGAATAGCCACATGCCTATAGATTTTTTCAATCTATCTTTTTTTTTCCTCCTCAAGGACATCGGAAATTTTCATAGGCCTTAGCAGCAATAGGGAAGAGTGAGTGAATTTTAAAGGTGAAAAGATCCTCCCAAAAGGAGACTGGCAGTAATGCTGGCCTCTGGCATTTTTTGGAATATAAATGGAGTTAAGCTATGCTTCCCTATATGCTCATGGTTAATACTGAGTATTCTCAAGTGTGTACTTTCCAAAAGTACCAATGATTTAGAACTTTCATACTTGAGTAAAATAAACTATAAAATGTCTTCTAATGATAAATATTTGCCTGGCACACAAAAGAACATTAATTAACAAATCTTCATACTGTTTACTCCCTGAACACCTATGATAGGTGTTATATTGAGCATCCGTCACAGTCCTAAATGTCAAAAGCCCTCATAAAACTTGGTGAAATTGCCCTCGCCTAACTGCTTTAGTGTATGTATTATTATTTTTGACATAGATATAATTTCAAAATGCTCTTTCTATTTTTGACAGTGAGAAAATAATTATTGTTTTCACTGTATAAAGTACGAGTTATTTTTTGATTGTAGGACTTCTACACGCTTTTCACCTTTTTTAGACTTAAAGCATGTATATAGTGTGACCAATTAAATAAGATCAATAAGTAGAAAATCAAGAGTCATTTTTTATTTGTCAAACTGTTTGGATTTTCATTATTAGAAAATGAAACAAACTAATCTGGAAACTATCCAGTAATCATTGATGTGAAAATAATCTGAAATTAAATTGCATCTCTCTTTATTCATATATGATGATTATTACAGGATTATAGTTTTTAAACATGAAAGTTGCATCCACCTTTCTCCTACCACTCTAGGCTGAGAACCTTGGGGTTATCTTCAATTTTGAATTATATATTACTTCTGAAAATCTTAACATCAATAATTTCCCATGTGTATTCTTTTCCATTACTACAAACTTGATCCTAATTCTGGTCCTAAATGATTCATAGATAGAGAAGTGAGTTTGTTACCAACATGCCTACTGTCTTTTCCACTTTAGTTTACCCAGAAAATATCTTTCTTCACGTTTCCTATTATTAACATCTTAACAAACTTTGTAACTCTTATCTTTTCCTCGATCATCTTTTTATTGTATATAATCCTGTATTTATGGTTATTGGTGTTGTAAGAACACTTAATATGATATCTAACTCCTTAACACATTTTTGTGTACAATATGATATTGATAACTTTAGGTACAATGTTATATGGTAGTCCTCTAGAATTTAATTATCTTGCATAACTGAAGCTTTTTACTCATTTAATAGCAAATCCCTATTCCAAGTCCCCCAGCCCCTGGTGACAACCATTCTATTTTTTGCTTCTGTGTGATTGAATATTTGTTTTATATAAATGGAATTCAGTAGCATTTGTCCTGTGACTAGCATATTTCTGTTGGCATAATATTTTCTATGTTGTCACATGCAGCAGGATTTCCTTCTTTCTTAAAAGTAGATTATATTTCATTTTTTATCTGTTGATTAATCCAGGGACATTAAAGTAGTTTCCATATCTTGGCTATTGTGAATAGTCAAGTGACTAGTTCACTGCACTGAACGTGGAAATGTAAATATCTTTTTGAAATCCTGATTTCAATCCTTTCATATTAATACCCAGAAGGAGAATTGCTGGATCATATGGTATTTCTATTTGTAATTTATTGAGAAAACTCCCCATCACTTTCCATAGCAGCTATACCATTTTAAATTCCCATCAACAGTGTACAAAGTTTTCAGTTTCTCTACCAATATTTGTTATAGTTTGTCTCGCTTTGTTTTCAACAGCCATCCTAACAGGTATGAGATAATATATCATTGTAATTTTGATTTATATTTCCATGACGATGAGTGATGTTGAGGATTTTTTCATATTCCTGTTGGCCATTTGTATGTGTTCTTTGGATAAATGTCTATTCAAGTTATTTGCTCATTTTTAAGTTGTTTTTGCTTTTGAGTTGAAAGAATCCCTTATATATTTTGTAATATTAAAACTTATCAGACATATCTTTTGAAAATATGTTCTTCCACTCCAAAGATTGCCTTTTTATTCTGTTGATTTTTTTCTTTTGCTGTGCAGAATTTTTTTAGTTTGATGTAGTTCCATCTGTCCCTATATATTTTTGGTTTTGTTGCCTGTGCTTTTACTGTCATATACAGGAAATCATTGTCAAGATCAATGTCGTGAAGGTTTCCCCCTGTTTTCTTTTCTTATTTTTTGAAAGAGAGTCTTGCTCTGTCACCCAGCTTGGAGTACAGTCGTGTGATCACAGCTCACCACAGCCACGACCTCTCTGGGTTCAAGCGATCCTTCCACCTCAATCTTCCGAATAGTTAGGACCACAGGCGTACACCAACACACCCAGCTGTTTTTTTTTCTTTCAATAGAGACAAGGTTTCCCTATGTTGCCCAGGCTTTTCTCAAACTCTTGGGCTCAAGTGATCCTCCCACCTCTGCCTCCCAGTGTGCTGGGATCACAGGCATGAGCCACTGTCCTTGACTCCCCTGTTTACTTGTAGAAGTTTTATAGTTTTAGGTCACAGGTTTAAGACATTTCTTCATTTTCAGTTAACGTTTGTTTATGGTGTAAAATAAGGGTCCAATTTCATTCATTCCAATGTGGATATCCACGTGTCCGAACACCGTTTATGCAAAAAACTAACTTTTCTTCATTATGTATTTTTGGCACCCTTATGTATCAGTTGACTATATATGGGTGAGTTTACTCTGGGCTTTGTATTCTGTTCCATCAGTCTATCTGTCTGTCTTTATGCTTGGACGTATATTTTAAATACTTCACCTTTGCAGTACATTTTGAAAACACAGTGTGATGCCTCCATGTTTGTTGTTCTTTCTCAAGATTATTTTGACTATTCTATTAAAGGCTCTTTGTGGTTCCATATAAATTTATGGATTAATTTTATTGGGATTTTGATTGAGATTGCATCGAGTCTGTAGATTGCTTTGGGTAGTATGGACATTTAAACAACATTAAGTATTCTAATCCATGTACTTTTCTTTCCATTTGTTTACATCTTTCTATGTTCCTTTCATCAATGTTTTACAGTTTTCAGTATATAAGTTTTTCACTTTCCTAGTTAATTTTATTCCTGAGAAATTTATTATTTTTGAGGCTACTGTAAATGACACTGTCTTCTTAACTATCTTTTTGAATAGCTCGTTGTTAGTACACAGAACCACATCTGATTTTTTAATGTTAATTTTGTGTCCTGCAACTTTGCTGTTTTCATTTATTAGTTCTGATACTATTTTGGTAGAATCTTTAGAATTTCTACATATAAAGTCATGTCACCTGCAAACAGAGATAATATTACCTCTTTTTTATTTGGATGCCCTTTATGTCTTTATCTTGCCTAACTGCTCTGGCTAGTAGATAGAAGTAGCAATAGTGGACATACTTGCCTTGTTCCTAATCTTAGAGGAAAAACTTTAAGTCTTTCACCCTTGTACATGATATTAGCTGTGTGGGATTTTCATATATGGCCTTCATTATGTTAAGAAAATTTCTTTCTATTTCTAATTTGTTAAGAGTTTTTAAATAATAAAAGTTGTTGAACTTTGTCAAATGCTTTTTCTGCACCTATTGAGATTATCATGTGGTTTTGATCTTTCATACTGTTAATGTGGTATAATTGATTTTAGTTGATTTTCCTGTTGAACCATCTGTTATGAACTACATATTTGAAGTAACCCAGCCTACGATATTCTGTTATAGCAGTCCAAACTAAGTAAGAGACCATCTTTGTATCTCAAGGATAAATTCTACTTGGTCACACTTTATAATCCTTTTGTTGTTTTGTTGAACTTGGTTTGCTGGTATTTTGTTGAGAAATGTTGCATCTATATTTATCAAAGGTATTGGCCAGTAGTTTCCTTTTCTTGTAGTGTTTTTATCTGGCTTTGATATCAGGGTAATTCTGGCTTCATCAAAGGAGTTTGGGAGTGTTCACTTCTCTTTAACCTTTTGGAGGTGATTGAGAAATACTGGTATTATTCCTTCTTTAAATGTTTACAAGAATTTACCAATGGATTCATCTGGTCCTGAGCTTTCCTTTCTTGGGAGGATTTTCATTACTGTTACAATGTTCTTAAGAATTATAGGTTTGTTCTAATTTTCTGTTTCTTAATGATTCAGTCTTGGTAGGTTGAATGTGTTGGGAATTAAAAACAATACCCCAAAGTGAAAGCCTAAGAAGCATCCTTAAAAATAAAGTCTCTCTCGACCTTATCCTGCTCTCTAGCCTCCTAACCCTCATTCTTCCCTGAGGCAAGTCATAGAAACTAGAATTCCTCTTCTCCAAGGCAGGATGTAGAAATAATAACTCCTTTTCCCCAAAGCAAACCATAAGCCTAAAATTATTACTCAAACCTTCTTCCGCTTTTCCTTGTAACAGCTGACTATAAAGAAATTAAGGCCCTTATTCCAGAAGTGTCCTATCCCGTATCCATAACAAAGAAATGCTACAACAGAGAGGCTAAGAAGAATCTGAACAGACAGGCTGTTTTTCCCTGCTCCTTTTCCCTGCTCTTTTTCCCTGCTCCTTTTGCAGTTTAGCCTTGAACAATGTGTGGGTCAGGGTTGCTGACCCACCATGCAAATATTTGCATATAGCTATTGAGTGCCCCCAAATTTAACTATTAGCCTACTGTTGACAAGAAGCCTTACCAATAACATAAATTGTTGATTAACACATATTTTTTATATGTTTTATGTACTGTATTCTTACCATAAAGTAAGCTAGAGAAAAGAAAATATTATTAAGTAAACCATAAGGAAGAGAAAATATACTTACTGTAAATTAAGTGGAAGTGGATCATCATAAAGGTATTCAGTTTCATCATTTTCATACTGGGTAGGTTGAGAAGATGGAGAAAAGGGAGGGGCTGATCTTGCTACTCAGGGTGGCAGAGACAGAAGTGAAGGAGGTGAAATGAGAGGCATAAGAGGCAGACACACTCTGTGTAACTTTTATTGACAAAATCTTCATATAAGTGGACCCATGCAAACCAAACTAGTGTTTTGTGGAAGGTGAATTGTATTACTGTTAGATCATAGCTTTTTTTATATAGTCACAGTCTACATGTCTGTCCCTACTTTATTGAACCTAACCATAAAATCAGATACTTTCCCCTGTATCTTTGGGTCTTCCTTCTGAAGGCTCCTGTGTCACATAAAACTATGATCAAATAAATTTGTTATGCTTTTCTCTTATTAACCTGTCTTTTGTTATAGTCAACTCTGACCCTTATGATGGAGAAGAAATGAATCACTCCTTTTCTTCTTCTACATCTGTGTCTAGGAATTTGCCCCTTGCTTCTAAGTTATTCAATTTTTTGGCTTATAATTATCCGTAGTAGTATCTTATGATCCTTTTAAGTGTCTTTCGTGTCTTTTGTTTTTCTCTTTTGCTGTCTTCCTTTGCTTTTCATTGATTTTTTTTTGTTTGTATTGATGTGCTTTGATTACTTCCTTTTTCTCATTTTGTATCTTCTGTAGTCATTTGCATTCTAGTTACCATGGGACTTACATAAAACAACTTGTAGTTATAAGAGTCTATTTTAAGTTGATAACAACTTAACTTGAATTGCACCAGCTTAATTTCAATGGCATACTAAAACTATTCTTTTACTTCTCCCTCTCCACACACACTTTTATTGATGTCATAACTTACATATTTGTATATTGTTACATTATAATTTTACAGTTTTAGTTATTTTTAATACTTTTTAAAATGTTTATGCTATAATTAAACATAATTTACCCAACATTTACAGGATTACAATATTCTATACTTGTCTATATTTTACCTTCACCAGTGATTTTTATATTTTCATGTGCTTTCATATTGCTGTTCAGGATATTTTTATTTCAACTTGAAGAACTTCCTTTAGCATTTCTGGTAAGGCAGATCTAGTAGTGATAAACTACCCCTTGTATTTGTCTGGGAAAGTCCTTAACTCTTCTTCATTTCTGAAGGATAGCCTTGTCGGGTGTAGCATGCTTGGTTGTCAGTTTTTGTTTTCCTTTCAGTACTTTGACTATATCATTTATCATTCTACTTTCTTTTTCTTTTTTTTTTTTTTTTGTCTTTTTGAGATAAGGGTCTCACTCTGTGGTCCAGGCTGGAGTGCAGTGGCATGATCTTGGCTTACTGCAGCCTCAATCTCCTGGGTTAACAGTCCTCCCACTCAGCCTCCTGAGTAGCTAGGACTACAGGCTTGTGCCACCACACTCAGTTAATGTTGTATTTTTTGTTGAAACAGGGTTTCTTCATGTTGCCCGGGGTTGTCTCAAACTACTGAGCTCGAGCAATCTGCCTACCTTGGCTGCCTGAAGTGCTGGGATTACAGACTTGAGCCACCATGCCTGGCCCATTCACCTTCCTTCTGATCTGCAATATTTCTGCTGAGAAATTCACTTTATAAAATAGATAGACTTATATGGTGTGACTGTCTGCATGACAAGTCACTTTAGTCTTTATGCTTTCAAAATACTCTTTTTGTCTTTGACTTTGAAAATTTGATTGTGTCTCAGTGTGGATTTCTTTGTGATCATCGTATTTGTGTACTCTTGGGATTCATGGATCAGATGTCCATTTCCTTTCCAAGATTAGAAATTGTTCAGCCAATATTTCTTTGAATAAGTTTTTCTTGCTTCTTTTTCGCTTCTT
This sequence comes from Homo sapiens, assembly GCF_000001405.40. Classification (NCBI taxonomy): domain Eukaryota; kingdom Metazoa; phylum Chordata; class Mammalia; order Primates; family Hominidae; genus Homo; species Homo sapiens. Next base: position 29,637,561 of record NC_000018.10, read on the forward strand.
CTTCTGGGATACCCATAATGCATATAGTAATCCATCTTATACTGTCACATAAGCCTCTTAATCTTCCTTTACTCTTTTTTGTTATTTTTCTTTTAGCTCCTCTGACTGAATAATTTCCAGTTTCCTGTCTTAAAGTTCACTAATTCTTTTTCTGCTTTATATAATCTTCTGTTGAACCCTTCTAGTGAATTTTTCTGTTTAATTATTGTATTTTTAAGATTCTTAATTTCTCTTTGGTACAATTTCATATTTTCTCTTTGCTGAAATTTTCGCTTATTTTATACATTGTGCTCCTGACACTGTTGAGTACTTTATAATGGTAATTCTTAATTCTCTGTCAAGTAAATCATATGTCTCCATTTCATTAGGGTGGTTTTCTGGAGATTTATTTATCATCTTAATAATGGAATTACCAAGAAAGACACAACACAGATAATCTCTGGATGGAACAAGCTTTACTCACATAGAGAAGAAACAGAGCAAGATCAGCTTTAGTAGTGGTCCTTGGTCTCCCCTGGCCATCAGATTCTTCCTGGAAGCTGATGCACAATAATTGGTCTGTACACACACCCCTTGTGATGCAGCAGAAAGACCCCATCCCCTCATGCAGGGGATAAATATAGCAGTGGATTTGGCCAGGTGCCATATGACACACATGTTTAAGCAGAAGAAAGACAAACATGGGTTGGAACAGTAAAAGTTATTTCCACACAATGCAATAAGCCCAACACAAATTGTGAAGACTATCTTTTGGTACAAAAGTTTTCCAGGCCTGAGGAAATATCTTCAAAATATTTTGATTTATTTTTTCTTTTTTAGAGACAATGTCCTCTTCTGTCACCCAACTGGAGTGCAGTGGTGTGGTCATAGCTCGCTGTAAACTTAGGTGAGAGCCACTGCACCCAGCTTCTTGATAGTATTTTAAATGCGATTGCCTTCAATCTATAGATGAAGATGGGAAAAGTTCACATATTAACAATAATGAATCTTAAATTCATGAACATGCAATATTCTCCACTAATTTTTAGCTTTTTACATTTCTTCTACTTTTTATAGTTTTCCATATACCTGCTCTGTACATATTTAATCAGATTTATACCATTTTGTTGCTTTTGGTACTATTGTAAGTGGTAGTTTTTTAAAAATATAAAATGCCAATTGCTCATTTCTGACATATAGGAAAGCAATTGAATTTTTCATATTGATCTTGTATCCTATGACTGGAATACTTGTTTATTAATTATGGGAAGTTTTGTTTGTTTGGCTATATTCTCTGGAGTTTTCTATAATCATATCGTCTCTGAATAAAGGTAGTTTTATTTCTTTCACTGTAATAATTACAAATTTTATTTTTCTATGGCATTATTGCACTATCTGGGGTTTTATAATATTGAGTAGGAATGATAAGAGACAGTACCCTTGCCTGGTTGCTGATCATAGAAGGAAAATGCCCAATCTCATCCTACAATTATGATTTTAGAATAAGGTTTTTTTGTAGGTTTATTTTTAAATCATGTTGAGGAAGCTCCTAGTTTTCTGAGAGTTTTTATCATTTGTGGGTCTTGGATTTTTGGATTATGTTTAATGTATTTTCTGCATTTGCTGATATGATAGTATGATTTTTTACTATTAGCTTTCTGATATGGAAGATTATACAGATTGAGTTTTAAATTTTAAACTAGCTTTGCATTGTTGAAATAATTCCCAACTGATTTTAATGCTTAATTATTTTCATACATTTCTGGATTAATTTACTATTTTTTTAGGATTCCTGCATCTATGTTCATGAGAGATGTCATTTTGTAGTTTTCTATTTTTTCAATGCTTTTATCTGTTTAAGTATTGGGGTAATACTGACCTTATAGACTGAGATAAAAATGTTACCTCTGCTTTTCTTTTCTGGAAGAGATTCTGGAGAACTGGTATTTTTCTTTAAATGTTTGGTAGAATTTGTCAATGCATACCTCTGGGCCTAGTAGTTGTTTTTTTTTTTTTTTTTTTTTTTTTTTTTGTTCGTTTAGAGGATTTGTAATGTAATTTCTTCAACAGAAATAGGCTACTCAGGTAATCAGCTTCTCCTTGTGTGAGCTTTGCTAGGTGAAAATTTGGGATGTTTTTCTAAGTTTTCAAATTTGTGGGCATAAAATTGTTTTTACTATTTTCTTATACTTTCAATGGCCATGTTATCAATAGTAATGATTCTTCTTCCTTGCATTTGTAATATTGATCAGTCATCTGCACTTGCCTTCTCTGTCTCTGTCTCTCACATACACATTTTTGGTTAACCTGGCTAGTAATATATCAATTTTGTTGCTCTCTTCAAGGATCAATTTTGATTCATTTATTTTTCATTTATTTTCTTTTGTTTTCCTGATTTCTCTTCTATTTTTATCTTTTCCATTCTTGAAGCTTAATTTGCTCATCTTTCTCTAGTTTCCAAAGAACTAATTTATTAACTTTCAGAAATTCTTCTTTTCTAATACACACATTTATTGCCGTAATATTCTCTTTAAACATTTCTTTGGCTGCATCCCACAAATTGTGATAAGTTGTATTTCCATTTTCATTTAGTTTAATATATAATTTAAAACTCTTGACAGACTTATTCTTTAATATACATATTATTTATAAATATGTTGTTTAATTTGCAAATATTTGATGGTGTTTTAGTTTATATTTCTGGTAGTGAGTTCTAATTTAATTCACTTGTGTTCTGAGTACACAAACTGTATGATATCTGTTTTTTTAATTGTTGATTAGTGTTTCATGGCTTAGTGGTGCTTCATGTGAGCTGCAGAAAAATGTGTATTCTTCTGTTGTTGGATGAAATATTTTTCAATTTGATCAAGTGAATTAATAATTTTATTTATGTCATTTATATCCTTACGGATTTCTGCGTTCATGACCTGTTGATTACTGATAGAAGGAAGTTGAAGTTTCCAATGAAATAATGCACTACTTTTGCTTTTTACAAAAATTAGTGTTATCATGATGCAGCTTTCTCCATTACTTTATTTATTTAATTTTATTTATTTATTTATTTATTTATTTATTTATTTATTTATTTATTTTTTGAGACAGAGTCTTGCTCTGTTGCCCAGGCTGGAGTGCAGTGGTGCGATGATCTCCGCTCGCTGCAAGCTCCGCCTGCCGGGTTCATGCCATTCTCCTGCCTCAGCCTCCAGAGTAGCTGGGACTACAAGCCCAGGCCACCACGCCCGGCTAATTTTTTGTATTTTTAGTAGAGATGGGGTTTCACCGTGTTAGCCAGGATGGTCTCTCCATTACTTTATTTTAATCTGAGTCTTTACATTTAAAGTTGGTTTCTAACAAATGCATAGTTTGGTCTTTTTTGTTTCTGCCACTCTCAAAATCTCTGTCTTTTAATTAGTTTGTTAAAATAATTTACATTTAAAGTGAGTAATGTTATATTTGTATTCATATCTATCATTTTTGTAACTTTTTTATATTTTTTCCATTTTTTAATTTTTTTCTTTTTGTGAACCTGTCTTTTGACTGAGCAATTTATGTTATTCAATTTAATTTCTTCTTGTAGCATATCACCTTTTAATCCTTCTTAAATGATTGTCCTGTTGTTTAAAATATTCGCTTTTACTAATCTTAGTCCACTTCCAATTAACACTGTACTGCTTCATGTTTAGTGCAGGTTTCTGACCAAAGAGTATTCCTAATTTTTCCCTTTTGCTATATTGCTGTCATATCCTTTTACTTATCGGCACGATATAATGGTCCAATACAATGCTACTATTTTGCTGTAAACAAACAGTTTTCTTTTAGATCAGTAATGAGTAAGACAAATAGATTATTTAATCTTGCCTTTATTGGCTCCTTCTACGACACTGTTTCTTTATGGTAGATCCATGTTTCTGGGCTTCATCTTTTCCCTTCCGCCTTCTTTTAATATTTCATGCAGGGCAGGTTTGTGGGCGATGAATGTGCTCACTCTCTGTTTGTCTGAGAAAGTCTTTATTTCTCCTTCACTTTTGAAGTGTAATTTTCTGAGGCTGTGCACGGTGTCTCACACCTGTAATCCCAGCACTTTGAGAGGCCGAGGCAGGTGGATCACTTGAGGTCAGGAGTTCAAGACCAGCCTGGCCAACATGGTGAAACCCAGTCTCTACTAAAAATACAAAAATTAGTCAGGCATGGTGGCAGGCACCTGTGGTCCCAGATGCTCAGGAAACTGAGGTGGGAGAATCGCTTGAGCCTGAAAGGCGGAGGTTGTAGTGAGCCAAGTTTGTACACTCCAGCCTGGGCAGCAGAGCAAGACTCCATCTTAAATAAAAAATAAAATAAAATAGTGTAATTTTTCTAGATAGAGAATTCTAGGATGCTCTTTTTGTTCTTTGAACACTAAATAATTGGCTCCACTCTTCTTGTTTGCATGCTTTGTGAAAAAGTCTATTCTTATTCCTGTTTCTCAATAGGTAAAATTGCTGTCATCTTTTCTCAATTGCCCTACCCATCCCCAGTTTCTTTCAAGACTTTCTCTTTGTCTTTGATTTTCTGCATTTCAATATCATATATGTAGGTGCATATTTTGCCAAGACATGGCTAGTATTCTGTTATTTATCCTGCTTTAGTAGTGTTTAAATTTCCCTAATCTGTGGTTTGGTTTCTGTCATTATATTTGGAAAATTATCTGCAACTGTAACTTCAAATATATATATAATTTAACTTATATATATATATAAATAAATATATATATATAATTTCCCTTCTTCTCTATCAGGCATACCTTATACCTTTTTAATTTTGCTTATACCTTTTTAATTGCCCTTTAGGTGTTGGATATTCTGGGCATTCCTTTTTCCTCACTGTACTTCAGGTTTGGAAGTTGTCACTGACTAATCTTCAAGTTCACAGCTTTCCTTTTCTTTTTTAGGTGAGGGGGCGAGTGGTGGGCTTTGTCCATTGTGTCCAGTCTACTGATGGGTCCGTCAAAGACATGCCTCATTTTTGTTTTGATGTTTTTCATTTACGGTATTTCGTTTTGTTTCTTTCTTAGAGTTTCAGTCTCTCTGCTTATGCTACCCATCTGTTCTTACATGTCAACTTTTTTCATTAGAACCTTTAACCTTTAGAAGTGTTCCTCCTGTGGTACAGCCTCTCACTTGCTTCCTAGGGTATGTCATTCCCAATATATGTGCTTGAAGTTCTGATCCCTGTTGACTACTCTTTTTCTTCCCAGGTGGGGCATCAAGGCTGAAGGGGCCCAATGTGAGAAAAAATTACATTCCACTCACTGGGATAAGATTTTGACAAAATCCTTTCTCTTGGAGCATGGGCCTTTGTTACATGAGTACCTGGGGGGGATCCTGGAGGTAAATCTCACAGAAGTGTGGGGCCTCCTTAAGACTGGGCTCCCAGGAGTTTTTGACTCTATGCTAGTCCATACTCAGCCCCTGCCAACTTATCAAAATGCCAATTAAGCAATTATACCAGTTCATGGCTTCAGCAGCTTTTGCTCCATATAAGCATGTCTTAGTGTTATCTCTCTGAACACCTGTCCCTTCTAATTTTGAGTGGTGGCCTTCCTTGTCACTTGAGTTTCCTGATAGCTCTAAGAAAAGTTGTAGATATTTCTGATTATTCATTTTTTTTTCTTATTGTAAGGATAGAAGTGACCACTTCCCACTTCCAAGCTGTTTACATGTGGGAAATGAAATTAGAAGTCTCTGTTAATAGTTTTAATTACTTTAACACTGTAAAGCATGTGTATTTTAATTATTCCTTTATAATAAACAACTTGCTATAGCACCATAACACTGTAATAGGCAATACATTTTCCCCAGGTAATTCATTCATAAATCATTCCCTCATAGTTTAGGCATAATCTCCTATGCTTGCTCCTGGTAATTTCCCAGTACTTTTGTCATAAACTAATACTGAGAAGTAGACTTAAAAGAAAATATTAATGTATCATATATTGTATCATATAGTACATGACCAATGTGGAATATGAGAAATTCTAGGCTATCTTATTTTGCAAAATTATCAGCACATTAGATACATACATGTCTACCTATTTATGTATATATACACACATATATAATGTATGCATATGTATATACATATGCATGTGTATACATATATGTGATACACAATTATATAGTTATTATTTTGTCTTGTGTGATCATGCAATACTGTGAGGTGAATTCCCTTTGTGATCTGCCTCCTAAACTTTCTAGATGCTTTATGCAAAGCTTGATTCTTGGAAAACCCACTGTTAATACATTTTGAAGTCTACGTCTGTTCAATTATCTTAATTTACCTTTCAGACCTTGGAATAAGCTGTATTTCTCTACAAAGGGCTATGAACTTTTCTTTTTCTGCCTTTCATGAAGCTACCAGCTAGCTGTAATTTGCTGCCTGTTTATTCTACTTTCCAGCATAAATACATAAAATGTTATGATTGCTCCAGTGTCATGGGATTACTGGAAATTAACTCTGCAACCGATGAAAGCTACCTCGTTTCAATGTTTATTCTTTTAATTCCCTCTCCTCTTTTTTTGTTCAGTGTTGTTTTTCATCATTATTTCCAAATTCGGGTATCTGCTGCTGTCTTACAATATTTACTTATAGAATAATACCATCAAAGTTACATTATTCTTTAATATTCCATAATAACAGCACATATGAAAAAGACATAAAGCATTGAAGAAAGAGAGGATGATTAAAAAATAGAAAAAATGGTAAATTTAGTTTTATAAATCTGGTATTAAAGTACCATATAAAAATAAAAAAAATTTTATTACTTGGAGTATTTATAATACACACACACAGATATAGCTTTTGTTAAATGCAGCATTTTCTCATGTTCCACTCTTTGGTCCTATCCACTTCCATATCTAGTACTCCTTCATATGAATCATCTCATGGTGATGTCACCATGATTCACAATTTTAAATGCCACTTAGGAGACATTGTCCCAAGACTATAAACCCAGAAAACAGTTCACAATATAATTTGAGTTCCAGACATTCTAACCAAGTGCCTAATTGACATTTTTATGTGGATACTTCACAAGTATTTTGAACAGTGTTAAAACATGAATGCATCACCCTTCTTCAAACAAGTCAAATGTCTATCTATCTATCCATCTATCCATCTATCTATCTATGCTCTGTAATTGTAATTGTGGGAATTGTAATTTGTGGGAATTATAATTTGTGGGACTTGTAAACACAAAGAAAAAAATACAAGTAAATCCCACAAATTCTAATGTTTGATGTTACGATGCATGGTGTCATCATTCATTCAACTGCATAAGCCAGAAATCTGTTATTCTTAACTCCTCTCACTACCCAAACCTTTATATTTGAAAAGTTATTATGTTTTAAATACTTGATTTCTAAATAAACCTTAAATCTTCATTCATCTCCACTATCTGTCCCTAGATCATGCTTCCATCATATCTTGTCTAAAGAATCTTCAATAGTTACTCCTTGTTCTTCATCTAAATTCAAAACTTGTAGTTTGGACATGAAGAGCCTAAAGTATTTAGATATCGTTAAATTTATTGACACTCATGTTACATTATTTTACCTTTTGTTTTCTTTCTTTTGGATCAAATTGTCCTTGTTTCATTTCAGTAATGAATATGTTACCTTCTGGGTTGAGTCTTCCCCAGAAACTCTTTCCTCATATTACAATATTCTTTCTCTTTGTTAATTATTTCATCGTAAAATATTTACAGTTTACCTAACATAACTCTTTCTTAAAAGCTTTCAAATGATATTTGTCTTGATCTAGTTCTCTCTTATATGCCAAAATAGCACCTTGTTAGTACTTACCACAATTTTTGTTTCATATTTGCTTGTATACATAGTTATTTATCACCTGGATCCTTTATTAAAATTTCTTTCCAAGAGAGTAAGAATTATGTATTTATTTTTTATTCACTTAATCTTAGTAAGTAGCATAGTCTTGGTTCATAGTAGATTGTTAATATTTGTTGAACAAGTGACAATGATTTTAAGAAAAACATATGCTTTACATTTCAATCCACAATTTCTGACACAGGTTGAAATGTCTTAGAGTCTAGCTAGGGTTGTAGTAATGGGATACAGGAAGATGAAACTTTAAGTAGTTTAGAATAGCTGTGCAGGGTTTGCAATATAACAATGTTAATAAACAGAGTAAGTTCCACTTACATGCCAAAGTCATTTTAACCAGTATTAAAAAGTATAGTTAAGATACATTTATGTTAACACAGGAACATATATACCAAGACAAAGAACTTTATAAATACACTATATACCAATTATACCATAGTGTAATTCAACGTACCATTTTTATGTAGAATGCTATATTTACATATTTATAAGATATAAATAAATCATACATTAATAAAACTTATGTATATGTATATTCATATGATATAAATCATATAACTAATATATATTTTATATTTATGTGTAAATTTATATTTACTAAATTTATATTACTATACTTTAGTAGAATTAGAATTAATATAAATATGGTATATAGTATAGAATGATTTGTTATATAAAGTAATATGTGCATTTATGTGGAATATATATGGTACATTGATATTTTACTTTTTCTTTATTTCCATCGGAACATTTATCCTTTCCTTGGGCATCTTCATGAGATCTCTAAAAAATTACTTCTTTTCTCTCCTTCCTTTATTTCCATTACCAACTTTTTAAAAAGATCATTAAAAAAATTATTAAAAGTCACTCTGTCGTCTTATATTACATTGTAATTTAACAAGAAAGAGAAAGCCTATTTAACTAACACTTTAATGTTTCTCAAATGTATATATCCACTTAATTCTGTTTTTAAACTCAAAAATCAGAAATCTACATATATAAGATACACCTGATTTTTAGCAGACACCACTTTGAGAAACACTGCTTCAAATTTATTAAATCCTCAGGAATAAAAGTAACTTTCTCAAGAATAATCAGTAGAGAATATCAAGGATTTTATCTCCTGAGTTTTGAATTAGGTTACTACTGAACTTTCATAAATGTTTGATTTCAGACCTCATTTTCTGGACTTATATTTTTACTAGAAAATTAAATGGCACTGAACTTTCATTTGAACCAAAAACTAATCTTTAGTTTCTTCTCACTGAAAGGAGAAGAAGTTAAGTAATATCATACCTTTTCATGCTTTCCTTTGATTATAATTAAACTACTTTCTTTGTGTATCTTTGTGAGACTTTTAAGAGATTATTTCTGTTTTCTAGTTTTCTCATTTAAAATATAAAGTTTAAATAAATCACAAGATTTTTAGAAATTATTGTGGGATTATATACTAAATTTCAACAAGGCAAATAAGAGGAAACCTATATGAGTATAATCTGACATTCACTAATTTTAAATAACTGAGGAGAATGTAATCTGAATTAGTTACACCAATCTTAAGTCATAGTCTTTCTTTTAAAAAACATTTTAATTCATATTAACTGCAATTAGTAATGGATGATTTCACAACAAATTACAAATAAAGGTACCATTCAGTGTGCTTTAGTAAATGAGTATTTTAAAATGTCAACCTTAATTTAGATTCGATAAAACCGTTACATTTTTATTTAAATTAGTTGAAATTAGTTGGCTTTCTTAGGCCTAATCGCTCTTTCTCACAAAATTATTTTCCTTTATAAACACAGTGGTAGATTAAAGATACCACAAATTCTTTGTGAATCTTTCCATGGAGGAATGCTCAGTGTCATGGTACATTCTGCAGGAGTTGAGCCTACTTGTGAGAAGTACAGCTACATCAAGATAAGGTGCTGCTATAACAAATACCGAAAAATATGGAAGTGGCATTGTAACAGGTAAGTGGGAGTAGGCAGGGAGAATTTGGAAAAGCCTATCAGTAGAAGTTTAGATTGCCTTGAACAGAATGCAAGAAGAAAAATGGATGGTGAAGTTCTTGCTAGTGAGGGCTCTGATGGAAGTCAGATATTTATTATTGAAAATTGTCACAAAAGGAATCTTTGTTATATGGTTTCAGAATGCTTCGAAAAAAAATTGTGCCCTATAGTGCTTTCAAAAACAACATTTATAAGAAATGGACATAGATATTTAGCTCAGAAGATTTTCAAAATTATGAAAATGTTATTCATAGTAAAGTGGGAAAGAATAGAGACTAATGGAGGGAAAACTGTTAAACAAAAAGGAAGCAGAACTTGATAATTTGAGAAATTTTCAGTCTATCCATATGGCAAAAAAGACTAAAATTAAGAGACTGCTTCAGAAAGTGTGACATAGAGAAAAACCTGAGTATGTGGCAATGCAATATTTTTTTAACCAGCAGAAACATCAATATAGGTCAGAGTACTCTTCACGCAAAATGCTCTTTGAAAACATTAAGTGTAGTGACCCACAGATCCTCTCAATGAAACCAGAGGCTCTCTAGGTATTTTAAGGGTATATCACTCTTTTCATCAGAAGTCAAGAGTAAAGAAGGGATTATCTAAGAAAGGTCTGTGGAGGAGTCTTTTTCTAATACAGTTATCCCTTGTTGAGTCTATGCAAAACTCACAAGTTTCTTGATATTTTTATATCAGCAGAAAGATTGCTAGCTTAGACTTTAAAGGACAAGCCAAATATTAAGTGAAGATTTCTGGGCCACCAAATTTCGACTGACAAGAAGCAGTCTGATATAACTAGCAAGCTGCAAACATGTGCCTATGTTCATGAAAAAGGGAGCATGACTCAGGGTTGAGTTGAGAACTCAGAAGACTGAACTTAGAGCCATGTGGGTGGAACGAAAGCCAAGGAGGTCCATTTTCTTGCCTAGATACTTAGTGAAGTTTGTATGGCTACATTTCAAAATAGTTTTGGATCAGTGACCCCTTTTTCCTTGCATTTCTCCTCCTTTTGAACCAGAGTATCTACCATTGTTATGTTTTTTCTGTCTCACCATTATATGTTAGGAGTCTTGTGAGCAGATAATCTGTTTCCCTAGGTTCAAAGGCCTACAGATGGTGAGAAATGGCTAACTACAATTACTTTTGCACCAACCTAAGATTTTGAACTTTGAGCTAATGCTATAATGTGGCTTTTTGGGACCTTGGAAAGTAATATGGTTTGGCTGTGTCCCCACCCAAATCTCATCTTGAATTTTTAGTTCCCATAATCCCCACGTGTAGTGGGAGGGACCTGGTGGGTAGTGATTGGATTGGATCATGGGAGCAGTTTCCCCCATGCTGTTCTCATAATGGTGAGGGAGTTCTCACGAGATCTGATGGTTTTATAAGCATCTGGCATTTCCCCTGCTTTCACTTCTCTCTGCTGCTACCTTGTGAAGAAGGTGCCCTGCTTCCCCTTTGCCTTCCACCATGATTGTAAGTTTCTTGAGGCCCTCCCAGCCATGTGAAACTCTGAGTCAATTAAACCTCTTTCCTTTATAAATTACCCAGTCTCAGGTATTTCCTCATAGCAGTGTGAAAATAAACTAATACAGGAAGGGATAAATATATCTTTTATTTGAGAGAGATGTGGATCATGGGGGTCAGGGAGTAGAGTTCAGTAGTGAGGATTTTGGCCCCATGAACTTTGCACACTGGTATCATGTTAATGAATATGTTATGTTACATGCCAAAAAGGACTTTTCAGATGTAATTAAGGTTACTATGTTCTTTTCCTAGCTTCCTATAACAAATGACTACAAACCTAGTTGCCATAAAAAATTATCATAAATTTTGTGGCTTAAAACGATAGAAATGTATTCTCCCAGTCCTGGAGACTAGCTGTTTGAAGTCAATGTTTTGGTAGGATCATAGGGCCTTTGAAGGTTCTAGGAAAAATCCACTTTTCTTTTTTTTTTCCTAGATTCTGGTTGCTGGCAATCCTTCGTTTTCTTTGGCTTGCAACTGCAACTCTTCATCTCTGCCTTGGTTGTCACATGGCCTTCTCCATTCTGTGTCTGTCTGTGTCTGTGTGTCCTCTACCCTTCTCCTAAAAACAACAGTTATATTGACTTTAGGGTATGCCCTAATTCCATGTAACCTCATCTTAACTTTACTAATTATGTCTGCAAAGGTTGTGTTTCTCTCTGCTCTGGTTGCTATAACAAAATACCATAGACTGGGTGACTTTAACAAAAAACATTTATTTCTCATAGTCTGGAGGCTGGAAGTCCAAGATCACGGTGCCTACAGATTTGATTATTGGTTTGGGCTCATTTCCTAGCTGCTTTCTTGTTTTATCCTCCCAAGGCAAGAGACAGAGCTCTGATCTCTTCCTCCTCTTAAAAGGAGGGCTCACCCTCGTGGCTGCATCTCAGCCCAGTTACATCCCAAGGACCCTGCCCCAAAATACCATTACATTAGGCATTAAGGCTTCAATGCATGCATTTTGTGGGGAAAAAAAATCCTGTCCATAACAGGACTTATTTCCAAATAAGATTACATTCTGTGGTTCTGGGCGGACATTAATATTGAAAAGGCATTATTTAAAGCAGTACAGTTACTAATAAATTGATCTTAAAATAGGGAGATTTCCTAGATTACCTGCATGAGGGGAGGGTTCCAGGTCATATCATAAACCCCTGATAGCAGAGAAAAGCAGAGCTTTCACCCAGTCGAGGGTAGAGGAGCAAGTCAGAGAGATTTAGCATGAGAGAATGCTATGGAGATTTTAAATGCCTTTGCTGGCCTAGGGACACATGCAAGACATGAGAAGGAAGTAAATTATTTTGAAAAGCTGAATAAAAATGGCAGTAAATTCTCCCCTAAATCGTCCAAATAAGAGCTCAGTCCAACTGACACCTTGATATTGGCCTTGTAAGACCATAAGTATATTACTGATTAAGCCTCCCTGGAAGTTTGACTTATACCACAGTAATATAATAAATATTTCTGTGTTACACTGTTAAATGTATGATTACTTGTTATGGCAGCAATGAAAAATTAATACACTCTTCTTCACAGAAGTATTATTTTATAAACAATGCAGTAAATAGAAGAGGATCACGCATTCTGTATAATCTTCCCATTGAGAAACTCTCAACGGAATGCTTATTTTGAGAGAAATACCCTTCATGCTGGAAATCTACATTGAGACGACCACACCATAAAAAAACAAAGTGACACGGAGAGACCTGGAGAATGAGACACCAGGCAAAAAGAGAGGCCAGAGAGTCTTAAAGAATCAAAAATATGAAAGACAGAGCTATCTTGGAAGTAGAGACTTCATCCTTAGCTACGTCAGTAGATGCCTGGTAGGTCAGTCAGAAACCATGTAGATGAGCCTTTCTATGAAATGCCAAGCAAAATCATGGGTTGATTTAAGCCCTAAGTTTTGGGTAGTTTGTTATGCAGCAATAGATAACAGAAACAACCCCTCCTTTCTCAGGCAACTAACAGTTATCTGAAGCTATACTCATGATCTGATTTACACTTTTACATGACATAATTCATCTGTACTTTGTTCTTCTTTCTCAGAGATCTATTTTATGATTGTTCAAGGTTACTTAAGTCACCTTCCACTTATACAAATATCTTTGGGACATAAAGTTGGGAGATAATTTTTTATAATTTTAGCCATTTTGCAAATCTTCTGGGAAAAAGGGTATTACAAGAATTATTGCATAACAGAAAGCTTTAAAAGTTATAAATAGTGTCTCCCTAAAGATAGACACCTGAGAATATGATAAGCCATAGAGCCCTACTTTTCTCTCCTTGGAAATATTTGCTTACATTCCAGGGTAATAAGGGTACTGACAGTTTTCTCTTCCCTAGAGGAGATTTGCTGAATAAGCATTTCTCTTTCTCTGGAGAGGAGGATGGGCAGAAGTGCTAGTTGCCTTATATAAACTGGGTCTGCTGACTTCAGAGTTCCTCTCCTGTGGCAATACCCACTGCATATTCAGGGAAATATCTGGCCCTCACCACATTACCCAATTAGTATGGTGGTTTAGGAAATCAAAACTAAGGTATTGCTCTGACTACTGCATTTTGCTCTGAGTAATAAAATTCCTGTCTGTCTGATTCAGGAAGAATCATTTCTTCTGTTAAAATATGTGTGTGTGTGTGTGTGTGTGTGTGTGCGCGCGCATGTATGTGAAATGTGCAAGCTAACTTGTTAGATTGCACCTTGTACCTTTCACAGTCTCTGATTTAATGCCAAGGTAGCCCACCCTACCATAATTGACTAAGTCAGTATAATTCTAACTACCCACATACATTCTGATCTTTGTTAAATAAGTTTTTCTTACAACATAGTATATCTTAAATAGGAAAAATAAATAGCATGCAAAAATGTTCACCTTCTATAATACTTTTCAATTATAAAGCCACAATTCTAATCTATATTTTGTAGTCCCTTAGCCATACCTGTCTGTTGAATGCGATCTTACATTACATATCTTCTCATCTTCCATGTCAGACATCACATAGATATTTTTCATTTCTTAATATATAGCATTGTCCAATACCTACTCACAACCCAAGTTCTTGTATAAACTAATATCACTTTGAAATGCTCCTCTTTCTCCTTCTCTTAATTTACTCCATTTTAACTCCTTAGAATTTTTTAAAAGTAGGTGGAGCAAGATGACTGAATAAAAGCCTCCATGGTTTGTCCTCCCTGCAGGGACACCAAATTTAACAATCATCTACACAAAAAAAGCACCTTCACGAGAACCAAAAATCAGGTGCATGGTCACAGTACCTTGTTTTAATTGCATAACACTGAAAGAGGCACTGAAGAGGATAGAAAAAAAACAGTCTTGAATTGCTGACAACACCCCTGTGCCATCCCCCAGCAGCAACAGTGTGGCATGGAGAATCTGTGCATTTGGGGGAGGGAGAATGCAGTGAATGTGGGGCTTTGCATTGAAACTCAGTGCTGCCCTGTCACAGCAAAAAGAAACACCAGGCAAAACTCAGCTGACTCCCGTGGAAAGAACATTAAGACCATCCTAGCCAGAGCAGAACTGTCCATCTCAGAGAGTTTCAGCAAGCTTAGCCACTGTGTGCTAAAGAGCTGTGTGGTTCTAAATAAACTTGAAAGTCTAGCCCACAGGAACTATAACGTTTAGGCATAACATAGTGCTGTGCTGGGCTCAGAGCAAGTGAACTTTGGGGGCAGGTTATCTAGTGAGACACCAACCAGGGCAGCCAAGGGAGTGCTTACACCACCTCTCCCCCAACTCCAGGCAGCACACTTAACAGCTCTAAAGGAGATACTTTTCTTCCACTTCAGGAGAGGAGAGGGAAGAATAAAGAGGACTTTGCCTTGTAGTTTAGGTCCTAGCTCAGCCACAGTGGAATAAAGTACCATGCAGGCTCTTAGGGTCACCAATACCAGGTCTTGGGCCCTTGGATGGCATTTATGGAACTGCCCTGGGCCAGAGAAGAGCCCACTGCCCTGAAAGGTGAGTCACAAGCCTGACAGCATTCACCACAAGCTGACTGAAGAGCCCTTGGGCTTTTAGTGAATGTCAACTGTAATCTGGCAGTACTCCCCGTGAGCCTGTTGTGGTGGCCATGGAGAGAGACTCCTCTGCCTGTGAAAAGGGGAAGGAACAGTGGGGAGGACTTTGCCTTGTGGCTTGGGAGCCAGCTCAGCTGCAATACAATAGAGTGTCGGGTAGATTCCTAAGGTTTCTGACTCCAGGACCTGGCTCCTAGATGGCATCTCTGGACACACCCAGGACCCTAGGTGAAAGTGATGTCCTGAAGGGAGGGACACAGTCCTGACTGGCTTGACCAGAGGCTGACCATAGAGCCACAAGGCCTTGAGAAAATATAGGTGGTAGGCAGGTGGTAGGCAGGTGGTTACAGAAGGCCTTGGGCAAGGCCCAGTGCTATGCTGGCTTCAGGTCTGACCCAGCATATTCCCAGTGGGGTGGCCACAGGGGTGCTCATTTTAACCTTCCCTCAGCTCCAGGAAGCTCAGAACAGAGAGAGAGAGAAAGAGAGAGAGACTCTGTTTGTTTGGAAGAAAGTAAGTGACAGATCAAGAGTCTCTGCCTGGTCATTTCAGATAATTCTTTTGGATATTATTCAAGACCACAAAGATGGTAATTCTATGGGTCTGCAAATGCCACAGGGTACTGGGCATGGGGTGCCCCTAATGCATATATGGTTTCAGTGACCTAAAACTTAGATTACAACACAAAAGTCCCTTTGAATACCTGAAAAGCCCTAACAAGAAGGATGAGTAGACACAATAATAGACTGCAAAGACTAAAGTAAATACTTATTTAAGGTTCAGACACCAACAAACATCTATAAGCATTAAGACCATCCAGGAAAATATGACATCCCCAAACAAACTAAATAAGGCACCAGGGACAAACTCTGGAAAGACAAAAATATGCAATCTTTCAGACAGAGAATTCAAAACAGCTGTTTGGAAGAAGTTCAATAAAATTCATAATAACACACGATTCTGAATGTATTCAGAATCATATCAGATAAATTTAATGAAGAGATAATTTAAAATAATTGAAAACAATTGAGCAAAAACTCTGGCATTGAAAAATGCATGAGACATACTGAAGAATACATTAGTGTTTCTTAATAGCAGAATTAATCAAGCAGAAAGAAAAAACTGTGAGCTTGAAGACAGGCTATTTGAAAATACACAGCCAGTCTATGGTTATACCACTCTTAACGCTTATGATCTCATTTGAAAATACACAGTCAGAGGAAATGTGTTGGGCTATTCTTGCATTGCTATAAAGAAATACCTGAGACTGAGTAATTTATTTAAAAAGAGGATTAAGTAGCTGACAGTTCTGCAGGTTTTATAGGAAGCATGGTTTTGGCATCTGTTCAGCTTCTGGTGAAGCTTCAGGGAGTTTTCAATCATGGCAGAAGGCAAAATGGGAGCAGACACATAACATAGCCAGAGTGGGAGCAAGAGGGAGAGAGAGAGGAGGTGCTACACATTTTTTTTTTAATTAAGACAGAGTCTTGCTCTGTCAGGCTGGAGTGCAGTAGCGCCATCTCGGCTCACTGCAAGCTCCACCTCCTGGATTCAGGCCATTATCCTGCCTCAGCCTCCTGAGTAGCTGGGACTACAGGTGCCCGCCACCATGCCTGGCTAATTTTTTGTATTTTTAGTAGAGATGGGGTTTCACCGTGTTAGCCAGTATGGTCTCGATCTCCTGACCTTGTGATCCACCCGCCTCAGCCTCCCAAAGTGCTGGGATTATAGGTGTGAGCCACAGTGCCCGGCCGGTGCTACACATTTTTAAACAACCAGATCTCATGAGAACTCACTATTACAAAGAGAGCACCAAGCCATGGGAAATCCACCCCAAATATCTCCCACCAAGCTCCAACACCAATGGTTGGTGTTACAATTCAACATGAATTTGGGTGAGGACAAATGTACAAACTGTATCAGGAAACAACAACAAAAAAATAAATAAAAAGGGATAAAGCATGCCTACAAGATCTAGAAAATAAACTCAAAAGGGCAAATCTAAGAGGTTTTGGTCTTAAAGGGAAGGTAAAGAGAGAGAGAGGTTCAAAGTTTATTCAAAGGGTTAGTAACAGAGAATTTTACAAACCTAGAGAAAGATATCAGTATTCAAGTACAAAAAGGTTATAGAACAATAAGCAGATTTAACCCAAGGAAAACTACCTCAAGCTATTTAATAATCAAATTTCCAAATGTCTAGAATAAAGCAAGTATCCTAAAAGCAGTAACAGAAAGAAAACAAATAACATACAATGAAGCTCCAATACCTCTGGCAGCAGACTTGTCAGTGGAAACCTTACAGGCCAAGAGAGAGCGGCATGACATATTTAAAGTGCTGAAGGAAAAAACTTTTACCCCAGAATTGTATATTCAGCAAAAAACATCCTTCAAACATGAAGGAGAAGTAAAAATTTTCTCAAACAAAGAAAAAAGAAAGCTGCGATTTCATCAACATCAGACCTATCCTACAAGAAATGCCAAAGGAAGTTTTTTTTTTTCAATCTAAATGAAAACATTGTTAATGAGCAATAAGAAATCATCTGAAGGTTAAAAACTTCTGGTAATAGTAAACACACAGAATATTATAACACTGTAATTGTGGTGTATAAACTTCTCATACCTTAATTAGAAAGACTAAAAGATGAACTGATTCCAAATAATAACTACAATAACTTTTCAAGACATAGTATAAGATAGGAACACATAAATAGAAAGAACAAAAAGTAAAAATGAGAGGACAAAGAGTTAAAGTGTAAAATTTTTATTAGTTTTCTATTTGCCCATTTGCTAGTTTGTTCATGCAATCAGTGTTGTCATCAATTTGAAATAATGGATTATATGATATTATTTGCAAGGCTCTCATGGTAACCTCAAATCAAAAACAATACAAAAGACACACAAAAAATAAAATGCAAGAAATTAAAACATACCACCAGTGAAAATCACCTTCACTGAAAAGAAGACAGAAAGGAAGGAAAGAAGGAAGAGAAGACCAAAAAACAACCAGAAAACAAATAACAAAATGCAGGAGTAAGTCCTCACTTATCAATAATACCAGTGAATGTAAAATGAAATAAACTTTCCTATCAAAAGACATAGACTGGCTGAATAGATAAAAACAAGACTCAACTGATTTGTTGCCTACAAGAAGCACACTACACCTATAAAGGCACACATGGATGGAAAATAAAGGGATGGGAAAAGATATTTCATGCCAATGGAAACAAAATGGAGTAGGAGTCGCTATACTTATATCAGACAAAATAGATATCAAGACAAAGTCAATAAGAAGAGACAAAGAAAGTCACCATATAATGATAAAAAGGTCAATTAGCCAAGACAATATAACAGTTTTAAATATATATGCACCCAAGACATGAACACACAGATATATAAAGCAAAATATACTGGAGCTAAAAAGAGAGATAAACTGCAATACAGTAATAGCTGCAGACTTCGACATCCTATTTTCGACATTGGCCAGATCGTCCAAGAGACATTACAACTGATAACACAGAAATTCAAAGGATCATTAGATGCTAATATTAACAACTATATGTCAATAATTTGGAAAATCTAGAAGAAATGGGATAATTCCTAGACACATACAACCTACTGAAACCGAACCATGAAGAAATCCAAAACCTGACAGACCATTAACAAGTAAGCAGATGGAAGCTATAATAAAAAGTGTCCCACCAAAGAAAAGCCCAGGACCCAGTAGTCTAAGTGCTGAATTTGACCAAAATGTAAAGATTAAGTAGTACTAATTCTACTCAAACTATTTCAAAAAATAGAGGAAGAGGGAATATTTCCAAAGTCATTCTACAAGGTCAGTATATTATCCTGATACCAAAACTAGACAGACACAACAAAAAAACGAAAACTACAGGTCAATATCTCTGATGAACATTGATGCAAAAATCCTCAACAAAATATTAGCAAACCAAATTCAACAACACATTAAAAAGATAATTCATCATGGCCAAATGGGGTTTATCCCAGTGATGTAAGGATGGTTCAGCACAGGCAAACCAATCAATGTGACTCCTTGATTGTCACATTATATTAACAGCTCGAAGGATAAAAACAATATACTCATTTCAGTTGATGCTGTAACAGCTTATATTAAAATTCCACATCTCTTCACTATAAAAACCCTCAAAACACTGGGTATAGAAAGAGCATACCTCAACATAATGAAAGCCATATACAACAGACCCACAGCTAGTATTATTCTAAATGGGGAAAAACTAAAAGCCTTTCCACTAAGACCTGGAACATAACAAGGATGACACTTTCACCATTGTTATTCAACACGGTGCCGAAAATCCTAGCTAGTGCCCTCAAACAAGAGAAAGAAATAAAAGGCATCCAAATTGGAAAGGAACAAGTCAAATTATCCTTGTTTACAGATAATATTATTTCATATTTTGAAAGACCTAAAGAAGACAGAAGAAAACTATTAGAACTGATAAATTCAGTAAAGTAAAAGACATAAACTTAACATATAAAAATCAGTACCATGTCTATATAACAACAGTGAGAAAACTGAAAAATCAAGAAGGTAATTTCATTTACAATAGCCCCAAATAAAGTAAAATACATAGGAAAGGGGAAGATCTCTATAAAGAAAACTATAAGATGCTGATGAAAGAAATTGAAGACACCAAAAAAATGGAAAGATATTCCATGTTCACTAATTGGAAGAATAAATATTGTATATTAAATATTGTAAAAGTGTACATACTACCCAACACAAATTCAAAGCAATCTCCATCAAAATATCAATGATAAAATATATATGGAACCACAAAAGACTAGGAATAGCAAAGCTATTCTGAGCAAAAAGGGCTTGGCTGGTGAAATCACATTACCTGACTACAAATTATACTACAGGTCTATATTAACCAAAACAGCATGGCATTGACGCATACACCAATGGAATAGAACAGAGAACTCAGAAACAAATCCATATATCTACAGTGAACTCATTTTCTACAAAGATGCCAAGAACGTATATTGGAGAAAGGACAATCTTTTCAATAAATAGTCCTGGGAAAATAATTGGATATCCACATGCAGAAGAATGAAACTAGACCCTTATCTCTTGCCACATACAGAAATTGAATTAAAATGCATTAAAGACTCAATATAAGACCTGAAACTATGAAACTATTAAAAGAAAATGTTGAGGAACCTCTCCAAGTCATTGGTCTGGGCAAACATTTCTTGAGTAATATTCCACAAGCACAGACAATCAAAGCAAAAATGGGCAAATATTATCACATAAAGTTAAAAAGCCTCTCCACAGCAGAGGAAACAGTCAAAAAAGTGAAGAGACAACCCCAAGAATGGGAGAAAATATTTGCCAACTATCCATTTGACAAGGGATTGATAATCAGAATCTATAAGTAGCTCAAACAACTGTATAGGGAAAAAAAACTAATAATCCAATTAAAAAATGGGAAAATCATCTGAATAGACATTTATCAAAAGACATACAAATGGCAAACAAGTATATGAAAAATTACTCAACATTATTGATCATCAGAGAAATGCAGATTAAAACCAAAATGACGTTACATCACATCTTAGTTAAAATGGCATTTTTCCAAAAAACAGGCAATAACAAATGCAGATGACGATGTGAAGAAAACAGAAAACTCTTGTATACTGTTGGTGTGATGTACATTAGTATGACCACCTTGAAGAACAGTTGGAAGTTTCCTCAAAAATCTAAAAATTTAGCTACCATGTGACCCAGGAATCCCACTGCTAGGTATATACTCAAAAAAAAGGAAATCAGTATATCTAAAATATATCTGCACTCCCATGTTTATTGAAGCACTATTCACAATAGCCAAGATTTGGAAGCAACCTATATATCCATCAACAGACAGATGGATAAAGAAAATGTGGTATATATATACACACTGAAGTACTATTCAGTCATTAAAAAGAACGAGACCCTGCCATTTATAACAACATGGGTGGAACTTGACAGCATTATTTTAAGTGAAATACACCAGGCACAAAAAGACAAATTTTGCAAGTTCTCAGTCATTTGTGGGAGCTACAAATTAACAATTGAACTCATGGAGATAGAGTAGAATGATGGTTATCAGAGGCTGGGAAGGGCAGTGGGAGTGTGTATGTGTATGTATGGGGGTGGGGGATGGGGATGGTTAGTGACTATACAAAGATACTTAGAAAGAATGAATAAATTCTAATATTTTATAGCTCAACAGGGTGACTACAATAAACAATAATTTAATTGTACCTTTTAAAATAACTAAAATAATATAATCGGATTTTTTTATAACGCAAAGGATTAATGCTTGAGGTGACAGATACTCCATTTACCCTGATGTAATTATTATACATTGTATGTCTGTATCAAAATATCTCATGTACCCCATAAACATATTTACCTACTATGTACCCCCCAAAATTAAAAAAAAATTAAAAATAATTCTTCTCATCCTTATGTTCTCCATCATTTCTACAATTAAGTATTCTTGATCCATTAAAAAAGGGAAGAGGTTCTCTGTATGTCCTAGTTCATTTGGGTTGCTATAACAAACTATTATAGACTGTTTATAAATGACAGAAATTTGTTCCCCCAGTCCTAGAGTCTGAGAAATCTAAGATCAAGGTGGTAGTAGGTTCAATATCTTACGAAGGCCTGTTTTCTGGTTCATAAAGAGCATGTCTTTTCACTGTGTTCTTACCTGGCAGAAAGGGCAAGGGATCTCTCTGGGACCTCTTTCATAAATGTGTGAATTCCTTTCATAGGTCTCTGCTTTCATGACCTAATTACCTCCTGACAGTACCACTTCCAAATAACATCACAACAGGGGTTAGGATTTCACAATATAAGTTTTCTGGAGATACAGACATTCAGACTATAGCACCTTGTAATTTACTATCATCAGTTCATCTCATTCACAAAGCTTACAATGGTTGCAATATTAAATTTAATTTTGCTGTTATTTTGTCTCCATCTCTCTGCAGTAGGCACTATCAGAGCAGGCACACTGTTTTCTCACTATTTCACTTTGTCACATCTCGACATGTATTAATTGTTTTATAAGTTACAAATGGATAAATGACATATCTTTATTAGTGGTATCAATTTGGTGCTCCAGTAATGATATTATATTATGTGCATCATGAAGAAGGTGGAAAAAAATGGGAACAAAAATTGTCAAAAAAATGATAGAACATATCAATAAAAGGAATGGAAAAACAAATTATTCACTATATAATTATACTTTTTAATATGTTAGATAATTAAAGTAACCAGGAAAAGCCAATAAAAATATTAATAAAATATCCCTTGATATATCAACTCTCCACTTTATTAGGAATTCCATAATGGCGTTTTTTTATTAGTCAATTTCAACAAAGAAACAAACAACTATAAAACATAATATGAAGATTATAGGACAAAGTATCAGAAGACCTTGGTCCAAATTTTCTCCTACAAGTCAAGTGACCTTCAATATTCTTTCTCTTTATGCCTTTTTTTCTTACTTATAAAATGTGAGTAATATTCCCTTTACATTTATATAGTAATAAGCAAGTTATATAATGTACATTAGTGCTGCAAATACAGTGTCTCATGCACTCTAAGTACTCAACAAAAAATGTATATATTAAGTGATAGTTATATAGTATCCAGAGTAATTGATTCCACCAAAGTCAGGTAAAGACATTTTATTTTAATAGGCATTGACGGGATTGATAATGCAAACATTTCCCCTAGTTATGCAGGCTATCTCTCCATAGTGCTGGAAACCAGGTTTCTATTTCTCTTACTGATATGCTACCTGCCGTGGTTTCTTCATCTCTAAAGTGAAAATCAGTGACTGACATTCTCCTAAGCTCAAGTTGAACTTGCTTATCTTTTCTATTTCATGAGGAATGAACTCCATAACAGACATCTAGTAGTATTTTTAGAAGGTGACATTTAAATAGTACATGACACTTTCAGGATATTATTATATTCTTATGTAGTGACTTGGCATTGTAGCTATTTTTTAAAAACACTACTATTTTTGGATTAGACTTGGGCTTTGAGTTGTTTGAGAACTGTGTACAAACAGATATCAGATGAATTAAAGTCCAGGTTAGTTTCTTATGATTTAAATCTAATAATTATATAACATTTGCGTGAATGAATGAGCTCTGCTAAAATATG